>NW_018654717.1:3954880-4256461 GCF_000001405.40 Homo sapiens | reverse complement strand
TTGAAAACACTTTTAAATTTTAGATTCAGGGAGTACATGTGCAGGTTTGTTACATGGGTGTATTGGGTGATGCTGGGGTTCTATTGAATAGATTGGGTTTGTATTAAACCCATCACCCAAATAGTGAACATGGTACCCAGTAGATATCTTTTCAGTCCTTCCCGTTCTCTCTACCTCTCCCTACTTGGAGTCCGTAGAGGGCTATCTCTTAATAAAACCTAATTCTGTAATGGTAAGGAGTTCAGCATTGCAAATTCAAATTGGCTACAGGATGCCCAAATCCATGGGACAGGTCTTTTGTTGTTGTTGTTTGTTTGTTTGTTTGTTTGTTTGTTTTTGAGATGGGGTCTCACTCTGAAACCCAGGCTGGAGTGCAGTAGCCTGATAATGGTTTACTGCAGCCTCAACTTCCTGGGCTCAAGCCTCCCTGCTTCAGGTGATCCTCCCACCTTAGACTCCTGAGTAGCTGGGACTACAGGCACATGCCACCATGCCGAGCTAATTTTTGTGTTTTTTGTAGAAATGGGGTTTCACCATGTTGCCCACGCTGGCCTTGAACTCCTGGGCTCAAGACATCTGCTTGCCTTGGAATCCCAAACTGTTAGGATTACACTGCGCTCGGCCAGGACAGATGTTTATATAATAGAAGTTTGCTCTGTGTTTAAGGATCATCTGTAGGGGTGGGTCGGGGGGCAAGGCACTTGGCCTTACTAGCCTCATTAAAGAAATGTTTCGGGAGCCCTCGCCGCCTAGCTGCAGGGCACTGGGTCATCTGGAATATAGAAATCATAATAATCCCCCTTGCGTCATAGGCTGACCTGAGGATCAAATGAGATAATGTCTGTGAAAGTACTTGATAAGCCTGAAGCACTGTCTAAATGTATTGCTGAGGGCCTGAGGTAGAGAGGACGTTTACTTTGGGCCATTCATGAGGTTCAAGTACAAACTCTCCATTGCATGGCATTCAGTGCAGAGCAAACACATTCTATTTGGCTTTAGCCTTGAATGAAAAGTCAACAGTGCCTTTTCAGTTGCTTTGCTTCCTCTCTTCTCCTTTCAAAACAAAGCCAGGTCCTCTAAGGGTTTCCTGCTGAGTTTATAAAGAGGTGCTGGATTACAAATCCAGCCCCGGCTCCCAGGATCTTGGAGGCTGGGGAAGAGTATGGCCTCAAAACAAGGGGTGTCTGAGGACACCTACCCTTGGTTCTTCATCAAGGGATTGGCCTTCTCTCAAGCCTTGAACCAGGGCCAAGTACCCCAGAAGCAATGCTTTCTTTCCCATGGAGGTAGTCACAGGAGAGGCACCATGAAAGAACTTGGACAACGTCACTGCTGGACTGTGAAAGGGCTCACTGTGAGGATGATCAGGAGGGAGGAGCGGTGGCTTGGGGCTGACCTCGGAAGTGTGGTCCAGCTGCCTGATGTTGATTGTACATTTCAGGCATGCTTTGAGAAGAGGCCTAAGTGATCCAAAGTCCCGTTCTATGAAATGAAATGTCCATCTCTTTACTTCTATTGCCATCTTTTTTTTTTTTTTTTTTCTTTTCAGACGGGATCTCACTCTGTCACCCAGGCTGGAATTGCATGATCATGGCTCACTGCAGCCTCAGACTTTTGGGCTCAAGCAATGCTCCCGCCTCAGCCTCCCAAAATGCTGGATTACAGGCGTGAGTCACTGTGCCCGGCCTCTGTTCCCACTTTCTGTCTGACTTTCTCCTGACATTCTTCTTTTCTTCAATCTCACGCACCCATCCTGCAGATCCTAAATATTGCCTTTATGATGGGAGTCAGGGCTCTTCACTCTCTAGACGAAGCCACCTTTCCTACCCAGGTCCCAAACGAACCCATTCCCTCTCTGCCTTTACTCTTCTAGCTCTCCCGCTTCCTCTGGAAGTCCCCCTTTCTTCTCTCTTCCCATTTACACCCCCTCCATCCTTCAGGACCCTTTGTGTGTGCCTCCCCATGAAGCCTTTTGTGACTATTCAATCCCCAGCGCTTTCTCCCCGCTTTCATATGCTACATATTTTTTATATTTTTTGTATTACTCTTTGGCTTTTCATGATTTTCTGTTTTTTATTCACTCATTAACAGTCGAGTGTTTTTGTGCTAGGCATTGCATTTGGTACTGGGGACCCAGTGGTAAACCAAACAAACAGGGCCTCTCTTCAGAAGTAATTTATCATTTAGGGCCAGGTGCGGTGGCTCACGCCTGTAATCCCAACACTTTGGGAGGCTGAGGCAGGTGGATCTCCTGAGTATCACAGGCTGAGTTCGAGACCAGCCTGGCCAACATGGTAAAAACCGGTCTCCACTAAAAATACAAAAATTAGCCAGACACGGTGGCGTGCGCCTGTAGTCCCAGCTACGCAGGAGGCTGAGGCTGGAGAATCACTTGAACCAGGGCGGCAGAAGTTGTAGTGAGCCAAGATTGTGCCACTGCACTCCAGCCTAGGTGACAGAATGACACTCTGTCAAAAAAAAAAAAAAAAAAAGAGTAATTTATCATTTAGTAGGCAGTTAAGAGACTTTTTTAAAAGAAAGAAAAGAAGAAAGAAGAAAAGACATAAACAAGCACTATATACATCATAAAGAATGTGGATTTTATTCTGAAAGCAATAAAAGCCATTGCAGAAGTTTAAATTTTTGTTAATTAAAAAAAAATGCTTAACAACCCAAATGCCCGTCAATCAAATAGTGGATAAAGAAATTATGGTATATGTATATACACCATGGAATACTACTCAGTCATAAAAAGAAATGCAATAATGGCATTTGCAGCAACCTGAGTGGAATTGGAGACCATTATTCTAAGTGAAGTAACTCAGGAATGGAAAACCAAACATCGCATGTTCTCACTCCTAAGTGGGAGCTAAGCTATGAGGATGCAAAGACATGAGAATGATACAATGGGCCGGGCACAGTGGCTCACACCTGTAATTCCAGCACTTTGGGAGGCTGGGGTGGGCTGATCACTTGAGGTCAGGAGTATGAGACCAGCCTGGCAAAAATGGTGAAACCCTGTCTCTACTAAAAATACAAATAATTGGCCGAGCGCAGTGGCTCACGCCTGTAATCCCAGCACTTTGGGAGGCTGAGGCGGGTGGATCACCTGAGGTCAGGAGTTTGAGACCAGCCTGGCCAACATGGTGAAACCCCATCTCTACTAAAAATACAAAAAATTAGTTGGGTGTGGTAGCTTGAGCTGTAATCTCAGCTACTTGGGAGGCCGAAGCAAGAATCGCTTGAACCCGGGACGCAGAGGTTGCAGTGAGCCGAAATGGCGCCTTTGCACTCCAGCCTGGGTGACAGAATAAGTGAGACTCCATCTCAACAACAATAACAAAAAGAAGGATACAGTGGGCTTTGGGGACTCCAGGCAATGGTTGGGAGGGAGGTGAGGGATAAAAAGACTACACCTTGGGTACAGTGTACACTGCTTGGGCAATGGGTGCACCAAAATCACAGAAGTCACCACAAAAGACCTTATTCATGTAACCAAATACCACCTGTTCCCCAAAAACCTATTGAAATAAAAAAAAAATTTTTAATAAAGAAATAGAAAAAAATGTTAAACAGCCTTATTGAGGTATAATTGACTTACAGCAAATTGCACATATTTCAAATATACAATTTGGTAAGTTTTTTGTTTGTTTGTTTGTTTCAGACAGGCTCTCACTGTCACTCAGACTGGAGTGCAGTGGTGCAAGCTCGGCTCACTGCAACCTCTGCCTCCCAAGCTCAAATGATTCTCCTGCCTCAGCTTCCCGAGTAGCTGGGATTATAGGCGCCCCCCCACCACATCCGGCTAATTTTTGTATTTTTAGTAGAGACAGGGTTTCACCATTTTGGCCAGGCTGGTCTCGAACTCCTGACCTCAAATGATCCACCTGCCTCAGCCTCTCAAAGTGCTGGGATTACAGGCATGAGCCACCACACCCGGCCACAATTTGGTAAGTTTTAACATCTGTATATACCCATAAAACCATCACCAGGATATGATGAGCATATCCATCCAACCAACAAAGAGTTCTTGTGCTCTCTTCTTCCTTCTCCCCAAGTAAGATTTGAACTCCAATGCTACTGATTAGTTCAACTTTTTTCAGAATTTTGTATAAATCATCATACAGGGCCAGGCACAGTGGCTCATGCCTGTAATCCCAGCACTTAGGGAGCCAGGAGGTTTGCTTGAGCCCAGGAGTTCAAGACCAGCCTGGACAATATAGTGAGACTTTGTTTCTACAAAAAATAAAAAATTAGCCAGGTGTGGTGGTGCATGCCTGTGATCCCAACTACTCAGGAGACTGAGTTGGAAGAATCAGTTGAGCCTGGGAGGTCAAGGCAGCAGTGAGCTGTGACGGTATCATTGCAATCCAGCCTGGGCAATAGAGCGGGACACTCTCTCTCTCAAAAAAAAAAAAAAAAAGAAAGAAACAGAAACCCCAACCAAATAAATAAATAAGCATACACTATATACTCTTTTTCACGTGGCTTTTGTTCTCTTTACCACTGTAGAGCATTCCATTGTATGATACAGCAATTTATTTATCCTTTTACCTATCAATGGACCTTTGGGGTTGTTTCTACTTTTTGGTTATTACGAATAATGCCGCAGTCTTTGCTAACGGTATTGGTATTATCGACACATGCTTTCATTTCTTTTGGGCAGACAACTGTGAGTGGAATTGCTGAGTCATGTGGCAAACTACCAGTTCTGTTGAACCTCAGGGCCATCATTCTGTTCATGTCAGCTCGTTGTAGAACCACATCGATGAAGACCAAGATGGTAAAGATGAAAAATTGTAGCTAACATTTACTGCACATTTACTACAAGCCAAGCATTGCACTATGAAGTTTAAGTGCATTATTCATTAACCCCTTCAATAAAATTTGTAATTTTCATTTCAGAAGCAAATATTCGTGTTGTACAAATTTCTGATTGCCCTAAATGTAGAGAGACTGATGGGGAAAGTATGATGGGTTTGATTTTTATATCAAATCATCAGGCATGGAGAAATATCTTTTAGAAGTGTTAAAATAAATGTTCCTACTGTATATTTAAAATACAAAAAATGATAATAATAACAATTCCTCTGAAATAGTTACCGTGAATACCCTCATTTAAAATGAGGAAGCTAAGCCTTTTCAAAGTTAAGTAACTTGCCTAAGGTCTCTTAACAACTAGCGAAAAGGATAGAACTCAAACCTAGGTCTTTCTGACCCTGCAGTTTGTGTTTCTATCCACGGTGTAAGTGAATGAGTCAATGTATGCTAAAGTCAAGACTCTTATCTTCTGTTTTGCTTTCTTTCAGCATGGACAGAAGCACATTAACCTAGTCACAGGTGCCAGTGAGGGGCATTCTGATTAGCTGAGATGTTGGTTTCATTTTGCTTTACTGTTAGTCTAAGAATCTAAGGAAAATATAATGTGCAAGATACATTTGGCAATCATTTTATAGATTTTGTTAAAACGCCATAGGAATCCTTTATAAAGTTGTCTAATCTAAAATATATGACTATATTTAAGATGCATTTGTTTGCTTGGTTTAGATGGTAGTTTTTTTAAAGGGCCTCATCCATCAAAACACAATAAATGGGAATTGACTGTAGAATCCTGAGAATTTGTAATATTTGGAGGCATAATGACATAGCAGAAGAATATGAGTTTGCAGGTAAAAGAGACTTGGATTGAATATTCGGTCTGATGTTTCACAGTGGAAAAGCTATTGAAACCTCATTTTCTCGTTGGTAGAATGAAGATAGTAATGCCTATTTAAAGGGTGGTTGTAAGGATTAAAGAAGATGACAGACCCGTTACCCGGTGACACATTAGATTCTTGGTGAGGGTCAGGTCCTAGTTCATTTCTAGTCCCCCCCGCAACCTTTTTTTTTTTTTTTTTTAAAGGGATCACACCTTTTTATCCTGGCTTAAAATCTAAATCCCTTCCTGCTAGGAGTTGGTGATCCTTCCCAAACTGTATGCAAAATTTAGTATGTTTGTACATGTTCATTTTGCGAGAAAATATCCCTGTGTATTAGTTCCTTTTCAAACTGTTATAAAGAACTACCTGAGACTGGGTAGTTTATGAAGAAAAGAGGTTTAATTGACTCACGGTTCCGCATGGCTGGGGTAGCCTCAGGAAACTTACATTTTTGGCAAAAGGAGAAGGGGAAGTGAGGCAGACGGCAAGATGCAGGGGAAGTGCCACACTTTTAAACCATCAGATCTCGTGAGAACTCACTTACTATCAGGAGAACAGCCTAGGGGAAACCACCCCCTTGATCCAATCACCTCCCACCAGGCCCCTCCCCATGGGGATTACAATTCGAGATGAGATTTGGGTGGGGACACAGAGCAAAATCATATCACCCTGGCTTCCATCAGATTTCAAAGAAATCCATGATTCAAAGGCAATTTAGAACCACTGGGAGATTGTTTTTCATTCATTCAACAGTATTTACTGAATATCCACTATGGGTCAAGCGTTTTGCTCAGATAAACCATGTCCCTGACTTTCAGGAAGGTACAGCCTAGACTGGTGAATAAAAGTATGACCTGTTTTGTGAATCTGTGTGTTATCACGCTATTATTAGGTTGGTGCAAAAGTAATTGCGGCTTTTGCCATTGAAAGTAATTACTTTTGCACCAACTTCATGCTTACTTGTATGGAGATGACACATCAGAGAGAAAGGAGAGTACATGAAACAAAAAGCAGAAGAATCCAGACAGTTGAGTGGACATGAAAAAGAGGCCCTGTAAGCAAGGAACAGGCATCAAGAAAATAAACCTTCCTGACTTTGACTGACAGCCAGCTGCTATATTAAGGTGTAGGATTGTGTAGGTTCTGCCCCACGGAAGTGCCGGCCAAGGGTTGAGTGGAGAGGGTTGGGGTGGGGAGGTGACGAGATGCAGCTTGAGCTCCCTTCACCAAGCTGGGGGCCCTGAAGACTCTGCCTACCTGGAGAGAGTAACTTTTTCTAATATGCTTCAAGGTGCTATAAGAGGCTGCCAGCCCAGTGTATTGCTGCTACACAGAGAGTCAGATTTTCCTTTAGGAGCTGAGCTGTTAAACTTGAAAGTAGATCAACTCTAGTTCTGAAAAAGAAAAAAAAAAAAGTGGGTTCTTTGGCTCTTTGCTCAGTTGATCCCTTAGAGGACATGATCAAGATAACTAACAGTTGGGTCACTATGTCAACAGTGTTTGGAGAACAAAGGAGGTGTCATTCAGCCTCACACCTTTCCAGGCAGCTAGTAAGGTGAGTTGGAAAAATCCTAATGCAGGAGAGGAATTTGTTTTTTTTGCATCTCGGTCCTCTCATTTTATAGATGAAGAAACTGGGACCCAGGATGATTATTTCCCAGCCTTTTCTTAAGCATGCAGCTGGAGAGTGGATGGTAAAGGCAGGAGGCCTTGGAGGATTTGTTGTACTCACTATGAGCACTTGACAATGGGAAGGGGCCCCTCTGCAGTGGCACTGGCTCTCCTGGCCCTGTTCACAGTGTCTAGCTCCACCCACCTGGCATATCTTGGGGCCAGAGCCTGTGCATATTTACTCTTTCGAGTCTTGCACTTTGCTCTTTTATTTTTACTGGCCCTGCACTTGTGTTTGCTCTTGGTGCTCTCTTCATACATATTGCAGGAGGCCCCCTGTTTAACTTGAGCTTGGGACTAAATATAACCACTGCTATCACCAGAGGCATCCATACATGTCAGCCCTTTTTCAGTGTTTGTCTGCTCCACCCCAGGTCGCAGGCACGGGGCAGGCCCCCGCGCTCCTTTCATAGGAATTCGCTTTTAAATGGAAACTATCACCAAAAGCAGGGGTGACTGGGGCCGGGAAGAAATCAATTCTTATCACAAGCTGCACTCATGCTTTGTCCCTGGTGTGCAAAAGCCCAGTCCCCAAATCTCCAAACCTCTCTTCTCCGTTTAACAGCATGGTAGATGCCCCTCTCGCTGACTCCATTTCCATCCTGTGAGCCCTTTGAAAGGAACTGCAAAGTGTCTGTAGCTTTGACATGTGCTTTTGTCTTCTGGGGCCTTCCAAAGCCTTTAGGTCATGCCACAGACCTGCAAACCATGGTTCTTGGACATTGTTCCCACACTGCACATTGCACCAGGAGAAGCTTCCACCTCACCTCCTCCAGGAAGCTCTCTCCCACACTCCTATCAACACTGCCCTTGCCTGTCTATAGTAATCGTGGTGATTAAAAGTTGCCTGCGTGGTTCATAAATTATTGTGTGGTTTTTCATCTTGTCAAAATGAGAGCAAAAGCCCTTCATTACTTGAATTAGTGTCTTCCACTCATCAATCCCTGATCCCTTTTCTCAGTGCTGAGAAAACAGGTGCTTGCCAATATCTCACTCTCTTGAGAACACTGAAGAAGATTCAAGCTCGCGTTTCCTACTTCTCTGAATACGGTAGGATCTGCTCTGACCTCCACTGCAGGCTGGGGAATGCCAGGCCAGAAGAGGGGCTTGGAGGGGCAGCTGGAGCTCCTAGAGAGAAAAGAGGGCACCCGCCCAGCCAGCTGAATCAACCCGGGATAATGAAACAGCAGAACTCGAAACCACATTGTTCTTGCAGCTTCCACTGGGTCTGAAATCAGATCCTTTACAATTTCTTCAAGGTCTACAAGTTCAGAAACTCACTCCTTTGAAAGAATACTGCCTGCAGTGACATCATTTTCTGAATCAATCCCTTTTTCTCTCCATCCCTTCTAGCAATTGTGAGCACCTGCTGCGTACAAAGCTCGGGGTTAACAAGAAGTCTAAGATGTACTCCTTGTACTTCTAGAGCGTGCTATCTAGGACAAAAGACTTATTTAAAGTTATGTTCAAAGGAAGAAGAAAGGACCCTTGGATAAGTCGACTGGGCTGCTCTTGGGGGCTGTCAGCAGCAGGGGTTATTTCGGGCACAAATTCAGGGAGAGTGGGTGATGATAGAGTAAGGAGATGTACAGGGGAAAGAGGAAGGGTTTATTTATGTGTTCATTTGTGAACTTGTTTCAACCCCGGGGAAAGAAGCAAGTGGTGAAGGTGGAGATTGCAAATACCAGAAAAGGCAGAAAGGAAGAGTACCCGAGACTCCATTGGAGAAAGAGTCAATGCAGTGTGGCAGGAACATGGGGCCACACCTCGGACGCTTCTCCATGAGGACAGGTCGTGATTGTTCCATCAGCCTGTAGATGCACAGCTAGCAGTTTTCTATATGGCTGCCCAGCTGCTCAGGCTGTTCTCCAAAAGGTCTTCTTAGGTCACGTGTTGGCTGTAGGTGAGGACTGGGAATACGTCTTGTTCTTTGCCCTGGATCCTGTGTGTACAAGGTCACCCTCATGCCATCGGGACTTTGAGTGAGGACACAGTGTCCGACGCCATTCATGGAAAGAACTATTCCGGTCAGGGTACATCTGAAACTGGCTACAGTTTGCTGGTAGGGGTGGCGTGGGGTAGAGGCATCAGAATTTGAGAGTCTCTCTGGCTTCAACATCTCTACTGCAGACAATTAACCTCAAGAGGCCCCAGGAGGGGATCTTCCTGGTGCCATTAAGAACACAGAGCATGAGGGGCCTCCCGTCTTCAAGGAGGTGGAGCTGGCTGTGAGCTCAAGGTGGGGCCTTCTGATTTTCAGTGATTTGTTGTTAGAACCGGAATTTCAGGGTTTTTGCAGCCTGGGGTCTATCCAGGCAGGTGTTAGAAAACTGGAATGACTAGATCATTAAGTGGTGTTGAGTGTGGCCATGCCAGAGTATGAAAGCTTTAGCAGGAACACAGAGCAGGAGCTTATCTCCGCTGCCTCAGTCGGACACATGATATTGCGTTAGACATAAGCTCAAAGCTCACATCTCCCTTGGAAATACACAGTAACATCTAAAAACAATGAATTGAGATTAATAAAATATTCTTGGCTTGTGTTTTAAATCAAATTGGAAGTCCAGTTCATTTTGATCACTAATATATGCTTTTTGCTGTTCCACAATCCATGCAAAATAAGATAATATGTTGTGTGTATAGCCCAGGACCTGGTGGACACTCAGAAATGCTGGTTATTTTCCTTAGTCTCGTCCCACCTGTTCCCCATAGAAGAAAGTCTGCACCCCATACATTTGAAACCCTGCACAATTTTTTCCCTTTCTTGTGTTCAATCATATGTAAGCACTAATTATGCGCCAGGCCAGGGAACACAATAGACAAAGTCCTTGCCCTCATAGAAGTTATTTATTTACTTATTTCTTAGAGACAGGGTATTGCTCTGTTGCCCAGGCTGGAGTGCAGCAGTACAATCATTGTTTACTCCAGCCTCCAACTCCTGGGCTCAGGCAATCCTCCCACCTCTGCCTCCCAAGTAACTGGGGTTACAGGCATTCACCAACATGTCCAACTCCTCATGGACATTATAATAGGAGAGAAAGTCAAGAAACAAATAAAGCACAGTACTGGCATGAACCAGTACCATGCCAGGTAATGAGAAGTTCTAAGAAAAAAGTGCAGCAGGGTCAGAGGATTAAGCATCCGCCTTAACATCTTTACTTTACACTTAGTCACCAAAGGAGCCCTCTGCTAGAGCCAGGCTCACATCCAGCCTCACATAGTACAGAGTCTCTTGAAGGTCAAAGTGTATGCATTTCAACTATTTCTTTCCATAAAAGCCCTCCAAGTCCCCTAACTCAGGGATCCCCCAGCCCCAGGCCATGGATTGGTACTGGTTCATGGCCTATTAGGAACTGGGCCACAGGGCAGGAGGTGAGCAGCAGTCAGAAGCTTCATCTGTATTGACACCCGCTTCGCATCACTCGCATTACTGCCCGAGCTCTGCCTCCTGTCAGATCAGCAGCAGCATTCCATTCTCATAGGAGCTTGAGCCTTATTGTGAACTGTACATGTGAGGGATGTAGGCTACACGCTTCTTATAAGAATCTAATCTCTGATGATCTGAGGTGGAGCAGTTTCATCCCCAAACCATCCCCTGCCCCTAAGTGTGTGGAAAAGTGAAACAAATCCCTGAGACCACTGCCCCAACCCTTGTTTTGCACATTTATTGTCATGTTGTTTTCGATTAAGATTCCAATGCTTCTTGTATCTGATTCTTTCCACTTGGGTTCAGTTTTCTTCTTTAGAAAATATACTCTTTTTCATTGAGGGCCTGTGAATAATATATTATCTTAGTCTTAATTTGTATATATATATAAAGAGAGAGATGGAGTCTTGCTCTGTTGCCCAGGCTGGAGTGCAGTGGCACAATCTCAGCTCACTGCAACCTCCGCCTCCTGGGTTCAAGTGATTCTCCTGCCTCAGCCTCCTGAGTAGCTGGGATTACAGGCACCCACCACCATGCCCAGCTAATTTTTGTATTTTTAGTAGAGATGGGGTTTCACCATCTTGGCCAGGCTGGTCTCGAACTCCTGGCCTCAAGTGATCCACCCGCCTTGCCTCCCAAAATGCTGGGATTACAGGTGTGAGCCACCACACCCGGCCTTAATCTGAATATTTTTTTGTTTCATCTCTATATTTGTTCAATAGTTTAGCCCTCTATAGTTTCTAGATTAAAATTACTTTCCACGAGCAGCTGGAAATATTATTCCACCATCTTCTGGTGTCCGTCGCTGTCGCTGAGAAGCCTTTTGTCAGGCGAATTGTTATGCTCTGTGTAATCTGTCTTTTTCTCTCATTGCTTCCTCCTCTCCTCCCTTCTGTTTTTTTTTTTTTTCTCCTCTCTCTCTCTCCCTTTTCCCTTGTATATTTTTAAGGTTTTGTAAATCGTGTGTGTGTGTGTGTGTGTGTGTGTGTGTGTGTGTGTGTTCAGTAGCTTCAGTACAAGGCTTCTTGCTATAGATTTGGTTTCCTCTGTCCTGCCTGGGACTAACATCTTCAAGTATGAATTCTTATTCATTCTCTCAAAACTCAAATCCGGTGAAATGTCGACTCTTCATCTCCATTACTCTTAACATGCTGTAATATTTTCTATCTCTTTATCTCTCTGGTTGCAGAGGGTAATCTGTGCATATATTTTACAATCGCAGATGACAATGATCTATTTTACAATTCCCATATTCGCTATTCAGTTTTGCTGATCTGCAGTTACGCTGTGCCCTGCATTTTAATCTCAATGATGAGACTTATTCATTAAAATTCTTTTTTTAAATCTTTTTTTCTACTTTCATAGTGCCTTGTTCTCTTCTAGGGGTTTTGTCTTCTGTAGATATGTATTTAATCATTTCAAACATTTTTCTTTCATATTCTCTTTCTGATTGCCATTCTGTTCTATCAAGTCTAATTCTCCTATTTATTTTGTCTGCTCATTCTTGGTGAATGAATGGTGAATTGTTGTCTTATGTATTTTGTAATTTTCAATTTGTGCTCTTATATACATTGTGTGTGTGTAAAAATTTCTCATGGCATGGGTTGTGAGAATATCCTTCTAATGTTATTATCTCTATTTCTGCCAGGGACTCTGTGGGTATCACTTAACTAAGACTTGCTTTTTTTTTTGTTTTTTGTTTTTTTGAGACAGGGTTTTGCTCTGTCACCCAGAATGGAGTGCAGTGGCGCAATCTCGGCTCACTGCAACCTCCGCCTACCGGGTTCAAGCAATTCTCCTGCCTCAGCTTCCCAAGTAGCTGGGATTACAGGAGCCCGCCGCCATGCCTGGCCAATTTTTATATTTTTAGTAGAATCAGGGTTTCACGATGTTGGCCAGGCTGGTTTCGAACTCCTGATCTCAAGTGATCAGCCCGCCTTGGCCTCTCAAAAAGTGCTGGGATTACAGGTGTGAGCCACCATGCCCAGTCCTAAGACCTGTTTTTTTTTTTTTCTTATGTTTGTTCCTGAACTTACGGGTTCCTAGGCCGAATAAATAAATTTGAATCCTTCATCCATGCAAGGTATAGGCTTAGAGTTCCAATTTTTCAAGAGAGACTTTATCTCTCCACCCAGAAACAGAAAAACTTTCTTGTAATACCTTGGTACTGACGGGTAGATTTTTCTAGTTGATCTTATAACCAAGGAGGCAGCTCTAGCAGGGTTCCAGCTTAATGCAGGAATTTCAGTTACCAGCTCCATGGTTTTATCAGGCTCAAAGCCTTGCTGAGGTTAACATGTAGTCTCAATGTTGGCTTTAAGACGCAATGCTACATAGATCCCTAGTGGGGGCCCTGAACCAGCAGCCACAGAAGCAGCATGTTGTGGGCTGTCAGAAATAGACCCTTAGTCCCCACTGCAGAATCAGAATTTTTATCTTAGCAAGACTTAGAGATGACTCCTGTGTACATTACAGTTTGAGAAGCACCGCCCGGGTCACATGTTTTTTAATGCTCATTCTTCCAACCTCTCCCCTA
Organism: Homo sapiens; assembly: GCF_000001405.40. Classification (NCBI taxonomy): domain Eukaryota; kingdom Metazoa; phylum Chordata; class Mammalia; order Primates; family Hominidae; genus Homo; species Homo sapiens. The sequence goes on along the minus strand of NW_018654717.1, from coordinate 4,243,128 downwards.
GAGAAGTTATAATGTCTCTCATGTTTTTTCTGGGCTCTTTGTTTTAAACTTCTGTCTGCATTTTTGGAAACAAGAGATGTAATTTTCTTTCTTGAGAGCTCATCTGTGCATTGAAAAACATTTTTGTTGAAACCTTCTTAGTTGGCCATATTGCCAGGCCTAGAAATCCAATCCTACTCATTCTTCAAAGTTAAACTTTAAGCTTTTAGCAGTTTCCTATGCTAGCCCCTACCTTTGTGCTTTGTAGATATAGACACTCAACAAACTATTTGTAGCTTTTGCATTCAAATGATGGATTAGAAAAATGTTCTTTATAGTGAGGTGGTATCATTTTTGCTTAGTTCTGCCCCTTCTATGGTATTCTCTTTTTTAACATAATACCCTCTGTGTCCCACTATATACTTTTTACAAAGCTGGCTCTGGCTCAAGCCAAGGCCTCCTCTCTGGCACCATGGAATTTCTGTAGTGAGATAGGAAAAATCTATTGTGCTCTCAGAGTCACAGACACTGAACAGCACAGCAGGGGCCAGGTTATCAGTGGCCTCTTCTTCCAGAGTTCCTGTAGGGCAGTTGGTTATCTCAGCCTGTGCCCAGTCAGCCTACACGTGGGGGTCTGGGTAGTAAAAGCTGCAGAGAAAGCAGCTCTGTCCAGATTCATTTGATTAACTAGACAGGCACATCAACTATACACCCGTTCATTGCATTGCAGTATCCTGAAACTCAGGGGCACTTGAAGGGGAAGAGGAAGTAGCTCCTGCCTCTGGGGTGCTTGTAATCATATGGTAGTGAGACACCCATATCCAAAAGAATGAGAAGAAAAATCCCAAGATGTTAGAGATGCAAGTGCCTCATAGGGAGGTAGAAACTGTGTACACAATGCTGAGAGAACATCAAGTAAAGAGAAGCAACTCCATTGGTTGGGACAGAGCAACGTCATCCCTTGTTTCCTTAAATTGCCAGTAAATATTTATCCTCTGCTTGCTTCTGCTTGGGGCCAAATCATTCTCCTTTGTTTTAGAGAGAAGGAAGGAGCCCCTCTGTTCTCCCCTTCCTGGGAAATTCATCACACCAACAGCGGAGATCTTGGCTTTTTACACTATTTTGGGGGCTCTGCTTGGCATAAAATAATACATTCCCTGCCTGGGGCTAGGACAGATTGCTGCTTTTCTCCCACCTCCTGTAGGGTACATCTGGCCAACCATCCCGATCATTGTTTGCAAAGCTTCTATTCAAACATGTATATTGTTTTATGAATGGCAAAAGAGGAAGCCAACAATAACCTTAGGTCTTCATCTGCTTCTTTCATCTGAAGGGCGGGATGATTCTGTGAAGTTCCCCTCCAGCCAGTGTCCCATGCTCTCTGTTTCCTGGGAAGCCAAGATCATCAAGATCATTGTCTTCTTTTGCTCACAGCACACCCACTCCTGGAGTCCCAAACCCCATTCCTTTCTAAATCCTACTATTCTTAAATACTCTCTTTCCCTGGTGACTTTGTATCTGAATGGATTATTTGAAACTTCAATGGTGCCTTATAGTGTTAGGAATTGTTTTTATGTCTTTCTGACTTACCTCCCCAAATATATTTTAAGCTATTTGAAGGCAGAGGATTCATAGCATGTGGCACAACGGCAGGCAAGGGCAAGTTCTCAAAGATCTCAAGAAAGTCTGTTGAGCCCAAATTCATAACACTGTTAGTTATCATACATAAGGTCACTCACCTTCCATATGATGCCCAGGTTGTTGTAGAAGTCATAGTAAAGAACGTCTAAGGACATAGGAATGTCTTGTTCATAAAGGTCAGAGGAATAAGCCAGACTTTCCACTGTTGGGGGAGGTGAAATGCCACACAAGTGCTTACCTGAACCCAGTACCTCCATTCTCCTGCCACCAACAGTTTACTTCCTATCACCTTCTCTCCCATGTAGAATCATCAAATGTCCCATGCAACTTTCTGATGTTATGTACAGACATACCTTGGAGATATTGTAGGTTCAGTTCCAGACCACTACAATAAAGCAAGTATAGGCTGGGCACGGTGGCTCACACCTGTAATGCCAGCACTCTGGGAGGCTGAGGTGGGTAGATCATTTGAGGTCAGGAGTTCGACACCAGCGTGGTCTGAATGGTGAAACCCTGTCTCTACTAAAAATACAAAAATCAGCCAGGCATGGTGTTGGGCGCCTGTAATCCCAGCTACTTGGGAGGCTAAGGCAGGAGAATCGCTTGAACCTGGGAAGCAGAGGTTGCAATGAGCCAAGATGACACCACCGCATTCCAGTCTGAGTGACACTCCATCTAATAATAAAAAATAAAAATAAATAAATAAATAAAGCAAGTATTGCAATAAAGCAAATCACCTGAATATTTTGGTTTCCCAGTGCACTTAAAAGTTATCTTTATACTATACTAAAGTGTATTAAGTGTCCAATAGCACTATGTCTAAAAAAAGATGTACCTATCATCTTAATTTAAAAATACTTCAGGCCAGGTGCGATGGCTCATGCCTGTAATCCCAGAACTTTGGGAGGCCAAGGCAGAGGGGTCACTTGAGGTCAGGAGTTCGAGACCAGCCTGGCCAACATGGTGAAACCCCATCTGTACTAAAAATATAAAAATTAGTCGGGTGTGGTGGTGTGTGCCTGTAATCCCAGCTACTCAGGAGCCTGAGGTGAGAGAATCACTTGAACCTGGGAGGCAGAGGTTGCAGTGAGCTGAGATTACGCCACTGCACTCTAGCCTGGGTGACAGAGTGAGACTCCATCTCAAAAAATAAATAAATAAAAATAAAAATACTTTATTGCTAAAAAATTGCTAACAATTATCCAAGCCTTTAGCAAGTCATAATGTTTTTGCTGGTGAAGAGTCTTGCCTCAATATTGATGGCTGCTAACTTAGCAGGATGGTGGTTGCTGAAGGTTAGGGTGGCTGTGGCAATTTATGAAAATAAGACAATAGTGAAATTTGCTGCGTTCATTGACACTTGCTTTCACAAAAGATTTCTCTGTAGCTTGTGATGCTGTTTAATAGCATTTTACCCATGGTAGAACCTCTTTCAAAATTAGAGTCAGTCCTCTCAAATCCTGCCGCTGCTGTGTCAACTAGGCTTAGGTAATATTCTAAATCCTTTGTTGTTGTTTCAGGAATGTTCACAGCATCTTCAACAGGAGTAGATTCCATCTCAAGAAACCACTTTCGTTGCTCATCCGTAAGAAGCAACGCTTCATTTGTTGAAGTTTTATGATGAGATTGCAGCAATTCAGTCATATCTTCAGGTTCCACTTCTAATTCGAATTCTCTTGCTATTCCCACCACCTCTGCATTGACTTCCTCCACTAAAGTCCTGACCCTCTCAAAGTCATCCATGATGGCTGGAATCAACTTCTTCCAAATCCCCGTTAATGTGGATATTTTAGATGCATGCCTGTAGGCCCAGCTACTTGGGGAACAGAGATGGGATTATTTGAGGCCAGGATTTCGAGGCTACAGCGAGCTATGATTGTGCCACTTCACTGCAGCCTGGTGACAGAGTGATACCCTGTCTCCAAAAATATTTATAAAAAAGAAAAAACTTTAAAATGTTGATATTTTGACCTCCTCCCGTGACATGCAAGACCACATAATGGCATCTAGTATGGCAAATCTCTTCCAGAAGGTTCTTAATTTACTTAGCCCAGCTCCATCACAGGAATCGGTATGTATGGCAGCTACAGCCTCACAAAATGTATCTCTTAAATAAGACTTGAAATTTGAAATTACTCCTTGATTCATGGGCTGCAGCATGGACACTGTGTTGGCAGGCATGAAACGGCATTAATCTCCTGTACATCTCCATCACTGTTCCTGGGTCACTAGGTGCACTGTCAATGAGAAGTCCGATTTTGAAAGAAAACTTTTTTTCTGGAGCAATAGTTCTCAATAATGGACTTGAAATATTCAGTAAACCATGCTGTAAACAGATGTGCTATCATCTGGGCTTCTTTGTTCTCTTTATAGAGCACAGGCAGAGTAGCTTTAGCATCGTTCTTAAGGACCCTAGGATTTTAAGAATTGTCAATGAGCATTGGCTTCAACTAAAATTTACCAGCTGGATTAGCCCCTAATGAGAGAATCAGCCTCTCCTATGAAGCCAGGCACTGATGTCTCTTCTCTAGCTATGGAAGTTCTAGATGGCATCTTCTTCCAATGAAAAGCTATTTCTTCTACATCAAAAACCTGTTGTTTACTGTAGCAACCTTCATCAATTATGTTAGCTAGATCTTCTGGATAACTCTCTGTAACTTCTATATCAATACTTGCTGCTTCATCTTACCCTTCTGTATAATGGAGATGGCTTATTTTCTTAAACCTCATGAACTACCCCCTGGTAGCTTCCAACTTTTCTTCTGTAGCTCCCTCACCTTTCTCAGCCTTCACAGAATTGAGGAGAGTTAGGGCCTTGCTGTGAGTTAGGTTTTGGCTTAAGAGAATGTTGTAGTTGGTCTCATCTTCTAAGTAGACCACTAAAAATTTCTCTATATCAGCAATAAGGCTCTTTCACTTTCTTATCATTCATGTGTTCACTGGCGTAGCACTTTTAATTTCTTCAGGAACTTTGCCTTCACATTCACAACTTGGCTAACTGGAGCAAGAGGCCTAGCTTTAGGCCTATGTCAGCTTTCAACATGGCTTCCTCACTAAGCTTAATCATTCCTATCTTTTGATTTAAAGTGAGAGATGTGTGACTCTTCCTTTCACATGAACACTTAGAAACCATTGTAACATTATTAATTGGCCTAATTTCAATATTGTTATTGAAATTGTTAACAATAGCAATTTTGTTAATTGGCCTAATTTCAATATTGTTATGTCTCAGGGAATAGGGAGGACTGAGGAGAGGGAGGGAGATTGGGGGATGGCTGGTCAGTGGAACAATCAGAACATACACAACATTTATCAATTAAGTAACCATCAGATTACTAATAACCAAAGGCAAAAAGAAAATCTTGAAAGTAGCTAAAGAAAACATAGTTTACAATGGAGAGCAACAATGTCAATTATCACTGATTTCTCTGCAGAAACAACGGAGGACAGAAGACAGTGGAGTAACGTCTTTAAAGTATAAAAGAAAAATACTCTCAATCCAGAATATCTATATCCAGTAAAAATATTCTTCAAGAATGAAAGTGAAATGAAGACATTTTTCAGATAACACAGAATCTAAGATAATTAATTACTGGCAGATCTGAACTCTAAGAAATACTACAATATAAGTTCTTTAGAATAATGGAAAAGTTATCACATCTTAACCCATTGAGGCTGGTACAGCAAAATACCGTACACTGGGTAGCTTGTAAACAGAAATTTATTTCTTACAATTCTGGGGCCTGGGAAGCTAAAAGTGTCAGCAGATTTGGTGTCTGGTGAGGGCCCACTTTCTGCTTGACAGATGATGTCTTCTTGTTATATCCTCCACCATATATATATGGTGAAAGAGGCAACTGAGCTTCCTTGGGCTCTTTTATAAAGGCACTAAACCCATTTATGAGGGTCCCATCCTCATGGCCTAATCACCTCCCAAAGGTCCCGCTTCTTAATACTATCACCTTAGGGTTTTTTCAACATATGAATCTTAGGGAGACACAAACATTCAGACCACAGTACATAGCAACTTGGAATTTCAAGGCGGAATGAAGAGCATAAGAAATGTTAAGCATTTGGGTGAACATGAAAGACTTTTCCCCTTTAATTTCTTTAAAATACATATAACTATTTAAAGCAAAAATTAAGACATTGTTTACAATGTGTACAGATGTATATGGATATTGGTAAAATGTATCTAGATACATGAAAACTATATCAAAAAGAATGGGAGAGTAAAAGGACCTGTACAAGTGCAAGATTTGTATATTTCATGTAAAGTGGTGCAAAAGTAGCCGTAAGTAATTAAGAAAGTTAAGAGTGTATATATTAATCCCTAGAATAATCACTAAAAACTAATGCAAATAGTCATAAATAAGAAGCCAATAGATATATTAAAATAAAATTCTAAAATGTACAATTAACTCAAAAAAAATATAGGAAAGGAGGAACAGAGGAACAAAACACAGATGGGACCAACAGAAAACAAATAGAAAATAGTAGACCTAAATCCAACCACAACAATAATTATAGGCCGGGCACGGTGGCTCACGCCTGTAATCCCAGCACTTTGGGAGGCCAAGGTGGGCAGATCATGAGGTCAGGAGATCGAGACCATCCTGGCTAACATGGTGAAACCCTGTCTCTACTAAAAAATACAAAAAATTAGCCGGATATGGTGGCGGCCACCTGTAGTCCCATCTACTCGGGAGGCTGAGGCAGGAGAATGGCATGAACCCGGAAGGCGGAGCTTGCAGTGAGCTGAGATTGTGCCACTGCACTCCAGCCTGGGTGACACAGCGAGACTCCTTCTCAAAAAATAATAATTATTATTATTATATTAAATATTAATAGACTACGCATTCCAATTAAAAGGCAGAGATGGTCATAATGGATACAAAAGTTAGACCTAATGAACACTGCCTATGAAAGTTACACTGTAAATATAAAAACACTAGATTGAAAGTAAAGATAAAGTAAAAGAATAGAATAGAAAGAGAAAGATATACCACATAGACAATAAACATAAGAAGACTGGGTGGCAATAATATCAGATGAAGTTGACTTTGAAACTAAAATTATTACCAGAGATAAGGAGGGACATTTCATAATGATAAAAGTATCAACTTATCAGGAAGACATAACAATTGTGTATGTGTATGGACCAAATAACAGAGCTTCCCAGTATAAGCATACCTTGTTTTATTGTGCTTTGCGGATACTGAATTTTTTACAAAATGAAAGTTTGTGGCAACCCTGCATCAAACAAGACTATCATCACCATTTCTCCAAATGCATGTGCTCACTTTGTGTCTCTGTGTCACATTTTGGTAATGCTTGCAATGTTTCAAACTTTTTCATTCTTTTTAGTGTAATACCATAAACCTTGAATAATATCATGAGATCCATATAGAGTGCCCCTAGTGACACTGAAATTGCTCCCAAGAAACAGAGAAAAGTCATGACATTACAAGAAAAAGTTGACTTGCTTGATCTGTACCATAGATTGAGCTCTGCAGGCTGTGGTTGCCACCATTTCAGACAGATTATTCATCTTGTGAACAGGCAATGGAAACTTACGGTATCAATACATACAGTACAGTGCTGTAAATGTATTTTCTTCTCCTTATGATTTTCTTAATAACATTTTCTTTTCTCTAGCTTACTTTATTATAAGAATATAGAATATAATACATATGCAAAATATATGCTAATTGACTGTTTATAGTATTGGCAAGGTTTCCAGTCAAAAGTCAACTATTAGTAGTTAAGTTTTTGAGAAGTCAAAAGTTATATGCAGATTTTTGACTGCATGGCGGGGGTCAGCCTCCGTAACTTTCACATTATTCAAGGGTCAACTGTAATAATAATTGCTTATGTATTCTTTGCAAGGCCCTGTGCTAAATGTTCCATAAACATTATCTCATTTGGCCTTCCCCCAAACCTTTACATTAGGGGCAAGTATTGTTCTCATTTTGCAAATCAGTGAGTTGAAACCTAAAGGGATCAAGTAAGTTGTCTCTCTGTCACACAGCTGAGTGTGTTTGGAAGCAAGACTAAAATCTAGATCTGCCTGACTTGAAGGCCCCTTTTCTTATCAGAATGTGGTAGATACAGGTTTTATCCATCCTTCCTCACAGACAAAAAGTAGCATGGTTCATGGTCATGTAAATACACACCCTGAATATTTACCCTTCTGATTACCTTGTGTAGGGGGAACATCCGCATCCAAGAGACGCCTGCAGTCCAGGGGGCTCCAGAGGGAGGGAGTCCTGTGGATGTGGAAGATACGCTTTTGTCTGAGAGTCATGAGATTGGACTGTGGGTCCCTGTTGTTGTTAACCCCTGTGTGATCTTGGGCAATTCACTGTTCCTGTCTTTACCTCTACTTGCTCCTCAGTAAGTCAGAGTGAACTGAGATCTCTTCCTGAAATTACTTAGCCTAATTCTATGGTTGGTTTCTGGTGGCCAGGAACCAGAAATAAATCTCTCAGCAAAATTTTGCTTATGGACCATGAATCTTAGAGTATCCATGGTATCACTGATATCTTTAATTCCCAGATATTTTCCAGTAATGAAATTCATATAATAAAGCCAGGATCTCTGGTTCTTAATGTGGTGTTCTCGAGATCTCTGACTCTGTCTAACCCCGCTTCCCCCAGATCTATCAAGTTTTAATCCGTGCTGCTGGCCTGCCATTCCTTAGGAGTGCCTTGATCCTGGCCTGGTCACTTTTTTTTTTTTTTTCAATCATAAGGCACTAATTCCTACAAAGGGAGAAAACTCAAGGGTATGATAGTCATCCATCTTGGGAGGCTGTGCTCTGGAGTTGGGCAGCTTATGTTTCCCACCTACCAAAATTGTCTCCCTGCCTAATCTGTCCAAGGTGGGCAGAAAAGGTTGTTTCCATTTATGACTTCCTTGCGGAACTCAGTTTCCATGATGCCACTTCAGTACCACGCCTAGCCCTATATTAACAGCACGGTAGATTGGACACAGGGCCTCTTCTCCCAAGAATTCATCAATCCATAAGTTTTCATTAAGTAAATTAAACTAAGGCTCTTGCTAGTGCCTTCTTGGCACAAGAAACTTGTCAGTTTCTGGAATCTCTAAGGGTTCACATCTCCCCTCCCTCATCTCCATCTAGTCTTATTATTATTATTATTGAGATGGAGTCTCGCTGTGTCACCCAGGCTAGAGTGCAGTGGTGCGATCTCGCCTCACTGCAACCTCTGCCTCCTGGGTTTGAGCGATTCTCCTGCCTCAGCCTCCCAAGTAGCTAGGATTACAGGCGCCCGCTACCACAACTGGCTAATTTTTGTATTTTTAGTAAAGACAGGGTTTCATCATCTTGGCCAGGCTGGTCTCGTACTCCTGACCTCATGATCCACCCGCCTTGGCCTCCCAAAGTGCTGGGATTACAGGCGTGAGCCACTGCACCCAGCCTGTATTATTTTTATTTAAATAATTGTGCTGGAAAAATCATCCTGCTTGGGAAAAAAAAGAAGTAATGCAGGAAGAGGCATGGGGCCGACTCAGTGTGCTACGGCAGTCTTTTTGAGAATGACAGCTTGGGACACAGCCAATGGAAGAATTCACCTTCCTGATCTTCTCAGAAATGGCTTTAGAATGAGGTTATGGGCATAAAATATGCCTTCCTTTGGGCTCACTGCATAACTTTGGGGAGTGAATTTAACCTTGCAGTGGTCCAAGTGCAAATGTCCAAGGTGTTACTTCCCATAATTTTGTGACAATGAGAATTCTTGAAATACCAGGAGAGCCTTGCAAAAATAAAGTGACCTTGCAAAAGTGACATTTCTGGCCACTGCTGAAACTATAACAGGACTTAAAATGGAGCTTTCTTGTTTGTCATAAATTTATGGCCTCAATTTACTGTGAGACCGACCTCTCCAGTTGGTTCTGGGGGTGTCTAAATCACATGTCAGCATCTTACACACTGTGGGCCAGTGATGACGAGGGCTGGATTTTCACACATGGGAAGGCCAGGTGGCACCACTTTTGCTTATGACTTCCATTTACCATCTCCCTCTTTCCACTTCTCCTGCTGCTTGCGAGAACAGATCCACATTTGCTAACCTAGACCTCATGGGAGTTAGAGTTACCAAACAAGGAGAAGAAGGCCCTTAGCTTGGCAAAACTTCAAAAGTTTCTAGTTTCTAATCTAAAGGGGCAAAACTGTAGCCATACCTTGGAATGAAGACTGAAGTTTCCCCAGGACTGCTGAAGTCTCACCAATGGCTAATCAAATGTCAAATTTTCACAGCAAGAATTTTCCAGAAGGGGAACAGGTAACTGGATGTCAATTAAATTCCCTGGGCCTTAATTCTTTCATCTGTAAAATGAGGCAGTAGGAGTCACTGGTGTTCCACAGTTCTTTCTTGTGTCAGCTAGTCAGCTATGTAAGAGTCTTTTTATTCTTTTTTGTTGTTTTTTTTTTTTTTTTTTTTTTTTTAAATTTTTGAGACAGGGTCTCGCTCTGTCACCCAGGCTGGAGTGCAGTGATGTGATCTCGGCTCACTGCAGCCTTGACCTCCCAGGCTCAAGCGATCGTCCCACCTCAGCCTCCCGAGTAGTTGGGAGGGACCACAGGCATGCACCAACATGCCCGGGTAATTTTTAAATTTTTTTGTGGAGACAGAGTTTCACCATGTTGACCAGGCTGGTCTCGAACTCCTGGGCTCAAACAATCTGCCTGCCTTGGCCTCCTAAAGTGCTGGGATTACAGGCATGTGCCACTGCACCCAGCTGTCTTTTTATTCTATTGCATTCAAGTATTATTGCCAAAGGCTGATGTTACCTAAAATTAGCCATTTTATTACTATTTTTTTTTGGCTAAAAAAAAAATCTCCAGTTCTCTTCCCCCTTCACACTATAAAATACAATGATTAGTAAAAGCTCATGACTTCTATCTTGCTCTAGCTCAGCAAACAACAGGAGGCTTTCATCCTCCTATGGATATATTTCAGATCTCTTCACTGATTTTTCTTAGGTGTCTATAGTATCTTGGGAGGGTTTCTATTCCAAGCTAACCCTATATTCTCTAAAGACCTACCCAAATATTCTAGCTTTAACTTCTCAGCAAAGTTCTATTCTTGTACTTCCAGTTGCCCATAGGGAATTTTCACTTGGAAAGAACATCTCATCATAAGACAGTTAACAGATATTTTTGAGTGGCTATGGTATATCCATCATTATGAGTAATCTAGAAGAAACATTAGACATTGCCTCTGTTCTTTTTTTTTTTTTTTTTTGAGACAGAGTTTCGCTCTTGTTGCCCAGGCTAGAGTGCAATGGCTCAATCTCAGCTCACTGCAACCTCTGTCTCCCGGGTTCAAGGGCTTCTCCTGCCTCAGCCTCCCGAGTAGCTGGGATTACAGGCGCCCGCCACCACGTGCAGCTAATTTTTTGTATTTTTAGTAGAGACGGGGTTTCACCGTGTTAGCCAGGATGGTCTTGATCTCCTGACCTCAGGTAATCGACCAGCTTTGGCCTCTCAAAGTGCTGGGATTACAGGCGTGAGCCACCGCGCCCAGCCACCTCTGTTCTTAAGAAACTTAAATTACAACGGAGGAAAAAACAAATATATTCATCCAGGAAACACTTGTTGAGGATCTATTTATGTGAGATACTTTAAAGTCTGATAGGAAATGTCACCATGTATCTCAATTTGCCAGGAACTGTCTTATTTATACCTGTTGCATTGGTGTATTATAAATAGCAATCCTTCTGACCTTCAAAAATGCCCTAGTTTGTGTGGCAGATTAGAAGATTGCTTTGATGCTGGGAAGTGATAGGGCCCTGATAACCTCATCCACTAGAGTCAGGTCAACGGAGAAGATTACCATAGCAACTAAGGACCATTATGTTAACAGAAACAGATATTATCACAACCTGGATATGTTTGTAATTTGGATGAGGCAGTCTCATTCATTACCTGAGATATTTCTAGAAGCTGTATTCATGTTGTTGGTTAATCTAATGGAAAGTGTTATCTTCTCCAGCTTACAATTCTGATCAGCATCTATGCCTCTGGGATAGGCTTAGCCTATGCTGAGACAGGTCAGATCTCATGTCTATGGGGAATGGACCAAGGAGAAGCCTTAAAGAGTGCGCAGGCCAGGTGTGGTGGCTCACGCCTGTAATCCCAGCAGTTTGGGAGGCCGAGGCGGGCAGATCATTTGAGGCCAGGAGTTCGAGACCAGCCTGACCAACATGGTGAACCCCATCTCTACTAAAAAATATAAAAAGTTAGCTGGGCGTGGTGGCACATGCCGGTAATCCCAGCTACTCGGGAGGCTGAGGCAGGAGAATTGCTTGAACTTGGGAGACAAGTGAGCCGAGATCACGCCACTGCACTCCAGCCTGGGAGACACAGCGAGACTCCACATGAAGAGAAGGGACCTGAAGTCTCATGAGCTCAGTTCCATAATCATGCCTGGGTGGCTACTCCATGCTGGGCACTCCTCTAGTCAACAGGGCAGAAGGAATTTTATGAGCAGAGCCTGGAGGTGGGAAATAGCATGGGGTGTGTGGGGCCCACCAAGCAACTTGGCATTGGTGGACGTCTACAGTGTGTGGCAGTGGCCAGCAGGGGATGTGCTATGGGAATAGGCAGAGGCCAGACGATGGAGAACCTACATCAAGAAACATCGTGCTTTTTTAAAGCTTGGAAATGAAAAGATACCTCAGATGTGGCTCTATCCAAAGGGCTCTGCCTGCCTTGGCAGCCACCACACCTGCAGCAAGACGATCCGTTTTTCAGCGCGTCTGCTGATCCCTGAAAACCTCTCTGCCCCCTCCAGGGCTCTGTCCAGGTGTATGTTACTCATATTTGCAGATTCAGTGCTGATGAGACAGTTTCTGGAGACCCAGGACAAACAATGCTGGCTGGAAGAGCCAACCCTGGCCAGTCAGCCCCTTGTTTGGCAGCACTTCCAGGTGCTACAGAAGAACTGGTGCAGCAAGGACGATTGATTCGTGTGGGTCAAAGTAGGGGTGTTGATGTTCTTCCGGAATGTGCAGCAGTTGCTGATAATATTGGCTGACACTGAAGATCCTGCCAATTTCTTTAATCTTCCTTACTGCTGGTAGACTTGAATGGTCCAAAAGGCCATGTATACCAGCCTGGAGTGCTACCCCGAAACCACTGGATCTTGAACTCCCTGCCACTCTGAACGGCAATGCACAAAGCAGGTGATCTTATTTATACTGGCAACATAAGTTCTTGGTAACAGGGGCAGAGCAGTATGGTTTGGTGCCTAACACAGGAAGTTAAAAAATAAAAATAATAAAAGGAAAGAAAGGGGGAAAAAAATGCTCCTATCAGTGTGGAATGGGCAAGTAGAACCCACCAAAAAGGTAAAATGTGAAACTAGCAGGAAGAACTGTCTCCAATTGCATGAGAAGAACATGCCAACAAAAGACAATTTTTCAAAGATAATTGTTAAGAAACACATTGCCAAGAACTTTAAAAATCAAGTACAAGCCAGGCATGGTGGCATGTGCCTGTGGTCCCAGCTACTTGAGAGACTGAGGCAGGAGGATGGCTTAAGCCCAGAGTTTAACACTGTAGTGTGCGATGATCATGCCTGTGAATAGTCACTGCACTCCAGCCTGGGTGACATAGCAAGACCCCACCTGTAAAAAAAAAAAAAAAAAAAAATCATGTGCAGACATTTGTTTTCCAGTTTGCTAGACACCAGCACTTGAAGAAATATCTCTTTTAGGATGAAGAGATGTTTTTCCTAAAGTTGTATGAAACAGCTTTTCCTCTGTACTAACTCACTTAAACATGAATGAGTCTTAAATTATTACTTTTTCTTCTCTATTGCAAGAGTCTCACTGGTGTTCATTTCCTGAAGAGTCAACGATGAACTAAGGGTGTGTGGGAGGCATTCTCCTCCTTTGAGGACTGTAGAGATGCCGATAGATAGAAATAATCTTGAACAAAAAGGTCCATGAGGTTATTGGACTGATTTATGGTCCATTCTAGGTCATGTGCATGCCAAGTCTATCTTTTCCATCCAAAATGCCTCCATGAGTATGTTCTGAACTGGGATCCTGGGGCTCATATGATTATGACTATTTTTTAACTGTGACTCTCACCTTAGAGAACACTCCAATTTAACATGCCCGTTTATGAAGTTCAACTCATGATTAATTGTCATTTACACCAGCGCTACTCAAAGTGTGGGTCTCTGATGCTTGAGGAGCGTGGTGCAAACTGTAAATCAACATACTGCTTTCTTCATGGAGAAAGTCAGGCACTAAAAACCTGTCCGCTAAACTACAGTGTGCTTGGTGAGGCGGTTGACACACATTATGGTGCAAGCTTCACCTCTTGATGTGGCAAGGTAACCGTCTGCAGACCAACGTCTGTCTACAGACTGCACTTTGAGGCACTCTGACATATACTTGACATATATTTACATCATCTTTATAATCTATAAGATGCAATCTATAATTATTAATCTGTCTCAATTTTAAAAAGATTATTTTGAAACAATTTCGAATGTATAGAGAAGTTGCAAGACTACTACAAAAGACTCCTGCATGCCTTTCTTTCTTTTCTTTTTTTTTTTAATTTATAATTTTTTTTTCTTTTATAGAGATGGGGTCTTGCTATGTTTACCAGGCTGGCCTCGAACTCCTGGTCTCAAGCATTCCTCCCATCTCAGCCTCCCAAAGTGCTGGGATTACAGGCATGAGCCACCATACCCGGCCCCCGTATGCCTTTCATTCAGACTCCTTTCAAGTTTTACTCATGATGTGCTTGCTACCAATGGGTCCAAATTATGATCCTATGATCTAGCCTCTTTCTATCTGGATCCTTCTCTGAGTTCCATGCTCTTGACCTTTATGAAGGTTACATTTTGTAGAATGATTCTCAAGTTGGGTTGTCCTCTGCTTTTTCATGGTTAGACCAGGTCACGCCTTTTGGACAAGAATGTCACAGAAGTGATGCAGTGGTCTCACTGCCCACTATCAAATAGCCCATGATGTTATTTTGCCCCATTGGTGATGGTAACTTTGATTGCTTGATTAAGATGGTGTCTGCCCCATCTTTTTTCTTTTGTAGTTAATAAGTATTATGTAAATATTCCATTATTCATTCCATTTTTACCTCCTTGTTTTAGAACTCATTGATGTTTCTTGCTGGAATTAATTATTACTGTGATGTTTGCCAAATGGTAATTTTCTAATTGTATTATTCCCCTTACATTAATAAATCGGCATACTATTGTAAGGAAGAACTTTTGTACCTCCCGTTTTTACAAACAAATGTGTTATCATCCATTCTATTCTTCTATTATTCAATGGGTTACAAACCTTACTCTCATTAATTACTTTGATGTTCATGTAGACCCAGATTTTGACAGTTGGTTTCCTATGAAGCTGGATTCTGCACCTTTTGCCATGTGCCTCTCATTCTTTGAGAACTTCCTCACAAAAAGCCCTTCAAGGATATCTGGTGCTTTTTCTGTTCCAGGTCTGGATCAGCCAGTTCTTTGAGGAGCCTTAGTTCCTTTTCATGGAGAGTGATATTTAGAAGCCAAGATCTAGATGCAAAGTAGGCCCTTTGCTACTAGAGTTGTTGCTTCCCTGGGCCCTCTCAGTGGACAGAATTAGGAAATAGATGTATTTTTATCCGTCCATATATGCAAACACACAAAGGTGTGTATATACACATACATCTTTACATCTATACTTCTGTCTTGACGTCTTGGGGTTGCATCATCCTTAGTATGTTTGTTTACTGGCCCCTGTAGGTAGCCATTCTCTCGACTACATGAGGGGCCTCTCACCCTGCTCTGAATCTGTCCTCATAATTGTTGCCATTGCCAGGTGCCACCAGCTGCTTCTGCCACCTTGCTCCAATACCACTCTTGCCAGGCCACTGTCACCTCCCTTTCTTGTGCCTGCTCAGTGACTCTTGGGCTGAATTAGGAAAGAGAGGAAGGAAGCCAGATTTTTGTTTCTTAATTAGAAGAAGAAGTAAGCAAAGGCTACACTGAGATTACCTGCCAAGATTACTCCTTTGTTTCACCTTAGGAGACAGATAAGACAGCCTGTCTGTCGGGACGATATCAACATTGAAATGAAAGGGTCTTCCATATCTCTAAGTCTACTTCAGGATGGTAATCATGGCCAGAAGGGTGGGAGGGATGGTGCTTGTGCATCCTGCAGTGCACGTCAGCCTTGGTTTTTGCAGCGGGAATAAGGCTATCAGTGCTGGGTTTAATGTCGCTAAATCAGCAGAATGCTTGTCAACTCGTCTAGACATGCATCATGCCTGATGAAAGAAGATGAAAAAATAGAACATTGGTTTTTCTGGCAAGGGGCATTTGGAAACGTGGGGGTGTTATGCATTGTCACAATGCCTGGGGCCCACTGACATTTGGTGAGCAAGAGCCAGGGATATAAATGCTCTGTAGTGCACAAGGCAGTCCTGCATGACAACGTCTTGTCCCACTCAAATGCCACTGGAGCCCCCTCTAAGAGATACAAACAGGTGCTCACCCACAGGGGTACAGTTTGTAATGCTTTAATGCCATTACTGCTGTCATGTTTGTGAGGGAACATGGTCTCCAGCCTCCACCAGATGGGAGCAAAATAACCGTAACTACCAGAAATAGAAGTGATTGTAGTAACTGCTTCCACATATTCTAGATACCCACCCACTGTGTGCAGTTATGAGTGAAACTGTGGCAGCTTTGTGAATCCCACAGGCCTGATCTTGGTCCTAATGGGCAGCATGACATTGGAATAAAACTCAAGACATTAAGTGATCCTGTGTTTTGCCCGCTGTTGAAATTAGCAACTGGAAAATAAACGTGTTTCTATGATCAAGGATGACTGGTTACCTTTTATGAGCTCACACATCCAGTCACTTGGTCAAGGAGTACTTGCTTGCACTTCCAAATTGATTGTAAGCTCCTTGAGGGCAAGAGGCAGTATGGCAGGCTTATGTAATTACCCACAGTGTCTTGCAATTAGTAGGTGACTACTAGCCGGTGACAAGGTTTGATTTTTCCCAGCTGGACCATTAACCATAACACTGGGTAAGGGCTCACATCTATTTTTCTACAGTGTTCCAACACCTCACTAATTCATATTTTAGATAGGGCTGAAATCCGTAAATTTCTGAACTGGTTAAGCAAGGCAGAAGCAGCAAAGCCCTTTTTTCTTTCACCTACTCTCTCTCCCTCCCTGCCTCTGATTTATAGGCTGACAGAAGTGGATGCAAGAATGACTTCCGTATATGTGGGCAAATGACCCTACTGCTGAATCGTGCTACTTTAAGCTCAGAGCTGAAGAGCAGGACATCCAGGCTTGGGAGGACAGCAAGGGTCATAGGTGTAGGCTGGCTTCTGCCATGAACTCTCTGTTCAATGTTCAGCAAGTCTTCTAACCTCTCTGGGCCTCATTGTCTGGATCTATAAAATCGGGAGGTTGGACCTCACGATCTCTTCACATCTGTGGTTCTACAGTTTTTTGTCTTGGACCTCATGAAAACTATGAAGCATGGCCACATCCTGAACAATAGGCAAAGTGATAAGGAAATGTCACAAGGATGGCAAAGTGACAGGGAAAACAGAGTGAAAAGTGTGTCCTATGATAACACTGGAAAGACCATTCTCTGGCCACAGTTCAAACCTCTCTTTCTCAATGAGTTTTGTCTTTTGTCTTTTTCTTTTTCTTGTAATTACAGGAAGAATAGCGAACAGCACTTGTAGCTGCTGCTTTCCTAGCTAAGAGGATAAGCCAGGCTCAGGCTCTGGTGGTGGAGAGATGGTCTATTTACCTCAGATTTACTTCCAGACCACAGGAATCCCACATTTGTCCAAGACCTCTTTCTTTTCTCCCGTGGAAGGAGGGCTGCAATGGCTGGACAATTCCACTCTCAGCAACCTCTTCTGGTCTTTGAAATTCTGATCTCCTTTTAACAAAGTACAGTGAGAAGTAATTTAGACTAAATGACTTGATACCTGTATTTCCTGATACTTTATTTTTCTTTCCATGACTATTTTAATTCCTGAAAAGTGGAAAAGTACTTTCTCCATCATTTCTCATTTTTCCCTTTTCCCTTAAAAACATAACTCTGCATTTATTGTAAACTATCTTAAATCGACTTTGGAAGTGATTTGAAAATAAATTGTAAAATAACAGTGCTGTAGGTGTCTAATATGCTTTGTGTTGTAGTCAAGAGAATAAAGCAGTAGACACCTTTAGTAGCAAATATCTGAAGTAGAAGGGACATGAGAGAATATTTAAATCACTGTTTTTCAAATTGCAGGTTGTAGCCCATTAGTGGGTCCTGAAATCAATTTAATGAGTTGCAACCAGTATTTTTTAAAAATAATATAGAATAGAGTAGAAAATACCAGAGTAATCACACATAAAAAAGGTTTGTTAATGAAGCATTTGTTTAGGCAAGTTCTGACTTGCCTAAAATATCAAAGCTGTTAGAAACTACAAAAAACAGAACAAGAACTTTGCACAGGAGACGAGAGCATTTTATTTTACTAAGAATTAGTTTATATGATTGGTTATTGTGATGTCCCTTTTAATTTAGAAAGGGTCTTTGCAAAATCCACTGAGAAAAACAGTTGATTAAATATTTATTGAGTGCTCAAATGTATGAGAAAGTGTGGAAAAATATTTAATGAAAATACTACTTATTACGTCCTGTAACTAATAAAGATATTCAACTATAATTTAAAAGCTCCCAAAAAGGAAATTTCTAGGCCCAGAAGGTTTCCATGGTGAATTCCATTGAGCATTTAAATAAAATTTTTTTCTTTTTTTTTTTGAGGCGGAGTCTTGCTCTGTCGCCCAGACTGTAGTGCAGTGACACCATCTCGGCTCACTGCAAGCTCCGCCTCCCGGGTTCACGCCATTCTCCTGCCTCAGCCTCCCGAGTAGCTGGGACTACAGGCGCCCGCCACCACGCCCAGCTAATTTTTTTGTATTTTTAGTAGAGACGGGGTTTAACCGTGTTAGCCAGGATGGTCTCAATCTCCTGACCTCGTGATCCGCCTGCCTCGGCCTCCCAAAGTGCTGGGATTACAGGCATGAGCCACCGCGCCCGGCGAAAATTTAACAATTTTACACAATTTCTTCCTGAAAACAAAAGGGGAGGGAATGCTTATCACTTCATCTTATGAGGCTAGTATTACACTGATTAAAAAAAAAAAAAAAAAGACTAATATGGCTTACAAACTTAGATACAAAAATCCCCAACAAAATATTAGCAAATCAAATCTAGAAGTATATTAAAAGACTTAAACACCATGACAAAATTTATTTCAAGTATGCAAATTTAGGTCAATATTTAAAAAATCAATCCATATAATCCGCTGCAAAGAAAGAAAAAATCACACAGTTATATCAATTGACACAGAAAAAGCATTCGACAAAAGCCAACACGTACTCATGATAAAAACTCTCAGCAAACTAGGAATAAAGGAAATCTTCTGTAGCTTGATAAAGAGTAGCTATTAAAAGCCTACAGGTAACATCATGCTTAATGGTGAAAGACTGCTTCCTGTCTAAGGTTAGAAACAAGGCAAGGATGTCTACTCTCACCACCCTTATTCAACATGGTGCTAGAAACTCTAGCTATTGCAAGAGTGCAAGATAAATAAATGAATACTGTAAAGATTGGAAAGGAAGAAATTAAACTGCCCCTGTTTTCAGACGACATGATTATCTACATAGACAATCTCAAGTAATCTGTGAAAACTCCTAGAATTAATAAGTGAATCCAGCAACCTTGCAGGATATAAGATTGACACATAAAAATTAATTGCATTTCTATTTATAAAAATGAACATCCAGAAACCAAAATTAGAACACAACATAAGTCACTCCAAATAAAATGAAATACTTATGTGAAGGATTTCTGTACTGAAAATAACAAAATGCTTATTAAAGAAATTAAAGAATATCTAGATAAATGGAGAGACATACTATGTTTATGGATTAAAAGACTAAATGTAGAAAAAGGTCAATTCTTCCCAAATTGATCGACAGATGTAATCCAATTTTTTTTTTTTTTTTTGAGACGGAGTCTCGCTGTCGCCCAGGCTGGAGTGCAGTGGCGCCATCTCGGCTCACTGCAGGCTCCGCCCCCCGGGTTCACGCCATTCTCCTGCCTCAGCCTCGTGATCCGCCCGCCTCAGCCTCTCAAAGTGCTGGGATTACAGGCGTGAGCCACCGCGCCCGGCCAGATGTAATGCAATTTTGATCAAAATCCCAGCAACAGTTTTTGTAGACAGAGACAAGGTTACTCTAGAGTTTATATGAAAAGACACAAATTCTAGAATTTAAAAAAATCTTGGGGCTCCCAGCACTTTGGGAGGCCGAGGAGGGCGGATCACGAGGTCAGGAGATCGAGACCATCCTGGCTAACACGGTGAAACCCCGTGTCTACTAAAAGTACAAAAAATTAACCGGGCATGGTGGCGGGCGCCTGTAGTCCCAGCTACTCGGGAGGCTGAGGCAGGAGAATAGCGTGAACCCTGGAGGCGGAGCTTGCAGTGAGCTGAGATCGCGCCATTGCACTCCAGCCTGGGTGACAAGGCAAGACTCCATCTCAAAAAAAAAAAAAAAAAAAAAAAAAAAAAAAGAATAAAGTGTGAGGAATTACTCTATCTCATATTAGGTTTTACTATATAGCCACAGTACTCAAGATATTATGGTATTGTTCAGGGATAGGTATATACATAATTGAAACAGAATAGAGAACCCATAAATTAACCTATATAAATATGAAAGAACCCATAAATAAACCTATGTAAATATCTCCAGCTGCTTTCTGACAAAGACGCAAAAGAAAGCCTTTTCAACAAATGGTACTGAAGTAAGTGGACATGTATAGGCAAAAAAATAAACCTCAACCCAAACCTCTCACCTTATCAAATTTAAGTCAGAATGCATCATATCTGTAAATTTAAAATGTAAAACTATAAAACTTTTGGAGGACAGCAAAGGAAAAAATCTTTGAGATGTAGGCCTAGGCAAAGAGTTCTTATACTTGACATCAGAAGCGTGATCCCACAAAGGAAAAAATAGATAAAAAGTAAACTTTACTATGAGAAAGTCCATGTGAGGAGAATGAAAAGGCAGGCTACAGACTGAGAGAAATATTTTCAAATAACACATATGACAAAAGACTAGCACCTGGAATATACAAAGATCTCTCAAAACTCAATAGTGAAAGAAAAAAACCCCAGTCTACTTAGAAAATGGGCCAAAGACATACATACATTTCACTAAATAAGATATACATTCGGCAAAGAAGCACACAAAAAGCTTTGGCATAATTAACCACTGAGGTAATGTAAATTAAAACCACGATGAGATGTTACTACATGCCGTTCAGAATTGCTAAAATAAAAAGTAGTCACAACAGTGGTCAGGTGTGGTGCATACCTATAAGACTGTGTGAGCCCAGGAGTTCAAGTTCAGCCTGGGCAACATAGTGAGACTCTGCCTCTAAATAAATAAATAAAAACAGTGACAACACAAAAAGCTGACGAGGATGCAGAGAAACCGGATACGTTACTGGTGGCATTGTAAAATAGTATAGCCACTCCAGAAAATAGTTTGGCAGTTTCTTATAAAACTAAACATGAGACTGCCATAAACCCAGAAATTTCACTCTTGAGCATCCATCCCAGAGAAATGAAAAATGTGTATTTGCACAAAAAGCTGTACATGAATGTTCATAATAGCTTTATTCATAATAAACCCAAACTAGACACAACTCAAACGCTCATCAGTATATTATTAATCTGTACTGTGGAATAGTCCTCAGCAATGAAAAGGAACAAACTGTTGATACATGGACCAACTTGGATGAATCTCCAGGGAAATAAACTGTGGGGAAAGCCAATCCTCAAAGTTTACATGTAGGATTCCACTTATATAACATTCTTGAACTGACAAAATGAAAGAAATGGAGAACAGATTCGTGGTTGCCAGGGTCAAGGACCATGGTGGGAGTGGGGTGGGGGAGGAGAAAAGCCAGGGAGAGGAGAGGAGCTGTGGTTACAAAGGACATGAAAGATCCTTGTGGTTCTATATCCTGACTGGGGCCGGGAGCAGTGGCTCATGCCTGTAATCCTAGCACTTTGGGAGGCTGGGGCAGGAGGGTCACTTGAGTCCAGGAGTTTGAGACCAGCCTGGGTAATGTGGCAAAATCCCATTTACATTAAAATATATATATATATATATATATATATATATATATACAAAACATTAGCAGGCATGGTGGCACACACTTGTGGTCCCAGCTACTTGGTAGGCTGAGGTGCGAGGATTGCCTGGGCCTGGGAGGTTGAGGCTGCAGTGAGCCATGATCGCATCACTACACTCCAGCCTGGGTGACACTGAGACCCTCTCTCTCAAAAACAAAGTAGAAATTATATCCTGACTGGATTAACGTCAATATCCTGGTTGTGATACTGTATTCTAGTTTTGCCTGATGTTACCACTGGGGAAAACTGAGTCAATGTTACATGGAACCTGTCTGTATTATTTCTTAAAACTGCATGTGAATCTGCCATTATTTCAAAACAACAGTTTAAATTGTAAAAAGGAAACATGAGGACTCTCTGGTCTTAGATGCAAGCAAATGGAGTAAAAAATGTATAATTTGGGCAAAGACTAAAGTAACTATTGGAGGATTCTAAATAGCTTGGTGACAATGACATGCTATCTCTTTCTACATGCCCATAGAGTACTTATTCCCAGTCATACCCTTGCCCATAGAGGCACTCAATAATTTTGTCTTATGTGTTATATTAGTGTGGAATAGACGTTGCCCTGTCAAGCAGTTTAATGTATGAATGTAAATATAAATCACATATATATAATAGGCAGCTCAAGTGTGGTTCTGTGTGAACAAGCCAATTTTTTTTTTTGTGAAAGGACATGGTAAGTATCCTTGAGAACAGAAGGAAAACATAACCAGAGTCCACATTTATTTTGGGGTCCACAGCTGTGTTTCCTTCCCATGCAGGTTTTGCTTGTTCACTTGCTTTTGCCTTTTTCTATAGGATATCCTTCAACCACATTCATTAGCCTAGGAGGCGGGAGAGTGGAATTCCTGTGTGGGAAGGAAAGGGTTTACACCCGTATTTCTGGGGCCCTAGGGCTCTCAGGAGATGCTTCAGGGAGGGGGAATGGGTGCGATTTCTATCTTGGGCGGCCTATTTTCTTTTTTTTCTTTTTCTTTCTTTTTTTTGAGACGGAGTCTTGCTCTGTGGCCCAGGCTGGAGTGCAGCGGTGCAATCTCGGCTCACTGCAAGCTCCGCCTCCCGGGTTCACGCCATTCTCCTGCCTCAGCCTCCTCAGTAGCTGGGATTACAGGAGCCCGCCACACGCCTGGCTAATTTTTTTGCATTTTTTAGTAGAGACGGGGTTTCACCATGTTAGCCAGGATGGTCTCGATCTCCTGACCTCGTAATCCGCCCGCCTCAGCCTCCCAAATTGCTGGGATGACAGGCATGAGCCACCGCGCCCGGCCCTGTTTTCTACCTACTTGTCCATGGCTTCACATTGGATTTGATTTAAGAACACATTCCATGTCTTCATAAAATGTTAGAAAACCACCAGCGGCTCATGTCTGAGTTCAGCTGCACAGGACTGAGGTTGCAGCTGGAGACCTGGGCCTCTGCATTCCCTGTCTGGTGGAGGGAGTGCAGAGGCTGAGATGAGGCGTGAGTGGTGTCCTGGAGGGCTGGAATGAGTGCCCCCTGTCATTGTCTGTCTGGCTTCTGCCACTGACAGCAGAATGTCACTTATTCAGTGTTGCTTGCCCAGGGAGGACAGAGTGTGTCCTGCCTTACAGAAGGCCTGGGGCAAAGCCATGACATTTCAAAGTGGGAAAATCAACCAGGATGAGAGGGACTTTTTTCTGGAGAAAATACTGTTTAAAAAATGTTTGTTTTCAAAGTCTGTGTGTGTAATATAGTGTGTGACCAATAGAAGCGACGAGAGCCCAAGGTGGTGAGGTGATTGATCAATTGATGAGAAAAGCCCCTGGAAAATTTGTGTGAACAAACACTTAGTTGCATGAGCAAACGTGCAAAGCAGTGTTCAAAAAGATCTTATGAAAATATTTGGGAGATGGGAGGTGGCAGTTTCAGTGAGCCAAGATTGTGCCACTGCACTCCAGCCTGGGTGACAGAGTGAGACTCTATGTGAAAACAAAAACAAAAAACAAAAATTAGGAGAATTCTTTCAGTAATAGGTTCAATAAATAATTGACTAATGATGAAGAATTAATATAATAATTTATAATAAAATGGTGTAATGATAATAAAATCAGTGAAATTTCAACTGGCTAATTCCACACTCAGATGAGACCAAGATGTTGACCAGAAGGCAATCCACACAGTGACTCTGGAAGGGAGCCCGTCTGAAGCAGTGACCGGTTTTTCTTCCTGATCAGCTCTAGCAGTGCAGGTGGTGATGTGTGATATTCGGATGGATGCTGGAAAACTAACCCTCCTCTGGTGGTGAAGAGTTCCACTTTGATATGTCTGGGGATTCCTGAAGCCTTTCCAGGACCCTTCAGCACTAATGTTAGGGTCCTCGGCATTACAGACCCACCTTCAGCATGGGAGTAACGGTAAATACCAGCGGGAGGAGGCAACAGAGGTGAAATGGAAGAGCATGTGTGCCTGCCCCTCGTGGTGCCACCAGGAAAGCAGGGGGTCTTCAGGGCCAGGGCCCAGAGAGAGCACTTCAGAGATGAATTTCTACCTCCTTGGTCTCCTGCGGTGCTTAATTAAGGCCTCTTGAACTTGCTGGGCTAGAGAAAGATGAGCTGAGACCCTGGAGTTAGTTAAATTCCTAGGAGCGCTTTGATGTTACTTTCTGGGGACTTGGGTTTTGGAATACTGCAAGATCCGGCCTCAATGTCTCTGTCCACAATGAGCAGCTTCCTCGGGAGCCTGGCCAGCCTCGATTTGTTGGGCACAGGGGAGAGGTGGAGGAAAAGCACTGGTAGGAAATAAGCCCAAACCATGAATCACCCCTTTCCTCCTAAAGAAGCTACTGTTAAGAGTGAATTGGCTGAAATTTCCAGAGGGCTTTTGGCCACCAGCACTACAATTAGGAAAGAAAACCAAGCGATAAAAACAAATCTAAACCACAGACTAAATCACCACTCCATGATAACCCATCCAAAAAGAGCACAATCCAGCCAGAACTGATTCCCGGCACAAGACCAGCCTGGTCTTTCCGAGCTCTGGAGAGGTCTAAGAAGATCCCAGAGGAGAGGTGAGCTCGGACAGGGATCGTGCTGTCAGGTTTGCCCAAGGTGTTCCTAGTGTACACCGGGTGCTCCTGGCTAACTCACAGGAGCCTCATTCATTCTCGAAAGCGTCCCAGTTTAGATCATAAATTATATGATCATCTTAAAAAGAAAAGAAAGCAAGCCACTGAAAATAACCTGCGGCCTCAAGACTTCAGCAAGTCGGCTCTCAATTCTCTTCCTATGTGACTCTTGCTTGGGGCTGGCGAACCATGGCCTGAGGGACAAAGTCTGCCCTGGTCCTGCTTTAGTATGGCCCACGAGCTAAGAACGGTTTTTACATTTTTAAAGGGCATTTAAATAAAAACAAATATGTGACAGAGACCACAAGTGGCCCGCAAAACCTAAAACATTCACTACCTAGTTCTTTACAGGAAAAGGTTGCCGACCCCCAACCCGGCCACTTGATCTTGTAGCTTTGGGTAGAGGGCTGAGATCTTGGATCATTATTGATGCCTTTGGCCCCAGAGAATTTTGACGATTCTGTATCCTCATCCTACCTTTGCCAAATCCAAGGCCCAGCCCCGGGTCCCCCAGTGCTAGAGAGGCAAAGTAGTGTTTGTGGAATGAACAACATCAATGCAAGCATGTCACTTACCAGAGAATCCCATGCAGAAAGCAAAAGGCATCTGTTGAGTTTCCCTCTCTCTCTTCTCCTCCAAGGGGAGGTGACAAGAAGGAATGAGGTTTACTTAAAGCCTTTCCGTGCCACACAGGGTTTCTATTCTGGTGGAAGGGAATGCTGCGGCCAAGAATTCGGCCTCTCTCCTGGAATGCCCCTGCAGCCACGGTTCCTTGGTGGTTTCCTTCCACCAATTTAGCCTGAGGTTTAATCAGGCCCTCGGAGACCCACATCATTTCATTCTAACTTTCATACTTCTACACGGTCTGTGGTCCTAGTACGTGCTGAGGAAGCCCTTGGGAGGAATGCAGCTTTTCCTGTAGAAAAATGATTATGTTCACTCCTTTCCTGGAAACTGTATCTCTCCAGCATGGGGGACAACTTTTGAGAATCATCATCTTGGTCTCTCAGTTCTATGAGATTGATTCTGGTTCACAGGGACAGTTCTTGGAACAAAGACTTATGTCGTCCTCCTGGCTCAGTCACTGATGGGCTCTGGGACTTGAAGAAACTCACTCAGGGCCTTTGTCTCTCACTCTCTCGCTCTTTCTTTGTTTTTTTTTTTTTTTTTTTTTGGTGACAGAGTCTCACACTGTTGCCCAGCCTAGAGAGCAGTGGTACAATCACAGCTCACTGAAGCCTCGAACTCCTGATTCAAGTCATCTTCCTGCCTCAGCCCCCTGAACAGCTGGTATACAGACACGGTACCACACCCAGCTATTAAATTTTTTTTTTTTTTTAAGAGATGGGGTCTCACTATGTTGCCCAGGCTGGTCTCGAACTCCTAGCCTCAAGCTATCCTCCCAAGGTGCTGGGATTGCAGATGTGAGCCACTGTGCCCAGCCACCTTCCTCTCTTTACCCATAAAAAGAGAGCTCTGTGATATTTCTTCCAGCCCAGTCACTGAGGATGTGATGAAGTCCAAGCAAGTGTCTGGAATGTGATTCACTCCCGTGATTCCTGGAGAGGACACAAATAGTGTACAAGGTACTTCTTATGAGAGTCTATATTTAGAAACCTCTTAAAAATGAACATGTTGGCTGACTCTCAAAAGCATTCAGGGCACTGCTAGAGCCCCTGGTTACCTTATTCCTACTAAACATGCTCAGGGCCCCTTCAGTAGAGCCACTGACAGGAGATGGGAAGCCAAAGAGGTCGGTGGCAGAGCTTGGATTGGAAGCCAGACTTCCTGAATTCCAATACCTTCCAGTGGCTCTCCATGCTCACCAGAGGCGTCACCCGGAATATGTGAATGTCCTCTGTGGGGGTTGTGGGAAAAGCACCTGGCACTGCTTTGTATATGGAAGCTGAGTGGTAAATGTTCAATTGAATTACTCAGAGCTGGACATTTGCCATTCTGGAGACATTGCTCTAGAAAAGTGTTTTTTTCTTATTTTTATTCCAGACATTCCTGAGGTGTTGGTCTCACAACTTATGATTAGGTAATGATTATTAAAACCTCACTGAACCTCAAATAGACATTCACGAAAGCCAGAGTTAACGTCTCCACCCTTCCTATGTCTGTGAAGGCAAGTTGTGGGCAGAGTGTAAAAATCTGGAGAAAGTTACGTACGGAGCTCACTTTTTGCATCTACACACTAGCTGCTAAACTTTAATACACTCTGCCTTTCCACTGGAGCCACCGCCCACTTCCCCAGGGTGGCAGAGGACTTGTTGACATGGAACTTCTAGATGCAGCTTCCCACCCCCACTCTGCCTGCATCTTGTCCTGAACTTTGGAAAAAAGCAGCTCTGGAAATCTCACTTAGGGTGACTATCCGCTACCTATCCGGGGCTGTTTTGTTTTGCTGCTTAGTTTGTTTGCTCAAGCAGTTAAAAGCTATGGTAGCCATTTATAGTTTTCCTGCTTTTGTTTGAATACGTCTGTCTGCACTGTACTTCAAGTGCAAATGACAGGGTAAGAATGCCTATGACCTAGGATCATTAAAAATGGGTGCAGAATAACACTAGCTCCTGTATCTCTTCCCTAGCACTTACCTTCTCAGCTATGCTAAAGCAATTAACTCCTCTCTGCCTTGCACATTTAACTCAGCCATTGACTGCAAGCTTTTTCTTTGGAAACCTAAGATCTACATGTGGAAACATATCGATTTGAAATGTTTCTCCACTTACTCTGGCTCTAAGAATAGAAGGACACTTTCAGTTTTGTTTTGTCTTCCTTTATTACATTTTTGCTTTTGAGATACAAACCAACCTCTCATACCACACAAAGAACATCCATTCTTGGGATTTTTAAAGTGCATTTCCCCTTGAACTCTGTGTACAAAAATATTTATCTTTTAAAACATGCAAAAATTTCTTGACAAGGCACTTTTAGGTATAAAATGAAGATGAGTCCTTGGTTCTACATTCACACTGAAGTAATAGTGAAACATCATCACAGCTGCACTCTCAAAGCCCTCAGAGGTCCAGCAGTCTCTAAAAACTCGTCAACAAGACTAAAAACATTCACGGCTTTACAATGTGGGTTACAGAGCTTTACAACCATGACCAGGAAAAACTGCTCGTAACAACAGCTGTCCTTCCCAGTTCCACATGTGTTGTCTCACTGCAGGAAATTAAGATAAGCTGCCAAATTGTCTTTGTGTGACCCTATAAGATCCCATCATCCATGTAACTTCTTGTCTCCGATTTCAGTGAACATGTCAGGAGAGACGTGATCGGGACTCTCCCAGGACTACATTCAGGTGAGAAATTTTAGAAGAGGAAACAAATAAAAGGCAACCAAGGTTTTCATCCCCTATCCATTGAGAGGGAAGATCCAGAAAATGGGCAGTTCCAAAAAAGGAACACTTTTTTGATTGATAAGCATATATGGCCCATTTAATGTCCATGACTACAACTAATGCCTTTTTTCAAAAAGAAAATGGTTTGAAAAGATCAAAACCACAGAGCAATCTCCTAACAGTTCCAAATTTACATCTTCTAAGAATGTATAATTTTGCCACCATTAAAATGAAATCTTAAAGGTAAATTAAATTCTCCCATTGACTCTGACATTGTTTTAATTTCTGGAGAACTGTACAGCTTCATTATTTCTCACCAGCTCCAGTAGAATAATTTTTTAAATAAAGAAACCCACTCAAATGCTTCATGTCTTCCAATAGATACTGAAAGCTTATTTATTAAATATCTTTGTATAATCCAGCTTATTTATTGTACCCAGTTTGCAAATGCTCCTCAGGGCACTTGAGGGAATAAATATAAAACAAAAATGAAGTTGCTTCCCTATTGCCGGACAACTGCACCTGTGACAGGTGGCTGGTCTTTCTGGGGCAACCTGGGAAAGATTCTGGGACTCGGGGGCCACTTGTAACCATAACCAAGAGCTGTCTGAAGGCAAATCTACAAGTCAAGGTGCAGTGAAGTCTCCAAGTAAGAAACCTGTCACCCTCTGAAGTGTGTAGGCTTATCTACTGATGATGAGCTATCAAACAAGGAGAGAATACATCAGCGCAGCTCCCGAGGCCTTCTGAGAATTTCACGGGACAGAACTGGGCCAAAAGGAAGAAGACTGTTTGCGGCAGGAGGGTAGCAGAGGAGCAAGTGGTAAACAGAAGACAGATAGAAGGCAGTATTCTTCAGACCCCCATACATCACTGAATGACAGCCCTGATGAGGAAACTCAGGCAAGTAGAGTCTTTTATTGGAGAAGAAGGGTCTTTGCGAGCAGGTGAGGACTTGCCTTCTGAACTGTGCGGCAGGGTGAGCATCCCAGGTGTGCTGGCTGGGGGCTTGCATCCAGCACCCCCAGCAAAAAAAGCCAGGGTGAGCTGGGAGAAAGACGGGTAGTGGGGAGGGTTTACGGCTGCTTTAGAAGAGATAGTTATCACTGAATTACCATATTTCAAATTTTGACATGGGAATGTCTTAAGATCATTATTAGATAAAATTAAACTGACTTTATTAAACAGAGTCACTTCAGGCCTTTTTCTTATGAACAGAGTGATCCTTAGTCGGGTAACATGTCAATGACAGTGCACTCTGTGCCTCTCCTGCATTGTGGGGAGGGCACTTCTTAAGGCAAAGTAAAATTCAGGACCTGCATGAAATCAGTTTTGCTTCCATTTGAGTTCGATTTATGCTATTAATAGTTCTGATCACCAAATTTATAACATTTAAAGTACTGTCTGTTACCCGATGTCTGGTATGTTTACATAAAACGTGGTTCTGCCCAGTAACAGCATAAGGTAAAAATGTGATTTCCCCTAAAATTATAACATCATGTCATCCTAGAGTGTTACCCACCTGGGAGAGGTACAAAAAACAAAGCATTAGATTTCAGGCTAAGAACAGCCAGTTTTAGGAGTAAGAATTACATCGAATAGCCTTAAGAGCATTTAAAAAGTCAAGGCATCTTAAACTTCAGAAATGAAAACAAAACCAAAACAAAACAACAACAAAAACAACCTAACCCAACCACAAAACTCTAGGAGCCAAGGCACTCAGTATCTGCCTGTTGGTTATGTACAAAGCCACAAATGGGAGGTCTTTTCAAATTAATCTGGAAAATCCAAGCACAAGACTCTTAGCTTGAAAAGCCTGACAACTCTGCCTCCAAATCCAGGCAACTGTGCTTCCACTCCTCTTCTTGCTTGCCTTAGGAAAACTTCACTTTAGTAAGATAAGGCAAAACAGAAAATAAAAGAGTCGTTTAACCAAACTCCAAAAACAAACAAAAATAGAAAATAAAAAACCAACTTCCTACAAGTATACTTGTAAAAATATATTTTTAAAGCACCCCTAAGTAAACACCAATCTTGCCCAAGAAAAATCACAGGTTTGGGGCCTATCTGATAATGACTGTCCCGGAAGTCTCTCTTTTTTGAGACAGTTTCACTCTGTCGCTCAGGCTGAAATGCAGTGACGTGATCTCGGCTCACTGCAACCTCCACCTCCTGGGTTCAAGTGATTCTCCTGCCTCAGCCTCCCGAGTAGCTGGATTACAGGCGCCTGCCACCACACTCAGCTAAATTTTGTATTTTTAGTACAGACGAGGTTTCACCATGTTGGCCAGGCTGGTCTTGAACGCCTGACCTCAGGTGAGCTGCCCGCCTTGGCTTCCCAAAGTGCAGGGATTACAGGCATAAGCCACCACACTCGGCCCCAGAGGTCTCTTTTACAACAGCACTAACCAACAGACTTTAGTCCAATATGGTTAAGAACAATGAATCTCTGAAATTTCAGAGTTGGCAAACGTTTAAAATAACGTATAAGAACTTGGGTGAGGTTTTTCTCCCCTATCTCTTTACATACACACCATAAATAAGAACACCCAAGTCCATGTCCCTGGGTGCTGGTAAAGTGTTCTAGATAGTGTGAATCACAGTCACGATAAAACCATTTTCTGAAGGTTTCGAGGAGATATTGGATATGCAAATCAAATGTCCTAAACACAGCAGAAAAGATGACTCTTTGGGAAAGGAGATTCAAAATTCTCTTTTTTTTTCTGTTTGAGACGGAGTCTCGCTCTGCTGCCCAGGCGGGAATGCAGTGGTGTGATCTCGGTTCACTGTAAGCTCCGCCTCCCAGGTTCCCGCCATTCTCCTGCCTCAGCCTCCCAAGTAGCTGGGACTACAGGCGCCCGCCACCACGCCTGGCTAATTTTTTTGTATTTTTAGTAGAGACAGGGTTTCACCGTGTTAGCCAGGATGGTCTCGATCTCCTGACCTCGTGATCCACCTGCCTCGGCCTCCCAAAGTGCTGGGATTACAGGCATAAGCCACCGCGCCCGGCCCCAAAATTCTTTCATAAAGAATGAGACAAACCAGCCAAGCACGTTAAAGTCATTGAGCTTTCGGGGGAAAAATCAGATTTTTCCGGTGACTCGGGGTAAATGTGGGGACTTAGAAAGCTCCCCCTAGAAGGCAAAAGTAGAAGCTGAAAGTGTCCCCACTCTTGACTGTCCTGCCTTGTCAGAACCCTGCAATCTGTGACACCGCACAGGAGCCAGTGGGTTTTGATGACTGGTGTGTTGCTCTCTGCTGGAATACATCTGTGGGGTCAAGAAGCGGGAGGAGGAAATGCCTGTCTCAACCACTAACTAATTTGCCTTTATTATCTTTTCCTGAACATCAGATCAATTGTGGAAGAACATAAAATGCAAAACATGAACTTGCAGAAAACAAGAGCCAATCCCATTTCTCTTCTGCAGCTGCACTGGAAATGTGCGTCAGCTCAGTGTGTCACAGCAGAGATACACGTGGACGGGGAAGCACAGCAGCTTGCAGGAAAGGCCTGGCTGGCAGAGAGCACCCAAAGATGAACACAATGAACAGTGAGGGTCTCACGCGAGGTGGCTGGGGCTGAGTGGCTTTTGGCGACTGATGTCCCACATCTGAGTGGAGAGCAGAAGAGAGACTCCTCCAGCTTCATCAGCACTGGCATAGGCTTGATTCCCATCCATACCCTTTCCAGCACAGACGTGCACAGACTCTCGTGGCTGCCACAGTGCGAAAGCGCGCCAGCCACCACTGCTCCTTTGAGTGAGACACTGGTTGTGTAATCTGAACCTGGCTGGATTTGCTGTTTAAGAAAGAAGTGAAGAGGATCCTTTTATTTTCCCAAACGGGGCCTCATGGAAGTTCCACGTTGCTCCTCCCTGGCCTTCCATCTCCACTGCACAGTGAGCAGAGCTAGGCTTGTCTGTGGCAGCTCCGCCACGCCCTGTCACCTGCAGTCACTAGTAGTAGGGCCCTAGCTTTTCATATCCTAAGTAACTTGGCCACTCTGGAAACAGACCATAGGAACACCGAGGGCTTCCGAACTGGTCAAAGGATATTCCCAAATCCGGTCCACTGTGGGGCTTGGTCATTCCCTGGGTAGATTTTAACTCAGCCCGGATGATCCTATAGTTCTTGCCTCTGTTGCTGTCCCAGTACGTCTGTCCATTGCACTCGTAGTACACAGCAAACTCCATTCTTTCATAAGACTGAATCTTCTCGGGCAAGCTGATGTCGAAGGAGAACGTGTCCCTGTCTGAACCGGCATAAGTGTCCTTCACGTACTGACAAGGAAAGTCTGTGTAGCTCTTCCAGGTGTCGAACGTCATCCTTATTTTCACGGTCTTCTCAAATGCGAGGTTCTGAACCTTCACAGTGCCTGCAATGGCCTTGTCCTTGAGCACACAGTTCTCAAGGCAGACGTGGTCGGCCTGAAGTCGATTTCTAAAGTCTAAGTAATCTGCAGAGGGCTGGGAAAAATCCAGAACAAAGCTCTCGCTCTCTGCTGTCGTCAAGCTCACAATGTTGTCTAGGAGCTCGGTGATGTTGAATGGCATATCTAGCGGGTCATCGAATTCCGAGAACACTTTGACCATTGTCAGGGCCAGCCCCTGGTTGTCTGCGAAGGACACCCGCTTTTTCACCTTCTTCTCCTGGACAGCCGGGGCCACCATTCCACTGGCTTCATTCTTGCTGCTCAGCTGAATACAAGGCCTCAGTGGTTTGCTGGGCTTTGGTGAGATCTTAAAGGCAAACCTCTCTTGGCGCAAGGAAGGAGCCATGCAGTTGTATCTGTACTCGATGTCCACAGCCATCATGGGGCTAGATGAACAGGCTAGAACCGTGGAAAGGGAAGAGAAGAAAGAAAACAGTGGAGCAATCAGATCAGACAGATGTGTAAAGGCATCATTCCAGCAGGGACTGGCAAACAATATTTCCTTTTATCTATGCCCACCTGGCTACAGGTCAGGATTAACTCTGGTGTGGTCCAGCACAACATGCGTTTGAGAGAAGATTATGTTGTGGGGGGACGAGATGCGGTGGGGGGTGGGGGGTGCTTCAAGGTTAAAACAAACAAAAGAGTATGAAACCCACTAGTTTTAAAACTAAATGCACAGGTTTTTTGGTCAGCATTTCTTGGGGCCTTCCGTTGGCAAATGTGCCACAGAGGATAATCAAAAGGGCATATATACTGTTTTAAAATTTCCCAAATCTATTTGACTAAAAGGGTGTCTTCCACAGATAGCTGTCCTGAGGGACACTATTTATTTACGTATTTTTAGAGATAGGGTGTTGCTCTGTGCCCAGGCTGGAGCGCAGTGGCGTGAGCACAGCTCACTGCAGCCTCGACCTCCCAGGCTCAAATGATCCTCCCACCTCAGCCTCCCAAGAAAGTGGGACCACAGGCGCAAGTCACCATGCTTGGCTAATTTTAAAAAATTTTTGTAGAGACAGGACTCGCTATGTTGCCCAGGCTGGTCTCACACTCCTGGCTCAATCCATCCTCCTGCCTTGACCTCCCAAGGTGCTAGGATTACAGGTGTGAGCCTCTCTGCCTCTCTTTATTAATTGAGAAGTAAAAATTGTATATTCTTATGGTGTACAACAGGTTTCCATATATGTATACATTGTGGAATGGCTAAATCGAGCTATTTAACATGCATTATATCACACTTTTTTTGCAGTGAGAACACTTAAAATCCACTCTCAGCAATTTTCAAATATATAACATATCATTACCAAGTATAGGCACCATATTGTACATCAGATCTCTTGAATTTATTCCTCCCGTCTACCTGAAATTTTGTATCCTTTGGCCAAAGGATACCTCTCCAGTCCCTCTACCCTCACTTTCTGGTAGCCACCCCTGTACTCTCTGTTTCTATGAGTTTGACTTTTTCAGATTCCACATATAAGTGAGATCATGCTATATTTGTCACTCTGTGCCTGACTTATTCACTTAACATCCTCCAGGTTCATCCCCGTTGGCACAAATGACAGGATTTCCTTCTTTCTTCAGGTAGAATGGTATTCCACTGTGTTTATATACCATGTTTTCTTTATTCACTCATCCAATGATGGGCACTTAGGTTGATTCCGTATCTTGGCTTAGTGAATAACGCTGCAATGAACATAAGAGTACAGATAACTCTCCGATACACTGACTTCAATTCCTTTGGATATATGTCCTGCAGTGGGATTGCCGGGTCATATAGTAGTTCTAGTTGTGGTTTTTTGAGGAGCCTCCCTACTATTTTCCATAATGGCTGTACTAATTTACATTCCCACCAGCAGGAGACAAGGGTTCCCTTTTCTCCACGTCTTTGCCAATACTTATTTTCTTTGGTCTTCTTGAAAATAGCCATCCTAACGGGTGTGACGTGACATCTCATTGTGGCTTTATATTTGCTATAATCTGATAAAAAGAAATGGATTCATCCCACAAATAGGGATTGGGTGTTTCCTATATGGCAGGCATCAAGCAAGATACTGGGAATTCAATAGTGAAGATAGACACAAACCTGCTTTCATTAAGTTTATGGTAGGTTTTTAAATGTCAGGATACCATTCTTTTAAAAAGAACCAGCAGGCCTGGGCGGTGGCTCACGCCTGTAATCCCAACACTTTGGGAGGCTGGGCAGGTGGTTCATCTGAGGTCAGGAGTTTGAGACCAGCCTGACCAATATGGTGAAACCCCATCTCTACTAAAATTACAAAAATTAGCTGGGCATGGTGGCATGCACCTGTAGTCCCAGCTGCTCTGTAGGCTGAGACAGCAGAATTGCTTGAACCTGGGAGGCGGAGGTTGCAGTGTGCAGAGATCACACACTCCAGCCTGGGCCACAGAGCAAGACTCTGTCTCAAAAAAAATAAAAATAAATAAAATAAAAACAACCAGCAATTTCGTATTCTTAAGCCTTTAACATAGGTGAATATTTGTTTTTTCCACAAGTAAAAAATTGGCTCTATAAGAATAAAAAGCAAAGAGAATCATGCTGAAAGAGGATAAATCTGAGTTAACAAAAACTATATTTTCTTTAAGTAAAAACGATAAGTAAAACAAAAAAAGACTACAGACAAACTGTGAAAATATTTTACAATAAGCATAGCAGCAGAGCTAATACCTTAATATGTAAAGTGTTCTTACAAAGCAATAATAAAGTCAAATATTCCACATAGAAAAATAAGCAAAGAACATGAATAGAAAATTCATGAAAAAAAATTTTAAAGTGGCCTATAAATATGCAAAATGTTCAACCTTATTATTAATTTAAGAAATTTAGATGAAAAACAATGTCTGTTTTTTATTTATTGAATTAGGAAAAAAATTGAAAAGATAATACAAGTTTTTCTTTTTTTTTTTTTTTTGTTTGAGACTGGGTCTTACTCTGTCACCTAGGCTGGAGTGAAGTGGTATGAACATGGCTTATGGCAGCCTCCACCTCCTGGGCTCAAGCGGTCCTCCCACCTCAGCCTCCCGAGTAGCTAGGACCACAGGCATGAGCCACCATGTCCGGCTAATTTTTAAAAAATATTTTTTTGTAGAGACGAGGTCTCACTATGTTGCTCAGACCAGTCTTGAATTCCTGGACTCAAGCAATCCTCCCACCTCAGCCTCCCAAAATGCTGGGATTTATAGGTATGAGCCACTGTGCCCAGCCAATGCAAACATTTTCATTAGTTAAAATTGGTACAAACTTTCTAATTTTTTAATCATTTTTTATCCTAATATCACATAGAGACATTTATCCTAGGTAAAGAATTAAAAACACACAGAGATTAAGGTACTAAAATGTTCAATGCCACATTATAGGGGGAAAAAGATGACAAAATAACCTAGGTGACCATTAACAGGTACCTGGTTAAATTAAATGTACCACATCCATGTGATGTACTTTTATTTTTACTGTTGTTATTTTTTCCTTTTTTGAGACAGAGTTTCACTCGTGTCACCCAGGCTGGAGTGCAATGGCACAATCTCGGTTCACTGCAACCTCCACCTCCCAGGTTCAAGTGATTCTCCTGCCTTAGCCTTTCGAGTAGCTGGGATTACAGGAGTCTGCCACCACGCCCAGCTAATTTTTGTATTTTTAGTAGAGACAGGGTTTCACCATGTTGGCCAAGCTGGTCTCAAACTCCTGACCTCAGGTGATCCACCCGCCTCGGCCTCCCAAAGTGCTGGGATTGCAGGCGGGGAGCCATCATGGCCAGCCCATGTGATGTAATTTTATATCATCATTAAAGCCATTATTTTAAAAAAGATTCAAATGAAATGAAAAAAAAATATTATATATTTATATTTATGTCTACATATGTATATATATATAGAGAGAGAGAAGATAAAATTGTACATAGAAACTAGACTTGTGGGGAAAAATGCTGTTGTCACTTCAACGACATGAGTTTGAACTTTGTAGGTCCACGTATGCTCAGATTCTCTTCTGCCTCTGCCGCCCTGAGACAGCAAGACCAACCCCTTCTCCTCCTCTTCCTCCTCCTCAGCCTACTCAACGTGAAGAGGATGAGAATGAAGACCTTTATGATGACCCGCATCCACTTAATGAATAGTAAATATATTTTCTCTTTCCTATGATTTTCTTAACATTTTCTTTCCTTTAGTTTACTTTACTATAAGAATACGGTATATGTTACAAATAAAATACAAAATATGTGTTAATCGACTGTTGATGTTATTGGTAAGACTCTGGTCAACAGTAAGCTGTTAGAAGTGAAGGTTTTGGGGAGTCAAAAGTTATATGTGGATTTTTGACTGTGTGGGGGCTAGGCTCCCCTAGACTCCATGTTGTCCAAGGATCAACTGTATTATGTAAATGCAGAGAAAAAAGACTAGAGATATATATTTAAAATCAGAATACCTAGGTGACAAGATTTCAGGAATTTCTGGTATCCTGGTTTGTATTATATCTTCTAAAATAATATTGCTTCTATCATCAGAACAAAATGAACCTAAAAAAAATCCTCAAATATTTTATGATATGCCAAAAACCCATCCCATCACTACTGCCTCACTAAAGCTGAGCACTTTTTTTTTATAAGACAGGATCTTGCTGTGTTGCCCAGGCTGGAGTGCAGTGGTGCAATCATAGCTCACTGGAACCTCAAACTCCTGGGCCCAAGCAATCCTCCCGCCTCAGCCTCCAAAGTAGCTGGAACTACAGGTGTGCACCTCCATGCCCAGCTAATTTTTCAATTTTTATAGAGGCAGGGTTTCACCATGTTGCCCAGGTTGGTCTCAAACTCCTGAGCTCAAGCAATCCTCCCGCTTCAGCCTCCCAAAATCTGAGCACTTTTTATCATTCTAATTACCATGGCAAATTTATATTTTGATTTGACAGTTTCAATGGACTAAATTAAGGAAATGAGTGCCGAAACTAGGATTAAAATCTCAAGTCTGAGAATCACAGAACACAGGATCTGGATGAGTCCCCAAACCTATCTCCCCTCAACCTATCTTACCCCTCCTTATGGCACAGGTGTAGGTGTGTGATGACGTGTTGGGGAGCTCACTCTCAAGCAGCCATGGCCACCCCTGAGAAGTGACAGGCAACATGCCAAGTGTCTTCTGTAAAGAGCTGGGACCACTGGTTCAGTTCTATAAATAACCTCTCATTTTCACCTTCTGATTGTGATTAACCAAACATGTAAAGAAAAAAGGTGAACGGACGAACACATATCAGATTTGACCCCATTTTTCCAAAAGTACAGAACTTCCCTGGGATGCAAGAAACCCTTACAGATGGCCAGTCAGAGAAATACACATATTCGGAAACAAATAAAACAATAACTTATGGCCAGAATGCAGGTGCTTAAACATTCATTTTAAAGGATATCTGTCTCACTGTTTCCCCTTTAAGAAAATCAATCTAGTGAAAATTTTAAGGGCAAATTTGCTTTCAATGATCTGTTCTTATAGCCACGTAACTGTTCTGGAAAGGAAAGTTCTGACTGAATTAGGCAAGGTAGGTTTGCAGAGGTTCCACGGATTGACTAACAGATTCAATGTAAAAAAAAAATCCTATACTTACAAAATATCTAAATTTTAGTTACTCTTGTCCTTTGCAAAACTGTGCTGGAATTATACCCTCAGCTCTAACTGTAACACAGGTAGTGTTTTTGTTTTGTCTTATTTTTAATTTTTTTTTTTTCGAGATGGAGTCTTGCTCTGTTGCCCAGGCTGGAGTGCCGTGGCGCAATCTCAGCTCACTGCAACCTCTGCCATCCGGGTTCAAGCGATTCTCCTGCCTCAGCCTCCCAAGTAGCTGGGACTACTCGTGCCACCACCCCTGGGATTACAGGCGTGCACCACCACCCCCAGCTAATTTTTGTATTTTTAGTAGAGACGGGGTTTCACCATGTCAGGCTGGTCTCGAACTCCTGACCTCATGATCTGCTCCCCTCAGCCTCCCACAGTGCTGGGATTATAGGCATGAGCCACCGTGCCCAGCCTTGTTTTTAAACAAGTACGAAAACCAAACAAGAGGCTATATCTGGCATCCCAGTGCCCCCCACTCTACCCATCCTGAAAAATCTGGGTGTGAACTGAGGGAGGAAGGGTTCCTCTTCACAGCTTCCTCCTCAACTGAGTCAGCACAGGTTATCTGCAAGTTCTCTTTGCACTTCCAAGAAGCCTGCAAACCAGCCTCCTACGTGCTTTTTCTGCATGTTAGGAAAAGCCTTGGAAACTCTCAAGATATTGTGGAAACAGCCAAAGCAAAAGGATCAATCAAAGAATCTACACACAGCCCACTAGAGCCAATGTCCCAAGTTCTAATCCCGCAGGCTGAAGAGACTTAGCTGAAGACCTTGGTAGAGTTTCACTGTTTCACCCCAGTGGCATAAATTTGTCCCTGAGATCCCTTTTTATCACCAAGCTGTAAGAACAAGCAGAAGTCCGGCTTGGAGAGGCCAGGCTCTAGTCAGAGCCAGAGCTAATTAAACAATGCTGCTGGCACTTGAAGGAGCCAAACTGCTATTACAAGATTCTTCCATGAAAGGCAAAAGTAAGGTTATGATGGCTCAAGAGTTACCCGCAGGACTACTACCCCAGGGACATTGCACAAGCAACCCCAGTCTAGAATCCCTTCACTTTGTGTGTCACCATAACTGCAGGTGAGGACATTAACCTGTGTGGCCTCAATCTGGGGTATGACTCGACTGTCAGTCACCTTGCCTGTCCCACAGATAGCTTCCAGATTTTATTTACCAGGTCATTCTCCAAGAATCAGCACACCAAAGTGCTGGTTTGGTGTAGGCTTTCCTGAACTGCTCAGGAACTCCCCAGCGGACTGTGACAGGGATGGCTGCCGCCATGCAGAAGTACTCCTAGCAACTGAGATGTGCAAGGTAATATTAAGTTCCTGAAAAGAAGGCACCTGGACAGGTGCTTCTTTTACAAATGACATGAAAATGATCGGTTCCAACACAGGAAGCACCAGGCTGCAGCCCAGCCTCCTCTCCTGACAGACTCTCTGGCTGCTCCAGCTCTGTCCTTTTCCCAGGCCAGGGAATATGAGTCACCAAAGTTGGCCAAGGGGGAAAAAAAAAGAACCAGAAGTTATGGACATACATTTGAACCATGAGAGCAGGACTCAGGATCTGATACCAGTTGCAGGATAGGAATGAGTGTATGAGTGCTGCTCCCAGGTAGGTATGAATTCTCAAACACTTGCTTCCATAGAGATGCCTCAGAGCTCAGGGATCAGTTTCTCTGGTGAGAGACTGGGCCATGCTTGAGGGTAGATTACAGTGTTCATGGCTAAGACAGGGCAAACCCTAACAGATCATGGAGATAGTTTTGCATAAATGCTTTATCTGTTCCACTCATAACACACCTTCTCAAGACAGCTGGCCAAGGTTAGACGGCCATGGTGATAACTATAGACCTGCACAGAAAATAACCCTATGACCTTCACGGTTTCAGGCAGCTGAACTACTGACTTTCTGGCTGTACCTTTCATAGGGAGGAAATCTTTTTTGTATCAGGGCCACGACATTATCCCCTCCATTCTCTTATTCTCTCTCTCTCTTTCTTCTGGTAAGAAAAGACAAAAAGGCCGGGCGTGGTGGCTCACGCCTGTAATCCCAGCACTTTGGGAGGCCGAGGCGGGCGGATCACGAGATCAGGAGATCGAGACCATCCTGGCGAACACGGTGAAACCCCGTCTCTACTAAAAATACAAAAAAAAAAAATTAGCCGGGCGTGGCGGCGGGCGCCTGTAGTCCCAGCTACTCAGGAGGCCGAGGCAGGAGAATGGCGCGAACCCGGGAGGCGGAGCTTGCAGTGAGCCGAGATGGCGCCACTGCAGTCCAGCCTGGGCGACAGAGCGAAACTACGTCTCAAAAAAAAAAAAAAAAGGCAAAAAAAGGCCGGGCGTGGTGGCTCACGCCTGTAATCCCAGCACTTTGGGAGGCCGAGGCGGGCAGATCACGAGGTCAGGAGATCGACACCATCCTGGCTAACACGGTGAAACCCCGTCTCTACTAAAAATACAAATAAAAATTAGCTGGGCGTGGTGGCGGGCGCCTGTAGTCCCAGCTACTCAGGAGGCCGAGGCAGGAGAATGGCGTGAACCCGGGAGGCGGAGCTTACAATGAGCCAGAGATGGCGCCACTGCACTCCAGCCTGGGCGACAGAGCGACACTCCGTCTCAAAACAAACAAACAAAACCAAACAAACAAAAAAATCAGATGCACAAGCAACCCACCAGGAACACTGAAAGCTGCCGAACTGCATTCAGTAAACATTCACAACCAGGTTATAATTTTCATTTTTAAAGACATGGCCATCTACCTCCCTCCAACAATTCTGTGTTCCCTTCCAAAAGGTTTCACTGATCCAGCATGAAGAGAGTGCATGTCTTTCCCCTTTGTACTCAGACCATGGGGGCCTATTCACAGCCTTAAAGGCTCCTTGTACCCCTTGATCCTGTCCCCATCATCCAAAGCATCTTGGAGACTGACATTTGTGAATACAGTTGCATATTCTAGGAAAGAGGCAAGTTCAAATGACACAGCCCCTGCCGTCTAAAAACGTACGAGGGAAAACAGAGTACTAGGCTAAGAA
Source organism: Homo sapiens (assembly GCF_000001405.40). Lineage (NCBI taxonomy): Eukaryota > Metazoa > Chordata > Mammalia > Primates > Hominidae > Homo > Homo sapiens. Next base: position 4,201,711 of record NW_018654717.1, on the reverse strand, counting down.
TGCCCGCACCTTGCTTTGCTACTTGAGCGAGTCACTCAGCTGCTCTGGGCTTGAGGTCCCCTCCAAGGTCCCTGCTGGCCCTGACATTGTATGTTGCGACCCACCCCTGGTGCCGCTTCTCTTCCCACTAACTTTTTTTCCTAAATACCTCAACTGTACTTTTGTGTAAGTCCTCCAGCTGTCTTCACTTTAGTTTTGGCTCCTGGACAACTCTGCCCAAGGAAACATTTCCTCCTCTCCTCCTCTTCCTCCCAGACCAAAGCTCTAATTGTCTCTTCTGCTGCACCCTGGGTCTCCCAGGCAGGCCCCCGCCACTCAGACCACAGGTTCCAACACCTTCCAAGTCTCCAAGTTCCCAAGTCCAGTCTTTCCTCTGTTTTCTCCTCTTTTTCAGAAAACAGTGCTCTGACAGGCCCCAAATCTTCCAGTAAGTCATTACCGGCCCCCACTCCCTCTTTTGCAGCTACTGTGCCTTCCACACCCCTTTTTCTGGATTCCAAAGAGACGCAGGAGCAGGCCAGTGCTCTCCAGGCTGGAGGATCCCACAAGTTACTCTCCGACTCTGTCCCCTCCGTCCAGTTTGACCAGGGCTGCACTCCGCCCCCAACCTCCCTACAAGCCTCCTTGGCCTCGCGCCGCACCCACCTTTTGGGCCGCGGAGAAGCCCCCTCCCCAGCTCGCTCGCCGCATCGGAGAGCCCGCAGGGTTGTGGCAAGCGCGACTACGTGAGCGTCGGTGTGTCCGGGAGGCAGGGCCTGGGCTGGGTTCCCGGAGATGTCGGCGGTGGGAGGAAGACGACGAGGAGGAGGAGCCCGTTATCGCACCCGGGCGGGGCCGGCAAAGGGGCAACCCCGGCCGGAGCAAGCAGCGCGACACCAGCACCCCCGCGCGGCCGCCTGGCCTCCGCCAGCCCGGGACGGGGATCGTGCTAGGTCCCGTCGCCCTCGGTGGCCTGAGAGCCTACCAAGTGTATTTCCTCGCGTTTTATAGGGAAAATAAGGCCCGGAGAGAGACGAAGCGGCTTGTCCTTAAGCTCCAAACCCCACTACCCAACTTTGGAGAAGTCTCCAGACCTCTCGGGACCCGGGGCTGGGAACTTGTGCTAGTTTCGAAGCCAGAACAACAGGTGGTAAAGGGATCAGCCGCCGCAGCCGCAGCTCCCGGGTCACGGTCGCAGCCGGGCCCAGCAGCGCGGTGGAGCACGTGGGCCCGGGAGGCGCTTCCCAGCTGCGGTCCCTGGATCGCCCTCTCCACGCTGAAGCAACAGCTCCCTGGGGCCAGCTACCTAGAGTGTTCCAGCCCCGGTGTGCCAGTGCAAGTCGCACGGTGAAAATGTAGGTGACAGGAACCCAAAGAGGTCCCCGCTGCACGCCCTCGCCTTGTTGTCCCCAGCCCTTCCCTCGGACTCGAGACTTGGGGAGCTACGTACCGGGTTCAGCTCATAAGTCCCGAGGGCAGACGCGCCAGCCCGCGGCAGCATACGCCCTGGGGGAACAGGGACAGCTGCCGTGACGGCAGGAGCTGGGCCCGGGCTCGGGTTCGCGCCCCCCGCGGGCGGCGAAGTCCGTCCGTGCACGAGAGCTGCGCGGTCACCTCCTCCCTCCAGCAGTCACCCGGGACTCGAGCTCCCCGCGGCCGCGCTGCCCCCTTTAACTTTCCTGCCAGCTCTCGGGACCCCGGGGTCCATCCCAGGCCCCCTGCCACGTGAACGCCCCCCGCAGCCAATGGGCGCGCCCGGGACTCCAGCCGCCGACCAATGGGCGCGCAGCCACGGCGCTGGGGAGCACCGCTTCGCCACGTGATCGGCAGCGCGCCCGGAGTGATCCGGCTGCGGGCCAGGGTCTGGGAAGGGGGTGGTGGGTCGCCGTTTCATCAGAAGCCGGAGGACGGGCGCCAGGGGGCAACTTCCTACAGGAGGGCGTCCCGTTAGAATGACAGGGCTTTTGCAAAAGTCTGACACCCGTGGCACAGAGCGCCCCAGATATGGAGGGTTTCACAGGTAGGTATACTTCAGAAGAAATTTCCTGACTTGAATCGGTTATAATCGCTATCTAAATCTACAGGGCCTCCGCGATGCATATTATGCACCTTGAGATCTATAGAAAATGGTCTTAGAAAAAGAAAAAAATGATGACCTTAAAGAGTTTGAATCAGAGGCTCTTCCTTTCTTCAGTTTACATGTAACTTGATCTGAACTAGCCACTTTAGGCATGAGGCTACCAGTTTTCTAATTTTAATGACCAGTAGAGTTTTAGAAAAAAATTAGAAATTGATATAGGATTGCCAACTTTTTAAACTGCCAAGAAAGACATGAAAATAAACCCTGCTGTCTTCTATTACTATCCTTTTATTTTTATTTTTTAAAGTACACTTTAATAGCAATAACAACGAAATGCAGGAAGGATGTAATGGCCAGTCTTTCCCATTGGATATATTTAGCTTTCTGAAAACTCATTATGTTGAATATGGCATTTGGGAGTTTCTACTGTAAGGGATACAGGCTCAGCTTCAATTTTACTAGGAATGCAAGCCTAAAACAGTGATCGGTGACAATAATCCAATACAAGCCTTTAGCTCTATAGAGAGCTTCCCCGGAGGGAGTCCTGGTGTCTGAAGAATGATCATTAATCTTCTTCCTTCTTTTCTGATGGGCAGATCTGATAAGGGACCACTTGTGAAGTCAGCTATTGGTAGGTGGTTGGCAAATAGCGTTTCTGTGCAATATTCCCTCTGCCAACTTTAAACCCTCTCTTGTTAGGTGATGAGTAGGTTGAAGATTTTTAAGCCAAGTACTGGCTAAGTTTCTCAGGTGTAGTGAGCATGCTGGAGGAGTGGGCAAAGATGAAGAGCCAAGAGGTATTGCAAAACATATGCAGGCAAAGGGTAATCCGAACCACACCGGGAAAGAGTTGGGACAAGTAAATACAGCTTTGTAGCATTAGGGTTTGGGAGCATTTTTCTTGCATAGATCTAGGAAACCATGGTCAATAATTTCCCCTGTGGTTTAGATGACTTTTTCAGACCAGGAGAGAGGGGTTAAACTTAGTTGTGGTACACCACAGCCTTAGTAGGTAGGAGGGTGTCATCTATGAGTTTGAAAAGAGCACAGTCTTTGCCATCAGGATAGAGCTGAGATGCAAGCTCAGAGGAGGGCTTTACCAGGAGACCCAGCAGTGCAGAGCTCCAGAGCCTGAGAGCTGGACCCACCCTCAGACACGATCTTGCCTCACCCTCTCATTTTATGGCAACAAAGAGAGAAAGTGAAAATGGAAAATTTCAATGCTTACTGCATCAGTCAATGCACACCAAGTTCTTTCTATTATATCTGGCATTGGGTTACAGCTTTAATTTTATTTAACAACCCTCCTCCCCCAACCAAAAAAAAAAAAAAAAATGAAACCAGAAAACAGCAGTGGCTAAGCATAGTAAATTATTATTCTTCCATAAACTGTTCTTTTTCTTTTTTTTTAATTTATTTATTTATTTTTTTAATTTATTTATTTTTTATTGATAATTCTTGGGTGTTTCTCACAGAGGGGGATTTGGCAGGGTCATAGGACAATAGTGGAGGGAAGGTCAGCAGATAAACAAGTGAACAAAGGTCTCTGGTTTTCCTAGGCAGAGGACCCTGCGGCCTTCCGCAGTGTTTGTGTCCCTGGGTACTTGAGATTAGGGAGTGGCGATGACTCTTAACGAGCATGCTGCCTTCAAGCATCTGTTTAACAAAGCACATCTTGCACCGCCCTTAATCCATTTAACCCTGAGTGGACACAGCACATGTTTCAGAGAGCACAGGGTTGGGGGTAAGGTCACAGATCAACAGGATCCCACGGCAGAAGAAGTTTTCTTAGTACAGAACAAAATGAGAAGTCTCCCATGTCTACTTCTTTCCACACAGACACGGCAGCCATCCGATTTCTCAATCTTTTCCCCACCTTTCCCGCCTTTCTATTCCACAAAGCCGCCATTGTCATCCTGGCCCGTTCTCAATGAGCTGTTGGGCACACCTCCCAGACGGGGTGGTGGCCGGGCAGAGGGGCTCCTCACTTCCCAGTAGGGGCGGCCGGGCAGAGGTGCCCCTCACCTCCCGGACGGGGCGGCTGGCCGGGCGGGGGGCTGACCCCCCCACCTCCCTCCCGGACGGGGCGGCTGCCGGGAGGAGACGCTCCTCACTTCCCAGACTGGGTGGCTGTCGGGCGGAGAGGCTCCTCACTTCTCAGACGGGGCGGCTGCCGGGCGGAGGGGCTCCTCACTTCTCAGACGGGGCGGTTGCCAGGCAGAGGGGCTCCTCACTTCTCAGACGGGGCAGCCGGGCAGAGATGCTCCTCACCTCCCAGACAGGGTCGCAGCCGGGCAGAGGTGCTCCTCACATCCCAGACGGGGCGGCGGGGCAGAGGCGCTCCCCACATCTCAGACGATGGGCGGCAGGGCAGAGACTCTCCTCACTTCCTAGATGTGATGGCGGCCGGGAAGAGGTGCTCCTCACTTCCTAGGTGGGATGGCGGCCGGGCGGAGACGCTCCTCACTTTCCAGACTGGGCAGCCAGGCAGAGGGGCTCCTCACATCCCAGACGATGGGCGGCCAGGCAGAGACGCTCCTCACTTCCCAGACGGGGTGGCGGCCGGGCAGAGGCTGCAATCTCGGCACTTTGGGAGGCCAAGGCAGGCGGCTGGGAGGTGGAGGTTGTAGCGAGCCGAGATCACGCCACTGCACTCCAGCCTGGGCACCATTGAGCACTGAGTGAACGAGACTCCGTCTGCAATCCCGGCACCTCGGGAGGCCAAGGCTGGCGGATCACTTGCGGTCAGGGGCTGGAGACCGGCCCGGCCAACACAGCGAAACCCCGTCTCCACCAAAACCAGTCAGGCGTGGAGGCGCGAGCTTGCAATTGCAGGCACTCGGCAGGCTGAGCCAGGAGAATCAGGCAGGGAGGTTGCAGTGAGCCGAGATGGCAGCAGTACAGTCCAGCTTCGGCTCAGCATGAGAGGGAGACCGTGGAAAGAGAGGGAGACGGGAGAGGGGGAGGGGGAGGGGGAGAAACTGTTCTTTTTCATGGCTGTTAGTGGTAGCACTGTCCATCTTTTTCCTTGCATTTAGGCTCATGTGTGGCTTCTTCAGTCCTCTCTTCATTCACTCATGTATTCATTTATTCAACGACATATTACTAAGGAACCTCCTTAAGCCGGGATGCTGAACGTGGAAAAATAGGTGAAATATAATTTTACCCCTGAGAAGCTCATAGGCTAAAAAAAATATTGATTTGGGATAAATGTATGTTAAGGTAAGTCTCTGTGTTAGGGGAGTTAAGAGGAAGACCTTGTGTGTTTAGCAGCAGAGTTGGGGGGGGAATGGGGATGACCAGAGGCTGATCCTATAGATGTGATCATTGGGATCCTGGAGGAGGAGTTAGAGTTAAAGGGTCATGTCAGGGAACATGGCAGGAATTGGCAAAGACGCAGAGTTCGGTAAGTACCCAGAGAATTTCCACTGTGCTGATTAAAAGTTAGGTCCTCTTTCTGGCTTAAATATTAAACAGTGTTCCTTTATACATGTGTTCACATCAGCTTTCTGCTCATCCAGAAACTTTTAAAAAGGATTGCAAATGTTTTACCTCCTTCTCAACTTAATGCATTTCAAAAACAGCTCAAACCTAGTCCTATTCTCATCGGAGATTTTGGAAGAGAAATTTTTTTTTTTACTTCTAATTTGCTTCTCGTTGAATGAAAATGATTGCAAAATTAATCTAAATAAAAATAACCAGCCTTGGGAGTCAGAACTAAAGAAGAGAACATTCTTTTGCTTGATCAGAATAGCAAGTGGGAAAGACTGCTTCCAAACTGCCCGAGTCAATTTATATTTAGCCGAGTGGAGTTGTTTGCACCTGTCAGAGCCGCAGACGTGTTCTGGCGCATTATGTTACCTGGGGCCCCCTGCCCCTCTTTCATATTTGACTGACATTGACTTGCAAGGTCATGTTTCATGGGGACAGGCAGAGGAATACTTACAAAGGAACTCTATAAGCCTCTGTCTGCAGATAATGTGTCCTCAGCTTGTGAGAAGATCTTGAGTATTTTACACACCAAGCTCCTAGAGCCCATTAGGGCATTTTTTCTTACCGTTGAGGGCTTTTGAGTTCCTGAGTGAGGTTGACAAATGGATCACGTGTTTGAAAGCTATGTGACTACAGAACTGATTTTATTCTACAGCTTCATACTTTGTGCAGTGCTTTGTGTGAGCGTGATATGTTTTAATTTGTGTTGTTTATTCTTTTTTATGATTACAGTTGACTCTTGAACAATGTGGGGGCTTGGGGCACCAACCCCCTGTGCAGTTGAAAATCGACATATAACTTTGACTCGCCAAAAACTTCACTACAATAGCCTGCTGCCAACCTGAAGTCTTACCAATAACATCAACAGTCAATTAAACATATTACGTATGTTATATGTATTCTATGCTGTAGTTTTACAATAAAGTAAGCTGGAGAAAAGAAAATCTTAAGGAAATCATAAGGAAGAGAAAATATGTTGGCTAGGTATGGTGGCTTATGCCTATAATCCCAGCACTTTGGGATGCCCAAAGTGGGCAGATTCATTGAGCCCAGGAGTTCAAGACCAGCCTGGACAACATGGTGAAACCCTGTATCTACAAAAAATACAAAAATTAGCCAGGCATGGTGGTGCACACCTGTAATCCCAGCTACTCAGGAGGCTGAGGTGGGAGGATCATGTGAGCCTGGAGAGGTCAAGGCTGCAGTGAGCTGTGATGGCACCACTGCACTCCAGCTTTGGTGACAGAACAAGACTCTGTCTCAAAAAAGAAAGAAAGAAAATATATTTAGTATTCATTAAGTGGAAGTGGATCATCATAAAGGTGTTCATCTTGGTTGTCTTCACTTTCAGTAGGCTGAAAAGGAGAAGGAAGTGAAGGGGTTGGTCTTGCCGTCTCACGAGTGGCAGAGGCAGGAGAAAATCCAAATGTAAGTGGACCTATGCAGTTCAAACCCAAGTTGTTCAAAGTCATTGTATTAGTATTAGACATTGTGGAAAATACAGAAAAATATAAAGATGAAAATAGAATTAGTGCTACCCAATGATAACTATCAATATAATTCACTGTATTTTCTTCAGTTTAGTCTGTGCATAAACATTATATTATCTGAATCATAGTGTGTATATATAGTTTAATATCTTGATTTTTATTCATGACTGTTTCTCACTTTGAGTATATTAGTATTATAGTTTTCCTGACATATGCTTTTTAATGGCTGCATAATATTCTTTCACATAGAGAGATCATAATTTATTTAACTATTTTCTTATTGTGGGACACTTAGATTTTTCTTCCCAAATTTTCTTTATTGTAAATATGTTAGGTTGGTGCAAAAGCAATTGCTGTTTTTGCCATTAAAGGCAACAGCAAAAACCAAAATTACTTTTGCACCAAACTAGTGCTTCAATAAGCATCTTCATATTTAAATTTTGTCCACATTCCTGCCTATTTCCTACAGAGTATAGATGTTCTTCAGGCTGGATGCATATTGCCAGATTTGAATACTAACCTTTTAGGAAGGTTAGTATTGACCTTTCATTCTTGCTACTGGGGAAAATTAAGTTAAATAATCTCAATAAGGTCTTGGTTTGTGGACTTGGGGAAAATTATAGCTCATCTTGCAAAATAGCCATATGAGAATTTTTACGAATGAATCATTTACTGTATGCCTGGGTAAAAATAGCGGCACACCTTATCTAGTGCTTTAGCTTTGAATCTCAAAGTACACAGCCAATTTGTATTATGAATAAGGACTTCATAACCCATATTGTCGACTTAAATGGTATTAAGTGGTGGCTGGTCAGGGAGAAGGTGGAGAGGCTAGAAACCAGGGAATACCACCTTGCCAAAGGCTTAAATACCATTAGGCAGAACCAGTATATATTTATATTCTTTGCTTATTCATCCTCTGTTCATGACTAGTGTGGTCATAAATTATATTTAAACCTGTAACTTTATATACATATAATGCAAGGCATAGCAACATTGCATGCAGAATTTCATGACAAGTGGCCTGCATTTTTGTGAGGAAAAAAAAATATGTCAAGCTGCTTTTAGGACTGTAACTAACCACTTGGCTATTGCATGCCTTGTGCCTTAGGTCTGGGATGTTTCTCTTGCATGCCTCTGGAATCAAATGACTCTGATACTGCAAGCACTTCAGAGTATGTATAAGCAATTTCAGCTGGTTCCGTCCTGATATTTACAAAACTGCCTGGATCATACTTACAACCATGCAATGATATATATTTCTATTAAGAAAGCAACGATTTGCTTGAAAGATGAAGGAAAACAAACTAAGTATTTATGTACAATGAGTCCTAAGTGTACACCACTATGTTTTCCATCAGCTTTTGATTTTCTGTCACTCCTCTTTTTCTTTGAAATTTAGAGTCAGAAGTGAACTGACTTCATGGTTTTCCTCATGATTATTTGATATCCTCTAGGGAATCATGACTTAAAGACTGCATTCTTCCTTCTCAAAACTCATGTTAAAGATTTCTCCATGCAGAGCCACAGGCTATTTTGGAGTTTGAAATGGAGCAGTTAAAACTAGGAGGTCACACACGTTGAGATTATTCCTTCACTGCATCTCGCCCGGCTTGTGTGCCTGAGGAGACACGCATCTCAGAGGGCAGAGGGGCAGCCGTTGTCTAGTGAGGTTATTTCACCTACTATATAATAAAATGTACAGGACAATAGCGCATTTGTTATAAAGGCTACTCGAGTTTGTTATACAATTATTCTTCACCAAAAACAACAACCTGATAACTCACTATTAGTATGAGTCTTACTTGGTAGATAGCCAGGACTATAAAATATACAAAGCCAAACTTTGCCATTATTTCCATCTAAACCTTAGAGATTGCTATAACCATATATTCAGACTTAACAAAGATATTTGGCACCATTCCCATTTTCTTTCTGTTAATTCTTTCGTCATTTTCAAATGCAAAATCCTCCCAAGTTGGGGGTCGTTTGTCTCTTATTTTAGTTGTGGCCCTTTGTTCCAAAAAGAGAATTAACTTATCCTTTCTTCCCTGAGTTTAACCCTTATTCTTTTTTCTTCCTTCCTCCTTTTTAAAAGTATTCCTCCTGAGTTTATAAAATCTAGAAATTTCTCTCTTCTAATTTTGTAAGATTAGTAAATAAGCAATTCTGTCATTCTCCCCTCTTATAAATCAGCACTGTTTATCAATTTTTAAGAACAGTCCCAAGACATGGTTTATGAAAAGAAGGAACCGATTGCAAAATAAGCGAGGAAGTTTCTGATTTAACTTCCTGCTGAAATTCCTAGGAAGAAAGACAAAAAGCTGAAGACTCACATAACCCTCATGCCCTAGAGATAATGAAGTGTAGGGTAAGATCTCAGTCACCTGGTGGTCTTGGATGAGTATGCTGACTCTGCCACAATGAGCTGTGGGCGTGGGGGAAATCACCTGCCCACTTTGTGCCTCTGTTTCCAGATCTGCAAAATGGGAATAGTAATGCCTGCTTGGTAGGGTTATTCTGAGGATTTCCTGGAACAATATTTATGTATAATCAGGATGACTTGCTCCACAAAACCCAAGTGCAAAAAAGTCACATTTCTTGATGATTCTAAATACAGTGAAATCTGGATCTTAACCCTCCACCTACTAAGGCCAGCAAGAAGCTTAATGTCAATTGGCTTATGTGGCTCATGCAACTGGGAACAGGTCCTTTGTTCCTCGACTCTGTGGTTACAGCCCTTAGCACTGCTCCTTCTGCAGCCCAGCCTCTGTGCAGGTCAGGTCCTCACTACCCACTGGAGCTACTGCTCAAGGCAGGCTTTGGTGATGCCCACTTGGCAGGCCTGACAGGAAGCTCATGCACCCCCAGAGAGAAGCCTCTTCCAGAATGTTGGACTCAGATGGGGTGTCCTACCGCCTGCAGAAACTTCAGTCCCGCAGCTCGCAGACTTTGGGGATTCACCCCCTTTCTGGGGTGGATCTTTCTGTAAATCCACAGAAGTACCAGGCTGGAGCTCCTCCCACTCTTGGACAGTTCTGGCCCCTTCTTGGGAGGGCCCAGAATTCCCAAACACTTTATGGAAGCAGTTTCTCCAGAGGCTCCTGGAACATGAAGGAGCTGTTAGCACCACTTTGCGGCTAAAAGAGCCAAGACCTTGGAAAACAAAGACTTGCCTTTCCCTCCATTATAAGATGTTGGGGTATATGAAAATGAAACACAAATTTACATGCTGACACATTTGTAAACTATCAAGTGTATGGTGACTATTCCAAGGGCATCACCAGTTTGCCAAATTTCCCCGTGAAATAGTTTTACTACAGGAAACAAAAGAAAATTTTAAAAACATCTTGGATTGCAGGAAGACATGGTCTATGAATTACAGAAAACCACACACAGAGATAAGATGAAAAGTTAGGAAGACAAGATACAAAGAGAGATGCGATAAGAATGGATGTCAAAAAAAAATGCAATCCAAGAATTAAAATCCCTCATGGAGGTGGAAAGAAGCAAAATTGACAGTGTAGAAAATGGAAACGTTGATTTGGAGGTGAACCTTAAGAGGTCTTTTACAGGAAAAGAGCATAGAGTTAGACATGATAAGTGAAAATAAATAGTTAACTAAGAAAAGTGATAGATTCTGATAAATATAAACAATGGGAATTCAGTTTAAGACTTAACAGTATTACTAATCAAGAAACCAGAACAACAGAAATAAGTGATAATGACTTTATTGAAGAAAACATTTTCAGGCTGGAAAAAGACTGGAGTATATAGATTGACTGGGCTCACAAATTCCAGGTAAAATCAATTTTAAAACACCCACACCTAGACACATATTGACCACATTTTTTAGTTACAAAGACCAAAAAAAAAAAAGAAGAAGAGGAAGTGCTGCAAGTTATCCACACAGGAAATACCACCCCCAATCCCAAACAAGTTGTTGATGGAAGAACAAATACCAGACTGACTTCTGACCTCTTTGTACTACTACAGTCAGAAAACAATGGAGAAGCATCTAAAAGCATTTTATATTCAGCCAAGTCAACTTTCATGTGTAAATGACCTTGCTTCCTAATACCCCCTAGTTTTATTACCATAATACAGCAAGGAGACTGATTAGTACTCAAAAGAGTAGTTATTGTATCTTATCCACTATGGTAATTTAGTTTCTTGATGAGATTCTAAAGTTGTATGAAAATGCCAATTTTATGCCTCCCCATCTCTCTGTGTGTTTTAACTTTGGTTTTAACGTTCCTCTAATCTGGCAGTGGTAGTGTTATTTGCTGCTGAGAAAAGAGGTCTCTCTCCCAATGACTTCTTTAACCTCATCTCTCCCACTCCAAGGGTGGTCCTTTTGTTTGCCTTGCCACTGGGAATTTCTACTTTGTGGGCGTAGTGTTTGCTCAGGTGGAAGAGCTCCACATAGCAAGCCTTTGTCCCTTAATTTTACTCCAAATGCCAAGACTTTGATTTATGAATTATATTGAAAAACTGGCGATTATTAGAGTTAAAAGGCCTCTTACATCTTCTAGGCTAGCATCCTTGGTTTACAGGTGAAAAAAACAGACCGAGAAAAGAGCCATCACTTGTCTAGAGTCAAGGATTCAGATACCGTTCGTGTTAGGACCAGCTAGGCTCCTGGTTTTTCTGCATCCCGCACCAGACTGACACTGATGGACAAGATCTATTGGCAGGCCCAAGTGATCCCATCTTCACCATGATGAAGAAGTTCGTGAGTGGCAGGGCCCAAAGCCTGTGGAATGGCCAAAGGCAAGCTAATGCCCGGTAATCAAAAAGTCAGTGAATTTCCAACAATAAGCAGAGGCACACCTTCAACATAGCACCTCAGAGCCATTGAAAACTCAAGGTATTCATTCTAGAAAAGTCCAAGGATACAGAAGACATGCTTTAGCCAGTTTTTCAAAGTTCTTAGAAATTTTGACTTTGGGCAGGGGCACAGTAACTCACCCCTGTAATCCCACCTACTCAGGAGGTTGAGGAGTTCAAGACCAGCCTGGGATGTATAGTGAGACCCTGTCTCAAAACAAACAAACAAACAAAAAGAAAGAAAGAAAGAAAGAAAGAAAGAAAGAAAGAAAAGTTTGACTTTTAAGGGTTCTAGTAACAAAAACTTCCTTTCTAAGCAAGCAGACTTGGCTCATGACACCTGACATCCTTTCATCAAACACTGGTCCAAATTCAAGGGGCAAAATCATCTCCTGCATTTGTAGATTTCTTAGCTTCTCTCCTTAGGTGAGTCACAACTCTTTAGGTTTCAAAAGAGAGGCTGCTCCAACTAGCCTAATCAAACCAGAAGAAGAAATGAATTGGGTCATAACCAAATACCAGGAAGGCAGGGGCAGAACTGGGCCTAGGATTAACTTCTCCACATCACAGGGAACATGGCTGCTCACATCTCTGGGCTAACATCAACCCCACTTAAAGAGCAGAGAGGAAAGAGGGCATCTTCCACCTGTCGTCAATGTACAGAATTCCCAGAGGGGACACTGATGGCTGCGTAACTGTGGACAAAGGGATGACCCAGCCTGGTTCCATGCTCACCACTCTGTTGAGGAACATTTTCTGTCAGTAAATTAAGGAGAATGAGCAGGAAATGGGCACAGAGCAGATCTACACAATAGCCACTACATTATCCATAGCCAGTGTGGGTTAGTACGGAGTTTATTATCCACTTGTTATTGTCAAATACGTTTTTCCAAGAACGGAGAAAAGAAATTAATAATTCCCCTACATTGTCTTTACCTTGGCCATGACCAGGCCCACTTCTGGAAGGTACGGGACACTCTCCAGCCTGCCTCCTGCTCAGGAAAGACTGCCAGAGAGCATGAGGGCTTCGGAACCTGCATGCGTAAGCAGGTGTCCGCTGTGCTTTGTGGAGACTTTCTCCTCTCTCGGAGCTCTTTTGTATTAGTCCGTTTTCATTCTGCTGATAAAAATCTACCCAAGACTGGGTAATGTATAAAGAAAAAGAGGTTTAATGGACTCACAGCAAAGTTTTACGTGGCTTGGGAGGCCTCACAATCATGGCGGGAGGCAAAAGGCATGTCTTACATGGCAGCAGACAAGAGAGAATGAGAGCCAAGCAAAAGGGGAAACCTCTTATAGAAACATTAGATCTCCTTAGACTTCTTCGCTACCACCAGAACGGTATGGGGGAAACCGTCCCTGTGATTCAATTGTCTCCCACCGGGTCCCTCCCACAACACGTGAGAATTATGGGAGCTACAATTCAAGATGAGATTTAGGTGGGGACACAGCCAAACCAAGTCACCTTTCCAGGGGTCTTGATGGTCTGTCTCCCTTCCCCTAGATAAGATAGCAGTAAGGAGGGCAGGATGGTGTGTTGAGGGCTTAGAAAACAAGTTCACTTCATACCAGGTGAGAAACAAACTCATTGTCGGGTCATTACTGGTGAGGAGACACTCACGTTCAAGTCTCCAAGATGATGCCTCATGCTGTATTGGGCAGGCCGTGGGAATGTGCGTCAGCCTTGGAAGGTGTGGCCGTGAGCAGTGTCAGCAACCCAGGTGAGACGTTGTCTCTGCCATCGACAAACTGGCTGGTGCATTTTGAGCAAAGCAGGAGCCATGACCTCCACGGGTGAAAACCCTCTGGTCAGCTCATTACTATGAGCTGACTACTACCTCCCAGGTTTATGTGCCACAGCCTCAATCTAAACAGTAAGGACTATTACTTTTTGAGCATTCTTGCTGCACAGACACTTTACATACTTGATACCAATATCCTGAAAAGGAGGTATTTTTGTTTAACCCCCTTTCATAGGTAAGAAAAGTGAAACTCAGAGAAGTTAAGTAACTCACCTAAGATCACACAGCAGTGAGTAGCAGAATCTTGATTCAAAGTAAGATCTGACCCCAAAGTTTAGGCTGTTTACACCACACGAGGCTGCAGCTCTCAGTGAGCAGATGAAAGAGGGTGATGGTCTCACTTTGGGGACACCTTGGCTTTCTTCCCCGATCTGCTCGATTGAATTATAGGGCCTTCACTGGGCCTCAGAAGAATAAATTTGGGATTTTGAAAACATAGCCCTTAATTCAATTTGACTGCTAGGACAACCACCTCATTCACAGGCAGGAGGTAAAGAGAGGATGATTAGGTTACTCGTGGTGGCTACAGCTCTGGCTGGAGAAGGGGAGGTTTACAGCCTCCCCGAATGGCTGCTGCAGGGCAGGCAGGAAGGAAGTCTGGGGAGGTAGAGAAGAAAACCATGAGAGGGGACACTTGGGGAGACAGGTTTCTGAGGTTTGTCTGGGGTGCAAGGGAAAGGCCACACAATGGATGAACAGATGCCAAATATCTCTGTTTCCAGGAGGAAGCCACACATGGAAAAAAATGCTACCCTAAACAGTTCTCAAGTACACCCACGTCCTCAAACAGCATGGAAAATAAATTAACAAATAGCCTGCTATAAACACAGTGGAGGTGGGAAATTCTATAGTAAACCAGAAAGGAATTCATTTTATTTAAAACTGATTTGAGAAGTTTGTCTAGGGTGGGTGAATACTTTGAGGCCAGGGCAGCTAGACATCACTGACATCTCTGGCTTTGTCACACCTGGAGGCCCAGAGCTCAATGTGCAGATAGTGTGTCACACTTGGGTGCATGGTTTGTGGGAGTTAAGAGAGGAGTGGAGGCTCTTGAGTGGCTGAGCCCTATCCTTATCTGCAGCCTCTCTTCATGGCCCCCAGCCAGGACTGGCACTTGTCACATGGCATGTGAAGCAAGTGACTCTTGCAAGGAGAGAGTGTGATCAGGACGGGGGGACAGTTTGCCAGTTGGTCATCTTGGATGTGAATCCTATGTCCCACTGACCTTTGTACCTTGAGAACTCCCTAGATCTCAAAATAGAGTATTTCCTGCCCGGGGGGATCATACCAGCCTCAAAACATCTTGCCAAAACAAAAATTAACTTTCATTTGAATTTACAATAATTTAAAACATGAATATGTGTCATCTGGCATTTTTATAAATAAGATGATATGTTGCAGAAACAAGTAATGAAAATTTCAAGGCTTTCCAGATCACTGGAAGGTCATGAGTTTAGGGTTTTTTTGTTTGTTTGTTTGTTTTGGTGGATTCTCACTCTGTCACCCAGGCTGGAGTGCAGTGGCATGATCTCAGCTGACTGCACCCTCTGCCTCCCAGGTTCAAGTGATTCTCCTGCCTCAGCCTCCAGAGTTGCTGGGATTACAGGTGCCCACCACCACATCCAGCTAAATTTTGTTTTTTTTTTTTTGAGACAGAGTCTCGCTTTGTTGCCCAGGCTGGAGTGCAGTGGTGCAATCTCGGCTCACTGCAAGCTCCACCTCCCAGGTTCACGCCATTCTCCTGCCTCAGCCTCCCGACTAGCTGGGACTACAGGCGCCCGCCACCACGCCTGGCTAATTTTTTGTATTTTTAGTAGAGATGGGGTTTCACCGTGTTAGGCAGGATGGTCATCCAGCTAATTTTTGTATTTTTAGTAGAGACGGGGTTTCACCATGTTGGCCAGACTGGTCTCGAACTCCTGACCTCAGGTGATCCACCCACTTCGGCCTCCCAAAGTGCTGGGATTACAGGCATGAGCCAATGCATCCGGCCGAGTTTAGGGTTCTGTAGGGATTGTGGAAAAACCTCTATTGGGACAAATGTGCCTACTGCCTTTGTGGCCACTTCCAGCTACAGAACAGTGAGTCAGAAGACTCTACACTTGTGCCACTCACTGGCAGGGATGCCCACCTCTCCTCCTCCCAGGGGAAGCAGGACATGGGTCGTGGCCACCTTCCTTACAGTGCACAGGGGCCTCAAGATTTCCTAACTCTCTCTGTTTGGCAAATATTTAAAGACCTTTTTATTTTTTTGAGACGGAGTCTTGCTCTGTCACCCAGGTTGGAGTGCAGTGGTGCGATCTTGGCTCACTGCAAACTCCGCCTCCTGGGTTCACGCCATTCTCCTGCCTCAGCCTCCCAGGTAGCTGGTACTACAGGCGCCCGCTACCAAGCCCAGCTAATTTCTTGTATTTTTAGTAGAGACCGGGTTTCACCGTGTTAGCCAGGAGGGTCTCCATCTCCTGACCTCGTGATCCGCCCACCTCGGCCTCCCAAAGTGCTGGGATTACAGGCGTGAGCCACCGTGCCCGGCCCTAAAGACTTTTATCAATGTATTCAGTACCTATTTGTTTAAACAACACTTTTGATTAAGAGATGACCAAAATTGGATACAGGAAAATTATTTTGTTTCTAGAGAGGCATTGGAGAAAAGGTGTGGTTGTGTAAAGAAACAGGGAAAAACAACAAGCCAAGTAAGCAACTGTTCCCCAAAGTGCTTGGGTAGAACACTATTCTTGAGAGAAGGTCATCACAAAAAGTATTCTGGGATCAAAACCAGGCTCAGTCTGTCGTTGATGGGCATTTGGGTTGATTCCATGTCCTTGCTATTATGAATAGTGCTTCAATGAACATTGGCGTGCCTGTATCTTTGTAAGAGAATTTATGTTCCTTTGGGTATATACTCGGTAATGAGATTGCTGAGTCAAATGGTATTTCTGGTTCTAGATCTTTGGTATGTATACACCATGGAATACTATGCAGCCATAAAAAGGAATGAGATCATGTCCTTTGCAGGGACATGGATGAAGCTGGAAGCCATTATCCTCAGCAGACTAATGCGGGAACAGAAAACCAAAAACCACTTATAAGTGGGAGCTGACATCCTGGATAACACGGTGAAACCCCGTCTCTACTAAAAATACAAAAAATTAGCCAGGCACGGTGGTGGGCACCTGTAGTCCCAGCTACTCAGGAGGCTGAGGCAGGAGAATGGTGCGAACCCGGGAGGCAGAGCTTGCAGTGAGCCGAGATGGTGCCACTGCACTCCAGCCTGGGCGACAGAGCGAGACTCTGTCTCAAAAAAAAAAAAAAAAAAAAAAAAAAAAAAAAAGTAGGGGCTGAACAACGAGAACTCATGGACACGGGTTGGGGAACAGCACACTGGAGCCTGTCGGAGGATGTGGTGGCGGGAGGGAGAGTATTAGGGAAAATAGCTAATGCATGCTGGGCTTAATACCTAGGTGATGGGTGGACAGGTGCAGCAAACCACCATGGCACATGTTTACTCATGTAACAAACCTGCACAGGGACCGCAGAACTAAAAATTAAACTTAAAATTTTTTTTTAACAGCCTCAGAGGAATCCTGTATTGTGGGACTCTGGCTAGCTTTATTTAACCTGGCACTTCACAAGCTGACCCAAGATCTCACGGTTCTTGCAACGCTGCATTTTAGTGTATGGAAAGGTGGGAAAGAGATCAGAATGAATATAGATGAGTATCTTATTCCCATTTAGGCTGCTATAACAAAATACTGTCCACAGAGTGGCTTGTAAATAACACACACATCTATTGCTCACAGTTCTGGAGGCTGGAAAGTCCAAGATCAAGCTGCAGGCAGCTTTGGCGTCTCGGGAAGTTTTGCTTCCTTGTAGACAGTGCCATCTTGCTGTATCCTCATGTGGTTGAAGGGGCAAAGGAGCTCTCTCTGGCCTCTTTTGTATGGACCCTAATCTCACTCATGAGTGTTCTGCCCTCCCATAACCTAATTACCACCTCTTGGGTCTAACTCCTAATACCATCACCTTGGGGGCTAGGACTTCCACATATGAATTTTGGGGGCATGCAAACATTCAGACCATAGCAGTGAGCATGAGTGAAATTTTAGGAAGTAAATCCTAACAGAATTGGGAAATACATCATGCATGATTCAATTCTGCGCACTCTTAGGCCTCAAGAGAACAAGGAGGGAAACTAACAGATTATGTGCTGAGCAATTTTTTTTCTATAGCAGGACAGGCAGAAGGATGCCTTCTTCCACGCAAGCACTGAACCAAACCACAGTAGAAGAAACAGAATCAAATGAGAGAGATTCAACTGACCAGTTTAAGGCTTATCAGAAAGGAACAAAGACATACCAAAATAGACCATCCTTGCACAAACACAGACACACAGGGACAAGGCACAAGTGCATCACTTACACCAGCACAGGTGCTAGCAAGAAACCCATTCATATGAACACTTTATGCGGATTTTAAAGGGAAAACTCTTCTTTTAAACATAAAGGACTTTTATCTTTGTAGTATCCACATTTATTCACTCATTCATTTGATGCAATTTATGTGCCAGATGCTTGGTCAGGACTGAGGATGTGTAGTGGACAAGCCAGGATTGCTGCAGTGATGTGCTCACCATTGGAGAGAGGAATGACTGTCAACAAATCACTACAGGCCCATATGTTAAGTTCTTTAATAGTACGGTGACTGGAACTACGGGACGGAACCCAAAATGCAGTCACCCAAACGCATCATGTCCATTTTGATCCCTACAGCAATTAAGCCTTGCTTTCACAGCCGCTGAAGCAGACCAACAGATGGTTGTTTAATTGTTTATAAAACCAAACATTAACTACTGGGCTTGGCAACGTATCTCTTCTCCTGAAGCCTCTCAAAGCAGATATCAGACAACACTCTGGAAGATGCTGAGAAACATCAAAAGATCAAAGGTCGAATCTTGGAATTCAGATCTGTCATTGACCTGCCTTATAACTTCTGTCAAACTGCAATGTGGTGAGATTGTTCACATGTTTCACAGCAGTGTTGCATGGAATGACTAATGGCCTTCAGTTGGTTCCTGTGTAGATGGTAAAATGGAAAGCTGTTCACAAAACCCCTTTCTAGCAAAGATGCGTCTCTGCCAAGTCACATATGTTGGCCAGAGGTGTGTTTAGGGAACTTGGCCCTCTTCAGAAAAATACAGTCTCCTTGTTCCTGGCCAGATTTTAATGTTGCTCTACCTTTTAGCTTATGAAGCTTCAGGCTGTCTGTACAAATGCTGTCTGTTTTAATAGAGTGCTAATTGCAGTAACGGGCAGGGCACTTATGTCTGTAATCATCACATCAACGCCACTTGGCTTAATCCTTGAAAATGGACAACAAGCTATTACTAAACCATAAAAATCACAAATTGTGCGTGCTGACCTAGAGACACCTCCAATCAATGAGAAGCAGCCTGAGAGCCACCAAAGGCTCTTCAATGTCCAGCTGTCACCGACATTCCCCAAGAACTTCAAAGATTTTAAAGGCCACCATTTCCATGCACGTGTCTCTTGGCGTTGCTGCTGTTTACACTATGTGGAAGCTGGACACTCAGCCTGTTTCGGGGGGACCCAGGCTAAAGGTTCTGCCCTAGGTGTGGTAAGTATCTATTGATGCGTAGTGTGAACACAGCCTTTGTAGCTTCCCCACCCTCTGCGTGGGGAATGGATAGCTCTGATTGCAATCTTCCTTCCCTAGCAGCCTCTTCCTTATCCTCCTGGGTTCAGCTTCAACGTCACATGCCCAGACTTTCAGCCTCCAGGACTTATACCAGCACCCACTCTCCCTCCTGATTCCCAGGCCTTCAGCCTTAGACTGGGAGTTATAGGATTGGCTCTCCTAGTAAAGGGTAAGATAGATGTATTCTTTTATATATAATATATAACACAATGGCTCTCTGTCTGCATGGGTTCTGAATCTTCTAATTCAGCCAACCATGGATCAAAAATGTTCAAAAAATAGAAAAATAACAATACAACAATACAAATAATACAAATTAAAAAGACAGTATAACAACCATTTACATAGCATTTACATTGTATTAGGTGTTATAAGTAATCTAGAGATGATTTAAAATATAGAAGAGAATGTGTATAGGTTGTATACAAATACTACATCATTTTATTTGATGGACTTGAGCATCTGAGGATCTTGGTATCTGTGGGGATCCTGGAACCAATCCCCCGTGAGTACCTAGGGATGGCATGACTATGTATAATATATCCTTGTAAAGGGGTTAGCCAGATAGTGGGAGCCCTCGTTTCCTTACAAAGGAATTTGAAGTTGATCTGGTCAGTGGAAAGTTTCTGGAAGGTATTGCATGATTAGAATTTTGTTTTACACACACCACACATGCACACACACACACACAAGACAGACCAATCTGTGTGGAAGAAGTAGATTAGAAGAACACAGGATTAGAAAGCTTGCTTGATAACAGGTCACAAATGCTGCCAAGTGTGTAGTCAAAAAAATCTGGACTTATTTTCTAGACCAAGTGTCCAGATCTGAAAAGTTTTCAGAGGTTGCATAAGTAGCAAATGTGTGAAGTCTCTGAATGTGATTTCCCTGTTTAAATTTAGAATGTCAAAATGCTGCATTTTTCCAACCGACCAGTCACATCAGTGGCTGACAACTGCTCTGTGAGCTTGATCCTTGCTGTAGGAAATGCGGAGCCATAGGCGATTCTTGGGGAGGGGGAATTGTAGCAGATGCTGTTGGTGTTCTCTGCCCAGATCCCATTGGTCCACTCTTAGAGTTGCCTGCAGACAAGTCCCCTTGAGCTGGTATCTTCCAGCATCTCTGCCTGACAGCATTCTCTGGGCTGGCCACCTAGAGACAGGCTAGAAGTGCCAGAACATTACAGCGTTGGGAGCATCCCTCAACCAATGAAGGACAGAAGCTGCTGGATAAACACCCCAGCCTTCCGGCTCCATGATAGGTCATTGCTGAGGTTTATGCAGTTTTTTGAGGGGTCCTGGAAGAATTGAGCCTCAGTTGCTCACAGCAGCATTTTTGTCATAAATGCAACTTTATTAGTTGTCTTAGGTGGGGTCACCTGAAAAACAGACCCTGCCATATGCAGTTGCGTGCAAGAAGTTTATTAGGGAATTCCTTTGAGACCAACGCCTATGAAGAAGAAAGTAGGACTGGATAGAAGGTAGTCGTTGAACTGTGGTGCTATTGAAGCTTGAGAGGATCCCACAGGAAGCTCTGGCCCTGGGATAGTCCTTCAGAGTTGACCTATTGAGACCAAGGTGGGGTCAGGGCTTTATATCCTCTATTGATTAGTCAGTGGATGTGGCTGCCCCAGGTTGGGACCTGGGTTAAGGCTGTTCTCTGCTGCTGAGAGCAGTTCCTGGCTCGAGACTCAGCTAAAAGTCATCAACCAGCAACACTCCCAACAGCTGGGAGAGTGAGGACCTCAGTCCTGAGGGGGAATCTCGGCAGTGCACCATACGATTGGCCTCCCTCTCTTCCCTGACTTCCTTCTTTAACCCCTCTCTATCCTAGCCTAGGGGTCATCTTCCAAATGAACTACCTACACCCAAATTCTTTTTTTTTTTTTTTTGAGACGGAGTCTTTTTCTGTCACCCAGGCCGGAGTGCCGAAGGGAGTACTGAACCAGTTTTTTTTGTTTTTTTTTTTTAAGATGAGGTCTCGCTCTTGTTGCCCAGGCTGGAGTGCAGTGGCACAATCTCAGTTCGCTGCAACCTCTGCCTCCCAGGTTCAAGCAATTCTCCTGCCTCAGCCACCCAGGTAGCTGGGATTACAGGCATGCACCACCACGCCTGGCTAATTTTTGTATTTTTAGTAGAGACAGGGTTTTGCCATGTTGGCCAGGCTGGTCTCGAACTCCTGACCTCAGGTGATCCACCTGCCTCGGCTTCCCAAAGTGCTAGGATTACAGGCATGAGCCACCACACCTGGCCAAGCCTGGAAGTTTTAAGCTGTAATTGGTGAGTTCCTTGTAGCACACCGTGGTGCTATAACCCATATCCTGAGAAATAAAACAATTAGATTTTGGGAGGCAGTTCACAATTACATTCTCTCTGTGGATAAAATTTTATTTAATTTTCCAAACCCGTTTTAAGGATACAATGATCACTGAGTTTCTAAGATATATTAGATCGGCCCAGATGCAGCAGGAATTTTGTTTGCATATTCCACAGGTGCATTTGATAGATGTTGGAAAAGCTTGAGCAAAAAAAAAAAAAAAAAATCCCTAACTGCAAGCATTTGTCAACCCAGAACAAGGTCTTCTGCTTTCCATATTCATGACGTTTGACATCAGACACATCAGATAAAACCAGAGATGGCTGGGCAGGCGGAAGGAAACGAGCCCAGCAAGGGGTCAGCCGCAGGAATCGTCCCAGCTCTGGCTGTAACTTGGGTTTGACCTTGGCAAGTTGCTTGACTTCTGTGGTCCTTTGTTTCCTCATCTGGAAAGTGAGAGTCCCAGCCCCGGGAGCTCTGGTTGAGAGAAAGTCTGTGATTCATCTATAGCCAATCCATGTTTACCCCCAAATTCATCAGGCTGAGTCCTCATCAATAATTTATATCCACCTGGAGGTCAGCTCTGCATAGAATCAAGTTTCTCTTCTTGTTCTGCTTCCAGTGGAATTAAAGTCCCTTGGCCCCTGACTTCTAATGACACCATCCAAAGTCTGTAAGTTTTAGAGGTTGCAGTTGATGACATCTAAGGTGCTTTCAAAGCCCAGCATTTCTAGGAAAGGGAGCATCAATATTAATTAAGTGCTGGCAGCTCTCAGGATTCCTTAGTATTCTAAAAAACGTGCAAGCTCTCAGGTCCTGTGTGCCCCTGAGGAATTTGCATATACCTGCAGATCTGGTTACTGTATCAATTGGGCCACATCCAAAGGCCACAACACTCTCCTTCCTGCATTTTAAGTGTGTTCTTACTGAAAATTCTGATGACTACCTAAAGAATTAAGCAAACTCCTGGCCAAAACCATTTAAAGACAATGGGTTAACTTGAAAAACTTATGACTTATGGTTAACTTGAAAACAGTTATGACTGTCCCTAAATGATAAACCAGAGATCAGTGCTGGGTCATACATTTCTTCAAATGTTGTGCCTTAAATAGCTGCAGAAGGACACAGTAAGGCAAGGGAGAAATATCTAGACTCCATCCAGAGACGAGCTTCCTTTGGAGCTGATTCCTTAGCCCAGGGATGGGTATGCCCTTGGCTCTTGGGATCCTAGACTTGTCATAGGCTCCTCTGCTCTTCCTCCTCTCGTTTCCAGGGTCTGCTTTCTCTGTTGCTTTCTCAAAGGTTGGTAGCCTTCCAAATTCGCTCATCACCCTCTTCTTTCATCATTTTATTTACTATTCCAAGGCTCTTCTCTTTTCTTGAGTTAAAAATGCCTCTGTTGCTGATGAGAAGCATACGTTCTCCCCAGAAGCTCATACACCGGTGGAAAAAGCAGGAGTCCACGTGCACCCCACCCAGCACATGCTCCTGCAGTCTGAAGCCACGTGAATAGCACCACTGACCACTCTGTTGCCTGAGCTACAAACCGGGATCCACCGCAGATTTCTTCCCTCTCACCCCTAGCAGGTGACCACTTCCTTTTCAAGCCACCTCCCTTCTCTCCGCTGCCACTTTCTTTCCATCTCAACTGCTGCTGCCTTAATTTTGTACTTTTTTTTTTTTTTTCGAGACGGAGTCTCGCTCTGTCGCCCAGGCTGGAGTGCAGTGGCACGATCTCGGCTCACTGCAAGCTCCGCCTCCCGGGTTCACGCCATTCTCCTGCCTCAGCCTCCCGAGTAGCTGGGACTACAGGCGCCCGCCACTACGCCCGGCTAATTTTTGTATTTTTAGTAGAGACGGGGTTTCATCGTGTTAGCCAGGATGGTCTCGATCTCCTGACCTCGTGATCCACCCTCCTCGGCCTCCCAAAGTGCTGGGATTACAGGCCTGAGCCACCGCACCCGGCCTTAATTTGGTACTTTTATCCTCTCTCACCTGGACTATTTCCACAGCATTGCCTATATTTCTGCCACCCCCCACTCCGACCTCGCCCTTTCCTCTGCAGTCAGGATGAGCTTTCTCAAATGAAAATCAGATTTTGGCAGGGCGTGGTGGCTCACGTCTGTAATCCCGGCATCTTGGGAGGCTAAGATGAGAGGATTGCTTGAGCCCAGGAGTTCGAGACCAGCCTGGGAAACAAAGTGAGACCCCCCGTCTCGACTAAAATATTAAAAAAAAAAAATTATCCAGGTATGCTGGTGGATACTTGTGGTCCTAACTATTCTGGAGGCTGAGGTGAGAGGATCATTTGAGCCCAGGAATTTGAGGCTGCAGTGGGCTATGATCATGTCATTGCACTCCAGCCTGGGTGACAGAGCAAGACTCTATCTCTCAAAAAAAAAAAAAAGAATATCACGTGGTGCTTCCTTTTGCTGATGTCTCTTCCTAACTCTGCAGATGAAGTCCTTTATTTCCAACCCCAGGAAACCTTGCATCTTCTGGTGGCTGTTGCACCCCTCATATGTAGCCTCATAGGCTGCTATGTCTACCCAGAGAGCCTCTTCCTTTGTTTTTCTGGTGGGCTCTTATTCATCTCTCAAGACCCAATTCAAGTTGTAACTCCTCTGTGAAGACAACTTTCACCCCAGCCCATCATCCCCTTCTCCACAAGCCACAATGTGTGTGCCTTGTTCTCACCTCCAGCCCTTACTGGGGTTTCTCATGCAGCTGCAGTCAGACAGCAACTGGGACTGGAATCACATTAAGACTCACTCTCTCACATGTCTAACATCTCTCTCTGTCTCTCTGTCGCTGCATGTGAGAGTAGTATGGCTTCTTCTGTGGCAGCTTAGAGCTCCAGAGGCACATGGAGAAAGAAAGAGGGAGAGAGGACGTGAGAGAGAACCCTCAGCCTTTTCTGACCCACCCTCAGAGGTCGCAAAGGCCTGCCCAGATAAAGGCGAGAGGATGTAGACTCCAACTCTTTTTTCTTTTTCTTTTCTTTTCTTTTTTTTTTTTTTAAAGACAGGATTTCACTCTGTTTCCTAGGCTGGAGTGCAGTGGTCTGATCATGGCTCACTGCAACCTTGACCTCCCAGGCCCAAGCAATCCTGCCTCCTCAGCCTCCTGAGTAGTTGGGAGTATAGGTGTGCACCACCATGCTCGACTAATTTTTAAATTTTTTGTAGAGATGGGGTTTCCCTAAGTTGCCTAGGCTGGTCTCAAACTCCTGGCCTGAAGCAATCCTCCCATCTTGGCCTCCCAAAGTGCTGAGATTACAGGCGTGAGCCTCAACCCGGCCAAGACTCCATCTGTTGATCGGAGAACTGCAGGATTTTGCAACAGCATGAGGTTCTGGATATTTTATGAGTGTTTTAGAAAATACAGTCAGCTTTGTCCTACTATGAGTTCTTGATTATCAGCACTTCATTTAACAAGCATCCTAATAAATAGTGCCTTTCCGTATCTATGGCAGACGGCCCCTGTTGCTGAAAAAAGCTATTAAACATCACCTTGAGGGACCTGAGCAGTTGCTAAACCACCAGAGAGAGCCTGAGATTTTCCAGAGTCACCCATGGATGATGTCAGTTGCTCATTACTTGGTACAGAAGGAACCAGCTCCCTAGGGCTCCCATTGGGCTCCCAGTCAATGCTGCCATAAACTGGCTGGCTTTGCTTAGGCAACCTGTTGGCTGCAAGTGCCTCCGATCAAAACCAGGAGCTGCTTTAGGCATTCTGTGGTTTGATCAGAATAAACAAGATCCAGCCAAGTCCCCGAATTTACCATAGAGATGTTTTCAACTGCATGGCTCTTCACCTGGACTGTAGATTTTTGGTGTGTGGCTTGCAGGGAACTACAGGGGCCACACACCAACCATAAGCACCAGGCCTAAGGCAGAAGCAGAGAGAAACCAACTCAAGGCAGAGGAGCCGCTGGGAGGGAGAAAGGTGTGAGGAGAGGACTAACAGAACAAGAGGAGGCAAACAGATTAAAAAGAGCTTGAGAGGGTCGGGCACAGTGGCTCACACCTGTAATCCCAGCGTTTTGGGAGGCCGAGGCCAGCAGATTGCCTGAGCTCAGGAGTTCGAGTCCACCCTGGGCAACATGGCAAAACCCCATCTCTACCAAAAATACAAAAATTAGCCGGCCTCAGCGGCAGATGCCTGTAATCCCAGCTACTCGGGAGGCTGAGGCAGGAGAATCGCTTGAACCCAGGTGGTGGAGGTTGCAATGAACCAAGATCGTGCCACTGCACACCAGCCTGGGCGACGGAGGGACACTCCACCTCAAAAAAAAAAAAAAAAAAAAAGCAGTGGAGGTTGGCATGGGCTCCACATCACCAGGGTGGTGACCTCCATTGATCTTAGCAAGATAAGGAAAACTGAATAAGCCTCGTGCCAGCTTGTCTCCACCCTCCCACCCCAAGACAGGTGTTTCCCTCTCTTCGCAGGATCCAGTATTTAACATAACTACACAAGTTTGACCAGGCCAAAGCATCTCATGGAGAGGACCCTCAGGTGGTCGGAATTAAAACAGAATTTTAATGTCACTGACTTGGCTTAAGTTGATTACTGACTGACCTATCTGGTTGAAACAAGAGGCATATTTTTCTGTTGTGCAAATGATTAATAATAATGTTTTTAAAGCTGAAGAATTAAACATCAACTTAGCATAAGAACCAGGGTCATTCAAAATACCCTAGCAGTTTTAGAAAACCGTGAATTTTGTTATTGTCACTTAAAGCGGCATCATGGTATAGTCTGCAGGTTTTTACCTTTTTACTGGACCCCCTGGTCACAAAAATAATTAGATGGAGGAAAGGTTAATTAAAATAGTGTGAGGAGAGCTGCAGCTGTCTTTTATCCAGGCTGGTCTTGCAACTTCAGTGGATTCCACTAAGTGCTGTTAAGAAGGCCAATAACTCATTTACATATGGATTATTCATTTCAAACAGTATGTATTGGTTGCTTTCCAGTAGGCTAAGTGCTGGGGACAAAATCACTAATAAAATGCACCCCTTCCAAGTATATGATGTCCCTTTTATGTTATAAAGTCATACATGCATATTGAAGAACATTTAGAAAATTAAAAACCCACCGTCTAATACCACTATTGTTAGTGTTTTAATGTATTTTCTTCTTGGGTACAAAAAATATTTAGTTGTAATACTATTGAATATGAAAACTTTTAGCCCAGCCTGGGCAACATAGCAAGATCCTGTCTCCACAAAAAAAAAAAAAAAAAAAAAAAAATTAGCCAGGCATGGTGGCATATACTTGTAGCAACAAAGCAAGACCCCATCTCTAAAAAACAAAAACCAACTTTACCCTTTAGTCTGCTTTTTTTTTTCTTCGATAAGACCCTCTTCTTAATGCTACAGCTAGAATGGTAAAAGGCAGAGCTAAGAGTTTCTCAGAATATTCCAAAGCCAAGAGCATGTTAATAAATCAGTGCCCCTGAGCCCAGGAGTTGAAGGCTGCAGTGAACTGAGATTACACCACTGCACTCCATCCTGGGTGACAGAGCAAGACTCTCTCTCTAGAGAAAAAAAAAAAAATCAATCAATCAATCAATGAATCAATGAAAACAAAGGCTTAGTGTTTTGAGAAATCCCGTACAGGGTTTTGTTTGTTTGTTATTCTAAGATATTTACCAGCCCTTCCCTCATTCCCCACCATACAGACCCACCACAGTATTGCCCATGTGGGGAAGAGCAAATGATACGCCAGCAACGGAGTGTCCCGTGCCACCCACGAGGCCCAGTTTCTAAAGAGTCAGCTGTCCACCTGAGCACCCGCTCCTCTTAAGGACGCAGGTGGCTTCAGTGGGTTATAATCAAAGAGCGCTGGGCTCCTGGAGGCACTGCCTTCCTTTTCTTGTTTTCCTTTTTTAGGCTTCTTCAGTGCTGCTTAGGGAGAGGTTGTTATTTGAGACTCCAGTCCTGCTTCATGTTATCTTGAGGATGGCCTGAATCAGTGTTGCACCCGACACCAAAGAAACCTTTTTTGCTTTGTTCAGATATCAATCATCAATAGATAAAATCATACAAATCCAGTAATAACCTCTCGCTGTGTTGGGGTTTGTACAGGAACAGCTCGAAACCCTTAAAGCAATGCCAAAACTTTCCAGCAGAAACCAGACCCCCTCGAGGGGACAGACCCCAAAGCCTCCGCCAGTCTGTCCTTTGTCGCTGTCATTTGATTTGCTGGGTCACCAGTGGTAGATCCAGAGCTGTGGGGCTTGGAGTTTATGAAGTTTGGGATCCTTATGTGCAGGAAAGCAAATACATTCATCATACAGAATTTTGTAAAGGGAGGGTTGCAGGTAAGTGAGAGGCCCTTTCACTTTATTTTTTAATTTATTTTTTTGAGACAGAGTCTCCCTCTGTCGCCCAGGCTGGAGTGCAGTGGTGCGATCTTGGTTCACTGCAATCTCTGCCTCCCAGGTTCAAGCGATTCTCCTGCCTCAGCCTCCCAAGTAGCTGGGATTACAGATGCCTGTCTCCATGCCCAGCTAATTTTTGTATTTTTAGTAGAGTCGGGGTTCAGCCATGTTGGCCAGGCTGGTCTCGAACCCTTGACCTCAGGTGACCCTCCCACCTTGGCCTCCCAAACTGTTGGGATTACAGGCGTGAGCCACCGTGCCTGGCCTCACTTGACTTCATTAGGTTTACAGTGAACCTAACCCTGCCTGTCCTGACACATCCCTTTCCTGGGGGAAGTGGCCTCCTTATCTATAATTTACTCCATGATAAAGGATGTCAGGATGGTCTGGGGGAATAGCTCTGCTCATGGCCGGTAATGCTAATCACTCTTTTTCAGATAAGCTGATATTTTAAAAAACAAAGATAAGCAAAAATGAACATAAGCAAAAATGACTGGAAAAGAGAGAACACAGGAATGATATAAAAATTGCTAGGATTCTACGGTAAAATGTCTGAGTCTACCTATCTAAGTAGAAGCACAGAAATAATTTAAGGCCAGGCACGGTGGCTCACGCCTGTAATCCCAGCACTTTGGGAGGCTAAGGCGGGCAGATCACAAGGTCAGATCGAGACCATCCTTTGAATGGTGAAACCCCGTCTCTACTAAAAATACAAGAAATTAGCCGGGCGTGGTGGCGGGCGCCTGTAGTCCCAGCTACTCGGGAGGCTGAGGCAGGAGAATGGCGCGAACCGGGAGGCAGAGCTTGCAGTGAGCCGAGATTGCCCCACTGCACTCCAGCCTGGGTGACAGAGCCAGACTCCATCTTAAAAAAAAAAAAAAAAAAAGAAATAATTTAAATACTAGCCCTGGAATTTCTTGAGCTACAAAAGCCATTTTATGGCCCTGAACAGCTTACCTAGCTTTTCCTAAGTCTTGCTGTCTGCGCTTCCTGACCACATGATACACATCCTCTAATTCTGCCTTCTGAGGGAGAGGCAGGCCCAATATTTTATACCCTCCTGGCACCACTACAAAGGTCCTTCCCCTGTTAAATCTGCCTATTCAGTTGAGTTTCCAGTGGAGGTCCCTCTCGTATTAATTCGGTTAGTATAAGTGCTGGCCTTGGAGATTGCTATAAGGCTTCAAGTCCAGGTTCGTTCATAAGCTCTGAGTTTCCTTTCCCACATAGAGAGAACCGTGCTTTAAAGGTTCACCCATGAAAGGCGAAGAGCCCCAGGAGGTTGAAACCATATATCAGCACACGTAACAAGTGCCCAAACACACAGGTAGTAGAGAAATGATCTGTGAGAGAGGCTCTGTGCTCACTAACACAACCTAGGGTCTGTTCTAATAAGGCCACTTCTGTAGGGCTTACCCAGCTATATAACATTTTAGATTTCCTGAAACTGCCAGACTTCCTCAAAGTGTAACGCAAGCCATTGATCATATCATTTATTCTGCCCCTAATATGTGCAAGGCAGTGGGCTAGGGGATGTGTGACGTATACAAGATCACTGTAATAAGACTGCAATTATTATGTACCTATTAAGTGCCAGTTCCTATGCTATGGTTCCATGAGTTCATTTTATGCTCAGTGCAGTCTTTAAGATAGGCAGATTAACCCCATTGTATAAAAGGTGAAACAGAATCAAAGACATTAAGTAGTTTTCCAAGGTCATATCCTAATGGCTACTGGAAGTAGAATTCAAACCCTTACCTCCTACTTTAAGCTGCAATTTTTTTCTTTTTAAACCACCATATGTTACTTGCACATCCTTAAGGAGATCACGGCCTTGGAGAAATAATCAATTGCTTTCTTATGGCTTTAACATCCCCACGTGTCCTTAAGTGGAAAGAATATGGCTTAACATAAGTAACAAGGTGGTATTACTTCCTTGACTGAAAAGCAGATAGAATCATAGATTTTAAAAATTATATATAATTTATTTTATTATAGGAATAATTCCTGCCCATTGAAGAAAATTTTTCAAATGCAGACGTGTATCAATAGCAAAATCATTAGTTAAATGATTTAAATATTTAAATATTCTTTTTTTTTTTTTTTTTTTTTGAGATGGAGTCTTGCTCTGTCACCCAGGCTGGAGCGCAGTGGCGCGATCTCGGCTCACTGCAACCTCCACCTCCTGGGTTCAAGCAATTCTCTGCCTCAGCCTCCTGAGTAGCTGGGATTACAGGTGCCTGCCACCACGCCTGGCTATTAAATATTTTTTAAAACATAATTTTGATGACTTCCTAGTATTTCATCATGTGAATAGACCATCATTTATTGATCTGTTTCTTAACTTCTTTACTTCCACAGACAGGGCCAGCAGAGGGGTGCATATTTTGCATTCTGCACAAAGTTCTGGCCTAAGTTGAAGGCTCCTTCATCTGTGGGCTGACACTCAGCTGGCACTCTGCCACCTAGGGCAAACATTTCCGCAGGCTGTGGCAGGCCAGAGGAACATCTTTTTCTGTGGACACAAAAGCTCCTAGAGAGGCCAGTAGCAGCCTTGATGATAGACAATTCTCTGCAGAGTAGAACACAAAAAGCTCTTGAGTATCATCTACTATTGGTAATTTCTACCAGCAGAAGCCACTATCACCTGTATTAACTTCTGTGCCTCTTTTTTTAAATTAAAAAACTTGAATGTTTATATTACTGTAATTAATTTTTTTTTATAGAGACAGGGTCTTGCTATGTTGCCCAGGCTGCAGTAGTTGCTATTCACTGGTATGATCATAGCACACTACAGCTTGAACTCCTAGACTCAAGGAATCCTCCTGCTTCAGCCTACCAAGTAGCTGGGATGGCAGACTCACACACCACCATGCCCAATTTTTTTTCTTTTGGTAATTATGTTTTTTTACTATGAATTTTATTGCACCATTTTTAATAACACTGCAGTTACTTGGAATCATGTTTCTGCAGGTAATAAAATATTTTTCCATTTCCTTTTTATTTTAAATGCAGTTAAAAATATACAAGCATTGAAGATTCTTTTTAACCGTGGCAATTATTATAGATCGAACATATACTGAAGGAGTCTAAATGATGATGCCAGATCCCTAGGCTTATATAATTCCAAGGAATCAATGCAACTTTTGTACATTTGAGAGGTGTGATTGCAGTGTTGAGCAGGTGCTGAACTCTTGATGTCAACAGGGACAGAAGGTCATCACAGATTTCTAGTGTCCTGCTCCATTATAGATGATAATGCAGAATTAATTTTAGTGGGGAAAACCAGCTGTGGTTATAATTCTTTTTAGATTAAGAATTAAAATGACATTCATTTTGGGAATGTTTCTCTACTGCCTTCGCCACAGGAAACTTGTTGGACTATAAATTGCCTAATACATTTTGCATGTCCTTGAGTTTTGGCTAATGTACCAATCTCTTTATTAGAACAATCATTTACATGATATAAATCTGCTCTGAGCACAACTTTGAGACCAGGCGCCCTGGTTCATAATTACTGCTGCTGTCCTGGCCAGCGTCCGGGAACTGGCCTCACAGGGGCTGCATCTGACAGTTTTAATTCTCTGCTCTGGAGCAAAGAGGCTGCAAACGTGCTACACACCAGTGCTTCTAGCTTGCCTAGAGTCAGACTTTCATTTCCAACAGGAAAAGCCAGGGAAGTTGAGATGAGCCATAACTTGAAAAGAAAGGTTAAAGTATGGACACTTGCCAGTGGAATGCAGGAATGATAGCAGCTTAATCTTTTCTTCTACCAAAGAATGTGAGTTTAAGACATTCCTGGCCGTGCGCAGTGGCTCATGCCTCTAATCCCAGCACTTTGGGAGGTTGAGGTGGGTTGATCACCTGAGGTCGGGAATTCGAGACCAGCCTGACCAACGTGGAGAAACCCCGTCTCTACTAAAAATACAAAATTAGCCGGGCATGGTGGCACATGCCTGTAATCCCAGCTACTAGGGAGGCTGAGGCAAGAGCATCGCTTGAACCTGGGAGGCAGAGGTTGCGGTGAGCCGAGATTGCACCATTGCACTCCAGCCTGGGCAACAAGAGCAAAACTCGGTCTCAAACAAAACAAAACAAAACAAAAAAATAAGACATTCTTAAAGGTTAAAGAAACATGTGGCAGTAGCAATAGTCTTTGAATCAGAATGGAATCATGTCGTTCCTTGAAGAATTTCACTTCAATTTATACTATAGTAAGTATTGACCTTCATTTAGGAAATTGTTGTACGACAAGCATTCTAAATATTGTTAAATTGTTTTAACAGTTAAGTGAATGTGTGTGTGTGTGTGTGTGATGGGCCAGCCTCACTATGGCTGGTCAAGAATAGATATAAAGTGCTTTCTGTTGGTTTTCTTTCTTTTTTTTTTTTTTTTTTGTCTCTGTCAGGTTTGCATGTCTAGGTAGGAAATGGACCTGCACCTTGGGTCTATTTCTTGAAATAAGGGACACACAAGAAAAGGGAAGCAGCAGCATAAAATTTAGGGTCACTTACGGGCTAGGTGACTTCGGTGTCACTTCTGCTCTTGGAGCCTCAGTTTCTGCATCTGCAAAATGGGAAAGCACGGTTTTCAGGAAGATTCAAATGTGAATGTGCTGGAGCAGTGTTTGTTCATCTCTATTAATATAAGAAAAGGTGCATCCCCAATTACTGCCACATGATGAGACTGGGGCTCATTTCTCTCCCCTGACACCTCTGCTCTCCCTGTTGCTATGCACGGCACATGCTGAAACCCAGGACCCCTGGGCTCTGTCACTTAGTCGTTGCCTGTTAAGACTATGAGAAATTCATAGAAATCCCAAATTCTACTTGGAGCTCAGCTTCCTCCTTAACAAAATGATACAGAGGGACTAGAGACTGTTCAGCATCCTTTTGGTGACAAACATCTATGAGTCCAGAAATAAGTGCCAGGAGGTGACAAATGGGATTCTGTTTCCTCACTGTAGGGAATCCAGAGAGATAATGACTTCGCGCTTAGCACCTGGGTCAGTTCTGCTTGGCTTTTCCCCAGCCAGCTTCCTTCTCTCTTTGGTTCTGACCTTTTGATTTGGAGCTGTCAGGAAATTGATCAATGATACACTTAGTATGGCTCATTTCATCAATATAAGTCGCTAAAGAGCCACTTTTTCTTTTCCTGTAAACAAGCACTTGCTTATGAGCCCAGAGGGAATTGGTAGACAGCGCTGCGTTGTTTCTCAGCCACGCACACACGGTGATGATGCACTTTGAAATCTAAGAAAGAAAATGAATATTATTTATTACAAACCTGCCACTCAGATCTTTCCTGTGGCCCAGAGTGACTCTGTGGGGGCACTGCACCTGTGAACTCCAAATATCTGAGATAGGTATCAGTCAATTTAGAAAGATTTTTTGGCCAAGGTTAAGGACGTACCTGTGACACAGCCTCGGAGGTTCTGATGACATGTGCCCAAGGTGGTTGGGGCACAGTTTTTTTTATACATTGTAGGGAGACGTGAAACATCAATCAATATGTGTAAGATGTACATTGGTTCAATCCAGTGAGGTGGGACAACTTGAAGCAGGGAGTTTGCAGGTCATAGGTAGATAAGAGACAAGAGATTGCATTCTTTTGAGTTCTTGATCAACCCTCTACTGAATACACAACGTAGTCTGGTTCAGTGAATCTGCATTTTTACAAAAACAATAGGGCAGAGGAAGCTATCAGATATGCATTTGCCTCAGGCAGGCCTCAGAGAAATCACTTTGAGTTCTGTCTGTCCTTTGTCCTTTGTGGGCAAACTGTGAGGGAGGCATGCAGCTTTTTATCTTTCTAGCAGTCTTATTTAGGAGTAAAATAGGAGGCAGGTTTGCCTGCCATAGTTCCCAACATGACTTTTCCCTTCGCCTAGTGATTCTGGGGTCCCAAGATTTATTTTCATTTTACACACCTTACTCTTCATTTCCTAAATAGCATTAAAATCCAATTTTAAACTTTCTGCCTGGCCAGGTACGGTGGCTCACGCCTGTAATCCCAGCACTTTGGGAGGCCAAGGTGGGCGGATCACCTGAGGTCAGGAGTTTGAGATCAGCCTGACCAAGATGATGAAACCCTGTCTCTACTAAAAATACAAAAAATTAGCTGGGCATGGTGGCTTTCACTCACGTCCGTGTGAAGAGACCACCAAACAGGCTTTGTGTGAGCAACGAGGCTGTTTATTTCACCTGGGTGCAGGCGGGCTGAGTCTGAAAAGAGAGGCAGCGAAGGGAGATAGGGGTGGGGCCGTTTTATAGGATTTGGGTAGGTAAAGGAAAATTACAGTCAAAGGGTGTTGTTCTCTGGTTGGCAGGGGTGGGGGTCACAAGGTGCTCAGTGGGGGAGCCTTTGAGCCAGGATGAGCCGGGAGAAGGAATTTCACAAGGTAGTGTCATCAGTTAAGGCAGGGACCAGCCATTTTCACTTCTTTTGTGGTGGAATGTCATCAATTAAGGCAGGAACAGGCCATTTTCACTTCTTTTGTAATTCTTCAGTTACTTCAGGCCATCTGGATGTATACGTGCAGGTCACAGGGGACATGATGGCTTAGCTTGGGCTCAGAGGCCTGACAGTGGCAGGCGCCTGTAATCCCAGCTACTGGGGAGGCTGAAGCAGGAGAAGTGCTTGAACCCGGGAGGCACAGGTTGCAGTGAGCCGAGATCGTGCCAATGCACTCCAGCCTGGGCAACAAGAGTAAAACTCTGTCTCAAAACAAACAAACAAAAACACAAAACAAAACAAACAAACAAAACTTGCTGCCTTTAGTGCTATCCAATGGGTCTATGAAGGCTTTTGATGGTGTGACTTCCTTTCAAAGGCTTTTTCCTGTGTGCCTACACTGGCTCGGTTGTTCTTGCCTAGACTTTCTAGGGATAGAAGGTGGCATTCTAAGCATGGTTCTATTGTTTTAAGAGTTAAGGGGATGCGTATGTGTGTATGGGTATGTTTCTAATCACAGAAAGTGGGGATTAAATATCTCATCCAGATCTTATACTAATGTGCAGATCATTGACTTACGATTTCAGGAGTGGCAGAAAATCCTTTGTTTATTTTGTCTCTCCCTCTATTCGTGGACAATGTTGTCATTGTCAGGCCTCTGAGCACAAGCCAAGCCATCGCATCCCCTGTGACTTGCACGTATACATCCAGATGGCCTGAAGTAACTGAAGATCCACAAAAGAAGTAAAAAATAGCCTTAACTGATGACATTCCACCATTGTGATTTGTTTCTGCCCCTCCCTAACTGATCAATGTACTTTGTAATCTCCCCCACCCTTAAGAAGGTTCTTTGTAATTCTCTCCACCCTTGAGAATGTACTTTGTGAGATCCACCCCTGCCTGCAAAACATTGCTCTTAACTTCACCGCCTAGTCCAAAACCTATAAGAACTAATGATAATCCACCAGCCTTTGCTGACTCTCTTTTCAGACTCAGCCCGCCTGCACCCAGGTGATTAAAAGCTTTCATTGCTCACACAAAGCCTGTTTGGTGGTTTCTTCACACGGACGCGCATGAAAGTCATCTGATAGGACATTACAGTAGTGTTTGTCTGTAAATAGCTTTTGCTCTAATTCTGTCCCCTCCACTTGGGGATGCAGGACAGCAGAGTCAGGTCACTGGAGAGCCATCTGACCCAAGGTCCTGCTGTCAGGCAGCCTTTCAGCCACGTCAGACCAATGATAGTCTCTCATCTCCATTGCCTACATGAGCTAAGGTGCCACCATCTTGTCTCATCACCTGCTGCAATGTGGAATGGAAATTTGTGTTTTTCAAGGAAAGGCTTGGAAGAAAGTGTTATTTTCCCTAACACCAGAAGGTTCATCTGAATATCCCTAAGGACTTAGACAAGTGTGTGAATGAATATCAACGTAAATACTTTGTTTTTTTTTTTTCAAGTTTAAAAGGGGAGTAGGGAGCAGAGAAATAAAAGAAGAGAGGATCTTTCTATGCAATAACCATTTTTAAAAGCCAAAATTCCCTAAAAAGTATTATAAAGGGCTGGATGTGGAGGCTTACACCTATAATTCCAGCAGTTTGGGAGGTCTAGGTGGGAGGATCACTTGAGGCCAGGAGTTTGAGACTAGCCTTAGTAATATAGTAAAACCCCACCTGTACAAAAATTTTAAAAATCAGCTGGGCATGGTGGTGCATACCTATAGTCTCAGGTATTCAGGTGACTGAGGCAGGAGGATCACTTGAGCCCAGAAGCTGGAGGCTGCAGTGGGCTCTAATCGTACCACTGCACTTCAGCCTGGGTGACAGAGTGAGACGCTATCTCAAAAATAAAACAAAAAAAGAAAAGAAAAATGATGTAAAAAGGTAAGACTCGACTGCCTAACTTCAAATTCACGATTTGAGCAGGAAAATCAATGATCAATTTTCCTGGGCAACTACAGGTTACCTTCCTTAATAAAACTCCTTAACCTAAGATGTGCCCCCCCACCCCCCTCAAATTCCTGACCATAGCATTTACAATAAGACCTTTTATTGCAATTATGAACATAGGATACTGGAAAATATCTTCTATGTGGCAAGCCCAACTGTAATGCTGTACTCAGGAATTCTTTTATTAAAATATGCACACACTCATACTTGAGATTTATTGGTCTTTTGTCTTATTGCGTTAAGTTCTTAAGCTGATTTTTGATATTACTCTTGTGGCATTTTACAGCTTTTGTGCTTAAACTGCACATTCTTCTGCAAGCATAGATATTTTGAGATGAAGTAGGCAGCACTTCATAGAATTCGAAGAGATGGGGAGGATGAATGATGAATGAATGTATTTACTGTGTAAATGAGGAATAACACTGGGCCAAGGTTTTTCTCCTGAAACCAGATTTTAAAAATGGTTTAATAATATATTTTAATATGCTCTCCTTTGGGGAACCATGTAAATCTAGTAGACTGTACTTTCCCCTTATTTTTCTTGACTTCAAATCAGAGTGATGGTTTGGTGGGTTGTACGCCCCAGTGACTTTCCTCTCTGCCACATTTTCCTGTCTGTTGGCATCTGAGGACATTTCAATGGCTTCCTTGAAGCTCTTGCTGTCTCTCCTCTATGTTCAATTTTCTGCCTTTAGCACACTGTTCAAGAATGGCTTTGCAATCTTAGTGTTTGTTATTTGCTCTCATCCCTTGACCAGCCTGTAATGTTTCCGGAGGTAATCTGATGAATTGGTTTGAATAGCTCGATTTGGAGAATAGCTAACAGGCAGGGAAAGTGAGGAGCATGAATAATGGAGGTAGCTGGGGCCTTTCATTGAATCAATATATACAGTGGGGGAGGAGACAGGCATCAGGAAACATTGGCCCACTAGGAATAAGATTGCTGGGTATTAAGTTTTGGCATTGTTAGAATTGTGACATGAATGGGGAATGAGAATCTCTTTGGTCTTCTCTGGCTATCTTGGGGTGTGGACTATCGTTTATTGTTTCACTGTTAATACCCTATGAAAAAGCAAGGGTCACCTGTGCTCTGTGTGGCACTGCAAAATCAAATTAACATTGACCTGAGCCCCTGCTACAGGCTACAAAGCAAAGTGTGGGTGCTGCTGAGGATACTGGAGAGCATTAAACATGGTTGGGCAAGATGTAAAAGGCGATTGGAAACAACAGTGGAATTTTGAACACAAGGTGTTAGGTGGTAAATTGCGTAACGAATGCTTTTGACCTTCAGTGGGTCTGCTGAAGTCAGTGTGAGTGAGGAGGAAACAGGAGCTGGGGCTGTAAGGATGAGAGGATGGAGATGGTAGAGAACAGAACTGGAACATTCTAGCTGAGAGTGACGTTGGCAAAGTAGAAAGAGCTCTCTCTAGGAAGTAGGAGATCTGGCTGAAGTGCAATGGCGTGATCACGGCTCACTGTAGCCTCACTCTCCTGAGCTTAAGGGATCCTCCTGATTCAGCCTCTGGAGTGTCTGGGGCCACATGTGCACGCCACCACATCCAGCTATTTTAATTTTTTTGTAGACACGAGGTCTCACTATGTTACCCAGGGTGGTCTCAAACTCCTGGGCTCAAGCAAGCCTCCTCCCTTAGCTTCCCAAAGTGCTGAGACTGTAAGTGTGAACCACCACTCCCAGTCCGAGACCTGGCTTTTGACTTATTATACCTGTGCTCCTGCTTCCTGTGTGGCATTGGGCAATCAACACAGCCTTTCTGAATGTTCACTTCCTCAACAGTAAATGGAGGAGTTAGATGACTCATTCATTCCAGAAATAGTTTTGAGCATTTGCTCTGCATCAGACCCGGTGCCACGTACCATGGGTGCAAAGGGGAGCAGCATAGGTAAGATCTGTGCCTTCCGAAGAGGGTAGAGTCTTCTGGAGGGACATTACAAATAATCAGGCACTCCCAGTGCTGGGAGCTAAGTTCTGTTACAGGGAAGAGAAAGAAACAATGGGAATACCAAGGAGGATATTTACAGAGGGGGAAGGCTTTGAGCTGAAATTGAACGGTGAATAAAGGCTGAGCAGCCATGGTGAGATGGGGGGAGACTCTTCTGAATGGTGTGGTGGCGGAAGTGGGGGTGGGGGGGATGCAACAGTCTTGTTGGACTGGAACATAGAGTTCAAATGGCGGAATTTCAGAGCTTTGACGCTCTACTATTAAGAAGGTCCAGCAAGTTCTGCCGTGAACAGTTGTGCTCATAGCTAGCTGTGTGATCTTGAACAAGTTTCTTTGTCTCCAAAACCTAGTTTTGTTACAGGTAGATAGGCAAGAGTGGGCTCTCCCCCGACGCACTAGAAATGTCGGATGACAGTTCCACAGTTATCGCATTGCCTCTCTAAAAATCATAATTCAGCAGCCAGGGAGAGACAATCTCCTGATGGTCCATAACCTTGACATTAAAAGTGTTAACTGAATACAGATCCCAGGGAGAAGCAGATTCTTGGGCATGTGTGTTAAGAGATAAAATGGCAAAGTATGACTTTCCGGGGTACACGCCACAGGAAAAAGGAAAAAGTCTCAGGTGGGCATGCGTGTAACTCCCTAAACGCACTGCGCGTGCTCAATTCCAAAGGCTAAGGAAAGCATTGCGCATGCGGGAAACCCACGCTGAGGGAAGAATCATGGGAAAGAGGTGAGCCTGTAAAGTTTTAGGATCAAGGTTAAAGGCCCTTTTTTGCTCTCTTCTCTCTTGGACCTTCAGGCGACGGCTTGGGTATCTTCCAAGCGAATTTTCCTTTCTTTCCTGTTCTTTTTTTTTTTTGAGACGGAGTCTTGCTCTGTCGCCCAGGCTGGAGTGCAGTGGCGTGATGTCGGCTCACTGCAAGCTCCGCCTCCCGGGTTCACGCCATTCTCCTGCTTCAGCCTCCTGAGTAGCTGGGGCTACAGGCGCCCGCCACCACGCCCGGCTAATTTTTTTGTATTTTTTTTTTTAGTAGAGACGGGGTTCCACCGTGTTAGCCAGGATGGTCTCGATCTCCTGACCTCGTCATCCTCCCGCCTTGGCCTCCCAAAGTGCTGGGATTACAGGCTTGAGCCACCGCGCCCCGCTCTTTCGTGTTCCAAAGGCTTTTTAAATAAACTTCCACTCCTGTCCTGGATTCTGCTTTATGGCCCTCAGTCGAATTCTTTCTTCTGAGGAGGCAAGGACTGAAGTTGCTTCTGACCAGTACAGGTACGCCGCAGGTAACTTGGATCTCTTCCACCGCTAATAGTTTCTTAATCTGTAAAATGAGATAATGTGTGTATTGCATTAGCCCATTCATTGTGTGGGTTTAATGAGATGATGTACGTAAAGCCCTGAGCATAGTGCCTGGAATATAGGAAGTCCTTAGTAAATGTTAATTGCTGCATTTTCATTATTACTACATCTTCCACACCCCAGGGATCCCTTGCGTCACAGAGTGCTCGCCACCACCCCCGGGGGACACCTTCCCCAATCACTGTGGCCCTCTCTGGGGAGCTGAAGGCCTCCATAACTGCCATGGGATTGATTTGTGAGCAATTGCTTGCACAGGCTCAGCTTCTGTCCTGATTACCACAAAATTTGGATTCATTTCTCCCCAGTACTTCTCCCGTAGTGTTATACCTAGACATTTCCTATGTGGGATTGAGATAAAATATTCCATTCCTATGGATAATATGGTTTTCTATCTCTATTATTCAGACACAATGACCAAAGAATAATTTGGATGGCTGGCAAGCCTTGGATCAATAACATGCTGCCTGCTGTTAAAAAGTTAGCTTGGTCATCACATTTCTTCTTTGCACTAAGGATAATATTGTACTCTGATCCTCCATCCTTTCCTTCCTCTTTCCTCCCTCCCATCCTCCATCCTTTCCTCAAGTGTAATCTTACTCTTAGGAGGTGTGAAAGGCTAACTTAGCCTTTAAATGTGTTCTTTGAATTCCTTAGTTCTAGAGAGGTAATTTCTAAGATCATCCTATCAGAGAAATGTAATACTCTAAAAATCTGCTTTTATTTGGTATAGATCACTTCCTACGTATTTGCTGAAAACTTGCCACAGTCTTTAATAGAGCATATATATTTTAAGGAACCACAGACGTGCTTTAAGTTTGGGCCTTTTGAGAATCTAATGGTGTTAAAAACATAAGGACCCTCAAAAATGTAATTATCTTTTCCAGCCTTCCCTCCCTGCCTTACTCATATTCTGACCTTGAATAGTTCTCACTTTACTGTTGAACCACAATTCAGCAGCGGCAGCAGCAGCAGCAGCAGCAGCAGCTCTTGTAGAATGTTGCAATCTCAAAAGGGATTTACAATTGTTTGTGTTTTTCATCATTGACTTGAATAGCGTTAATTCAGAATGATGCACTCTGCTTCAGTACTGCAGATCTGAAGGAGGTGGGAATTGAGACAGACTGATTTGTCTGGAGCCCCGTGGTTCAGTCTAGGATTTATAGAGACAAAGGAGTTTTTTTTAACATAGTTTTAATACAGTCTGCACTTCCTCTTCCACCTACACCTCTGCCTTCTTAACGACTGTGGTTAAGCATAATCTATTAATCCTTCAATGAGAAAGGAAAGCCATGGGAAATCTAGCAACAGGAATTGTGTGTGAGTCAATGCTTGGACTATTAGAAGCGGAAGATATGTGCAGAAATAAAAAAAACTCACCTTGTAGCAAATTAAGAGCATTGATTGGACTTTGCCAGGAAGTGTTTCTTTTGTATTCTTTCTGATGGATGCCAGCGGTATTAAAATAAAGAGAATAAATAATACTGAGTAAGGAATTATTGGTGCCGATGTTGGCACTAAAACCCTCACTTGTAACTGTGCATAGAATAATTAGGTTAGAAGACTATGAGTGCCTGTTCTCTTAGACTGGTATTAGTGGGAGCCAGGCAGGGGACACAAGGCTGGAGGCTTCATCTGGCACAAAACATCTGGGTCTCCCAACTCAGACCCAAAGCTAACTTCCTCTTGTGACCTGGTTTCTCTCTCCATCTCCATGCTCTGTCCCCACTGCATCCCCTGGACCCTGGAGATCTTCCTTTTTTTTATCCGCCTAGTTGCTTGCGATAGGGGCTGCTCCCTGCACCAGAGGCCCCAGGTAACACAGGCAGGTCTCTAAGACATGCTACTTAGCTTTTGTTTTCAGTTTCCATCTTGACTTCTTAAATTGCTGATATTATCACTGTCAAAAAACAAATACAAAGATATTATAAACTGATTCCAAGTCATATCATGTTTTGAAAGGAACACATGGCCGTGTGTAAGCCTTTCCACCTCCCCCTGTGTTCTTAGTTCATTTCTTGTGCCCTTAGTTCATGACTTGTGCTCTTAGTTCCTGTCTACCACATCCCATAGTGCCCTATCCCTGATTTTGTTCCAAGTGTCCCTAGCAGTGTCCCCTAGCAGTGTGCCTCATTTGTGGCTAAATGTGCCTCTGTGCTTGGAACAAACCTTTAAGTTCACCTTTCAGAACCTGACAGATGGGAGCTACCATCCTCAAGTACTTGCTTTATATCGTCATCAGCATTATTGGGCAGCTCTTTTTCTTGGATACAGATTTCTTACCCTCTAGAAGACTGTTGTTTTAGAACATTACATCTGAAATCCAATCTGGAGATTTTGATTCAGTGGGTCTGGGATGGGGCCCAGGAATTTGTAGTTTTAACAAGTATCTCGGGTGATCATTATCAGGAAAGTCTGGAAAACCCTGCCTTACAACTTTCCTGTTCTCTTTCCTGCCTCATTCACATAGACCTGCTAAGTATTTGCTGGACGTGCAAACAACCTTTGTAATGACTCTGTAGGCTTCCATTTGACAGAGTTTGAATATAATATGGTAATTTTGAACCCTCATAATCTTTTAAAGATAGAGTTTTACCAAATCAATCATTCTGTATTGACAGTTTTAATTCATTGCTTGTTCCTGCATGAACTTCTCATTGTGGAACAGTTAAGATATCTACTTTAAAAAAAAAATCTGGAATTTAGTTTGAATTTCTCATTGTGAAGCAACTACAATATCTACTTTTTAAAAATATTATTTATTTATTTATTTTTTTGAGACGGAGTCTCACTCTGTCGCCCAGGCTGGAGTGCAGTGGCGCAGTCTCGGCTCACTGCAAGCTCCACCTCCTGGGTTCACGCCATTCTCCTGCCTCAGCCTCCAAAGTAGCTGGGACCAGAGGCTCCCGCCACCACGCCCGGCTAATTTTTCTGTATTTTTTAGTGGAGACGGGACGATATCTACTTTTTTAAGAAATCTGGAATTTAGTTTGTTAGAAAAATCTGATTCTGCCGGGCTTGGTGGCTCACACCTATATCCCAGCACTTTCGGAGGCCGAGGCGGGTGGATCATGAGGTCAGGAGATCGAGACCATCCTGGCTAACACAGTGAAACCCCGTCTCTACTAAAAATACAAAAAAATTAGCCGGGTGTGGTGGCAGGCGCCTGTAGTCCGAGCTGCTCGGGAGGCTGAGGCAGGAGAAGGCGTGAACCTGGGAGGTGGAGCTTGCAGTAAGCCGAGATTTCGCCACTGCCCTCCAGCCTGGGCGACAGAGAGAGACTCCGTCTCAAAAAAATAAATAAATAAAGAAGATTCTTAGCAGCTAGTTAGAGTAGCAATTAAAGTTCTTGATTTTTTTTAATTTGTTCCTTTTAATTAAAAATTTTAGGGAAGGGAGAAATGAGGAGTTCTTTCATGGGTAAGTTGTTCATGGGTAAGAATTTCAATTTTGCAAGATGAGAAGAATTCTAGAGATTGGTTGTACAACATCGTGAATACATTTAACACTGCCAAATTGTACACTTAAAAATGCCTAACGTGGTAAATTTTATGTTATGCAGATTTTATCGCAATATTTTAAAAATCGGGGGAAGTGTCCACAGGTTTATGGTCTAGATAGCTGTCAGAAAATGAATATGAGTACCTACCATGTAACCAGGCACTATGCTAACAGCTTTCTGCCTTTTTCAGTAGAGTAGGTTATTTAATTCTTTTAACAGTGCTGTCTTTATTTCACAGATTGGGAAGGAGAAAGTCACTTGACTCACAGGCCAACTGCTATGGACTGAATTGTGTCTTCCCCTCATTAATATGTTGAAACCCTATCCTCCCTCCAATGTGATGGTATTTGCAGATGGGGCTTTTGGGAAGTAATGAAGTTTAGATGAGGCATGAGGGCTGGATGGATATGATCAGATGAGTGCCCAAAGAAGAGACACCAGAGAGCTAGCTTCTTCTTTCTCTTTCCACCTTTACACACTGAGAAAAGGCCAAGTGAGCACACACCAAGAAGGCAGCCATCTGCAAACCCAAGGAGAGAGTCCTCACTAGACACCCTGCTGGTACCTTGATCTTGGACTTCTAGCCTCCAGAACTGTGAGAAATAAATTCCTGTTGTTCAAGCTAGTATTAATACCTGGTGTTTTGTTATGGCAGCCTAAGTGACTAAGACACCAACTTAATTTACTTA
Source organism: Homo sapiens (assembly GCF_000001405.40). Classification (NCBI taxonomy): domain Eukaryota; kingdom Metazoa; phylum Chordata; class Mammalia; order Primates; family Hominidae; genus Homo; species Homo sapiens. The sequence goes on along the minus strand of NW_018654717.1, from coordinate 4,157,710 downwards.
GCCAGGGTCAATCAGTGGTAGGGCCCAGGATTCTGACCCAGTTCTGCCTAACTCCACAATTCATGCTTTTTCTGGATATAAACATCTGCCTTCCCAGTTTCCCTGACTCTTAGAGCCGTGGAGCAGTGTGTGTCATGTGCTGCACACCCAGGCTGGAACAGCCTGTCTCCAGGTAGGTCTCTGCATAGTGTGTGACTCCATGGGGACCTCTATGCGGCCCCAGTCTTGTGAGCTGATAAAATTTATATTGGTAGCTTGGCAAATTTAACGCCTACCTCCAACAACTCTTCAGGAATGTGGGACTCTCTAAAGGGATTCATTTGCAGAGACAGAAGCCTTGGTGTGGGATGTGTTACTGTACAGTTTGTACAGTTTGCTAAACCCCTCAGCCAATACGGTTTCTATAACTGGTGCCCCCCCCACAGTTCGCTGGGGTTCACTGTTGTGCAGGTGATAGCTCCAGGTGTTGGGAATCCCTGATGAAGCCTTAGCTGGCAATGGCTGAAGGCGATATCTCTGAGATGTCCGGTCAGGACCTTCCTCTCTGTTGCCATGGCTGTGTCTCACTGCCGCGCCTCTCCTCTGTTCCCTGCAGGGTAGAGTCTGGATGCTTTTATCGACATATTGGAGTTTTTCTACTAAGTGCAGAAACGTCTCTAGATCTGAGCACAGTCACATCAAGCTTAGATTTTAATGTCCTGGTTTCATTAATTTCTATTTCAGTTATTCCAGGGGCTGCTCTCCCTCACTGGGTTCTTTTCAGATGTGTACAATGGCTAGAACTTCTTTCTGTTCTTGCTGCAATATGCCAGCCGCATTTCCTTTTACACGGGCGTCTCCTTTTGTCTCCTGTCTGTGGGTACTGCAGTAGCAAAAGGGGCAATCTGTGGTCTTTTCTCCATAACCCCTCCTGCAGAGAACAACTTTCAGGCTGGGGGTTTCCTGAAACATAGATTGCACTGGACAGAAGGACTTAACATGTCTTTGTTGCACCCTAAAACATGACCTTTAGTTTCTCTCTGCTTAGAATCTATATGCTGTGCCACGATTTTTCTACCATGATTTTATCTTGTAGAATTCACTTTACCTCTCTGGGTTCCAAGTCCTCATTTATTAAATGAAGATCCCATTCTAAGATTGTGCCAATTTTCCTATTTCCAAATTCATCAGCACCGAGAGTGCCTGTCCTTACTGTGGAGGTCTGGCGATAGAGAGCAGGTTCTCCCTGCAATATTGACACAGGCCCGCCTCTGCTGTGGGGGCCTGAACACTGGCATCCCTAGCTTCTCCTCGGGGCCAAAGATGACTTGAGCCTTCCCAGTGGAGGTAGAAGCTGGAGCTTCCTTTCAGGAAGTGGCTCATAGTGACAGACTCAAAGATCAGGAGGGTCTTGTAGTTCCATCATGTTGACAAGGATTATAGGAGCTGTAATTATACAAGCTGCCCCAAAGTCCTGATTTCAGTCCTCATTAAGTCCCGACTTCTAAAATGAGGTTAAAATTATATCATAAGGGCTGGGCGCGGTGGCTCACGCCTGTAATCCCAGCACTTTGGGAAGCTGAGGTGGGTGGATCACTTGAGGTCAGGAGTTCGAGACCAGCCGGGCCAACAGAGTGAAACCTCATCTCTACCAAAGACACAAAACTTAGCCAGGCATGGTGGTACATGACTGTAATCACAGCTACTGGGGAGGCTGAGGCAGGAGAAGTGCTTGAACCCAAGAGGCAGAGGTTGCAGTGGGCTGAGATCGTGCCTTTGCCCTCCAGCCTAGGCGAAGAAGTGAGATTTTGTTAAAAAAAAAAAATAAAAATAAACATATATATATTAGGCTTGGCATCTTGGCATGGTGGCTCACACCTATAATCCCAGCACTTTGGGAGGCCAAGGTAGGAGGATCCCTTCAGGCCAAGAGTTTGAGACTGGCCTGGGCAACGTAGTGAGACCCCATCTCTAAAACCAAAAATTAGCTAGGCATGGTGGTGCATGCCTGAAGTCCCAGCTACTTGGGAGGCTGAGGTGGGAAGATTGCTTGAGCTCAGGAGTTTGAGGTTATAGTGAGCTATGATCATACTACTGCACTCCAGCCTAGGTGACAGAGTGAGACCCTGTCTCTAAATAAAAATAAAATAATAAATCAATTGTATCATAAAAAACTAAACTTGCCCTCACATAACTCTCTCTTCTGCTGACAATCAATACTTTCTTAGACAACGTTTTCTTCAGTTCCAGCTGGCTTTTGAGGAGCAAATTTTTCTCCCCATAGAGTTTTAAGAAATGCTTCCTCAGCAAATTGAGAAGAAGAAAGTAAAGCAAATGTTTTCTCTAAGTGACTCCTTCCCAAATTCTAGTTTAAGAGCCTTTGTAAATCAGATGGAAGCTTTAGAAAAATGGCAGCAGATAAAAGCCTGCAGGATGACTCCAAAGTAGTCAAAGCCACCTAAACACGTGCATTGATGATGGGTGTGCCTATGTTATAGGTCCCATGGATCCCTGGGAGACTCAGGAAGGAGTCAGTTCTCAGTTATAGAATGTTAGAGACCACTTAGGCTTTATTTTATTATTATTATTGAGATGGGGTCTCACTCTGTCACCCAGGTTGGAGTGCAGTGGTGCAATCTCAGCTCACTGCAACCTTCACCTTCCATGATCAAGTTATCCTCCCTCCTCTGCCTCCCAAGTAGCTAGGACCACAGGTGCACACCACCACACCTGGCTAATTTTTTGTATTTTTGGTAGAGACAGGGTTTCCCCATGTTGTCTAGGCTGGTCTTGAACTCCTGAGCTCAAGTGATCCACCTGCCTTGGCCTCCCAAAGTGCCGGGATTACAGGCTTGAGTTACTGCGCCGGGCCCCAGCCTTTATATAATGGGACTGCCTGTAATGGAAGAGCATGAAATTTTAAAAAATCTAATTTCATTTTCCATTAATGTATGTATTAATTTTTTCCTTACTGATTCTGTATTGAATTATTGATTATGAATTTCATTCATTCATTCATGTACTTGTTATTTATTTAAAAAAATTATCTTTGCCTGTCTACCGAGTGTTAGGCCCTGGGCCAAATTTTATCTTTAGAACTTTGAAGGTGGCAGGCTGGCTCTCTGATCACACAGAACTTGCATCTGAAAGGGAATAAACTGACTGATAAATGAACTGAATAATGATAGTTTGTGGTGAATGCCATGAAGCAAAAGAATAACATGATATTCGGAGGCTGACACGGGTATATCACCTGAGGTCAGGAGTTCGAGACCAGCCTGCCCAACATGGTGAAACCCCATCTCTACTAAAAGTACAAAAATTAGCTGGGCATGGTGGCGCGCCCCTGTAGTTCCAGCTACTCAGGAGGCTGAGGCCCGAGAATTGTTTGAACCGAGGAGGCAGAGGTTGCAGTGAGCTGATTGCACCATTGCCCTCCAGCCCACATAAGAGCAAAACAACATCTCAAAATAAATAAATAAATAAAATAAAAATGTCATATTACATTAATGGTCAAGCTAGGAATTGCTGAAATAATAATATGCCTAACCCTTTATTTTTCCTGTTCTCTGCTTTCTTTCTCCTTGTGCGTCTAGATCAATCCTTTCCTAACTCAACTTCAAATACCTAATTACCAGAAAACCACCACACAAATGTCTGAGAGCTGCTTTTGTCATTGAAAATACACAGGCTTCCTTACTAACCTGGTTTAGTTAGTGTATTCCTTGCATTTTGGGATTCTTCAAAGTAGGTCATCATTTTTTTGAAAAATCACACAATCCTTATTTTTATTTAAACTTTTGAGATATCTATAAATTATGGTTTGAGACAATTAAAAAGGAGTTTGCATTTGACATAGCTCCATTCAAATTTAAAATGTTCATTCTCTGAAATAATATGTATTGCCAGAGGAGATGAAAAATAAAATGGACCAACATCTAAGCTGTGGTCTATCTGAGAACTTCCTGATCTCACCGTGGCAAAAGAATATCTTGTTCTACTGCCCCCAGCCCTTCTGTTCTTTGTTCTGGCCTGGCTTTCCAGAACTCCTATTTCTGATTAGGGCTTTTCTACTGATTGGTGGACACTGAGCAGTTTCCCTTCTGTGTCTTCTTATCTCTAATTTGCTTTATTTTTATGACTGTTGCCTGGTTTAGATGAGTCAAACCTTTAAAAATGCTATTTATATGCATTTCTGATATTTTTCTGTGTCTTAGAATATAAGTGAAAATTGCTTGTACACGTTAGCACTGTCTTTCATTTTTGTTTTTGCTGCAAAATAATTTAAACATAACGAGATTTGTACGAATTAAATTCAACAATAAAGCTCCCCACCAAAAGGCCAGGCCAAAACAATAAATTCTAACTAGTGTTTAAAACAACCAGTCTGGTGTTGAGGAAACTGAGTGGCTCTTTTCAAGCAGAAGAAAGACAGGAGATGTTCTCTATATTAATGAGCTGTTCTACTTTAGTGCTGTCGGGAGTGATGCTGACGGCATACGAGGCTGTGCTGTACTGGTTTGCAACATCTGTCACTGGCTTACATAGCTGTTAATCTTTCATTTCATGTTCAGACTTATCAGTATTCATTAAAGACCCTCCATTTGTGCAAGACCTTCTGGGAAAGAGTGCCCTATCTCGGTGTCTTAGATTTAACAACAACGACAAAAAGGTTCCATTTTAGACACTTTTTTTGATCAGGCAGCAGGCAGTCTCTGGCTGTGGGAGGTGGGAACCAGTCATATATGCATATGACCAAACAGCTTTTCTACTGGAGAAGTTTAGCATTGGTAAGAGAAGGTGTTCCAAGTTGATGTTTAAATCCACCCATTTCCATTTTGCTTCCTTACCTACAAGAAAATTTAGAAGTTGGTGCAAATGGCATTTCCATGAGTACTTCTCATGCATCTTTGCATATTTCACCTGGGGGGAAGCACAGAGGCTGAGCCTGGGAGGCTGGATCCGCGAGGGCGCGTCACCTCGCCTACTTGGGAGTCCAGGCACATGCACAGCGTCTAAAGGTCTAAACAGAAAGATGGGATGTCCTGCCCCAGCAAAAATCTAATGATTTTCTCTCTCTGTAGGAGAAAACGAATACAGCAGGGATGACTTCCACCAGCTCCACTTTGCAGCTCTGAGGTGTATTAAAAATGTAAGAAATGCACAGTGTCACCCGTCACTGCTTATTTCACATTTAAAAAACATGAATATTCTTAAGATGACCTGTAGAGGAACTGCTATATTTTGTCATACCCCTAGTCTCTCAATGATTCGGAAAGGAATGAGTGTATGCTGAATTTTTTCCAGGTAGGCAAGGATATTAGAATAGGTCTATCAGATTCAATGCAAATTGAGCCCACAGCCAACACAACCCATGGGAAGAAAAAAAAATCAAATATCAGGTTTAATTTAAAGCTATTTTCATTTAGATTGAGTGGCGTGACCAGGTCTTCTGTTCCAAGGAAAGGGACTATGAAGAATAAACTTCTGAAGCCTCTAACTCCTAGCAGAAACGCAGGCTTGCAGGAAAATGCCAACAGTGTAGCAAGACGCCTGGGGAGGGTGCCCATCCGCTCTTGGCTCCTGGGCTCCTTTGTTTCACATGCGCTCATCTTGGCTTTGAAGGCCACGTGAGGATGAGCAGCTGCCCAGGAACCTGAATCAGTTTTATCCTTTACCAACAGCCAGATTTTTAGTCTCCTCTCAAACACCTCTGAATCTGCCTGTCAGACTATAGACTTTAGGTCACCAAAATTTTTCCAACTGGGGGTGACTGTCTGGGAGCCACATCCTCTGCCCCACCCCCTGCCACTCTCAGAAGTTACTACTAGTGGGCTGAATCTAAGACCACAGGTGTGTCTTTGATCAACCTGTATTTTGGGCTGAGCGCAGTGGCTCACACTTGTAATCCCAGCACTTTGGGAGGCTGAGGTGGGTGGATCACCTGAGATCAGGAGTTCGAGGCCAGCCTGGGCAACATGGCAAAACCCCGTCTTTACTAAAAATACAAAAATTATCCAGGCATGGTGGTGGGTACCTGTAGCCCTGGCTACACAGGAGGCTGAGGCAGGAGAGTCGCTTGAACCCGGGGGGCTGAGGTTGCAGTGAGCCAAGATCACGCCACTGCACTCCAGCCTGGGTGACAGAGTGAGACTCCATCTCAAAACACAAAGCAAAACAAAATCAAAATAAAACCTGTATTTTGAAGAGACTGGATCTTTTCTGGGTTGGCTTGCATTCTAAAGCTGATTGTGGCCAGCAAGGCAGAAGAAAAGACAGCAAGGAAAAAAGACGAGAATTTTGTTTGTCTCTTTTTCATACGCTTCTAGCTTTCCTTCCCAGGCTCCACCAACACCAACACTTTTTTTTTTTGAGACAAAGTCTCGCTCTTGTTGCCCAGGCTGGAGCGCAGTGGCACAATCTCGGCTCACTGCAACCTCGCCTCCCAGGTTCAACCCATTCGCCTGCCTCAGCCTCCCGAGTAGCTGGGATTACAGGCGCTTGCCACCACACCCAGCTAATTTTTGTATATTTAGTATAGACAGGGTTTCACCATGTTGACCAGGCTGGTCTTGAACTTCTGACCTCAAGTGATCCACCTGCCTTGGCTTCCCAAAGTGCTGGGATTACAGGCTTGAGCCACTGCACCCGGCCCACCAGTGCTTCTGAGTGCCTTTAATTGCCCTATGACTATGACTGCATCCGTGGAGTGTATCATGGAATTTAATCACCTAGTCTGAACTCTCAGCTTCTGGGTGGGTAAAAACATGGTTAGAAGTGTGCTGTAAAATACAGGACTATCACATTCAAATGAAATTACCAAGTTCAAAACCAGATGGACATATTGTCTATCCACAAAAGAGTAGTGCTTGGATTTTTTTTTTTAACTTTTCATTTTGAAATCATTTCCAGCTTTAAAAAATACGAAAACATTACTGTATATCTTTTATTCAGACTTCCCAAATTTAAACCTCTTACACAATCACAATGATGTGAGTAAAATGAGTTCAGAGATCCACATTAGGAAATCAACGTTGATATGACGCTATCATCTAATCTTTAGATATTCCAATTTTGTCAGTTGTCCCATTCATGTTTTTGTTCTGGTCCGGTCCAGTCAAGGATCTCACGTTGCATTTAGTTGTCCTGTTCTCTTCCTTTCCTTTCATCTGCAGTGGTTCTTTGGTCTTTCTTTGTCTTTCATGACCATGACACTGTTGAAGAGTACAGGCCTGCTATTGTGTAGAATATGCCTCACTTTGGATTTGTCTGATGGGTCTTCCTGATTAGATGTAGGTTGTGCATTTTTGATGCATATATCAGGACACTGATCCATTCTGGTGAGATTCACTTTGATTACTTGATTACTGTAGTTATTTTTTCCCCCTCTGCAAATAGTGCAGTATCTGATGAGGAGACACTTTGAAAATAAATATCCTGGTCCTCATCAGACATTCACCCAACACTTTTAGCATCCTTTGAGGATTCTTACCTGAAACAATTATGACTGTGGTGCTTTCTACGTGGTGATTTTCTAATTCTCTCACTTCACTGAAATTGTACAGAAAGGATGAGTCTCCCTTTCTCCCCTATTTATTTACTTTAAAATTATTGGCCGGTTGCGGTGGCTCACGCCTGTAATCCCAGCACTTTGGGAGGCTGAGACTGGTGGATCACGAGGTCAGGAGATCAAGACCATTCTGGCTAACACAGTGAAACCCTGTCTCTACTAAAAATACAAAAAAAATAATTAGCCGGGCGTGGTGACAGGCGCCTGTATGGGAGGCTGAGGCAGGAGAATGGTGTGAACCCAGGAGGCGGAGCTTGCAGTGAGCTGAGACTGTGCCACTGCACTTCAGCCTGGGCGACAGAGTGAGACTCTGTCCCCCCCCCCCCAAAAAAAAGTATTTATTTATGTCAATATGGGCTCATGGATTCTTATTTTATTCTATGAGATATAATGCATTGCTGTCATTATTTAGTTTCTGGCTCAAATTATCCCAGATTTGGCCATTGGGAGCCCCTTCATAGGGGTTTGTGTGTCCTGTGACATGGCACATTCCTTGGACACTTTCCTACTTTACAGTATTATCAACATATTCCAGGCTCGTCTTGTTCTTCCCTTGCTCCAGCTCTTCATTCAGCCTTTTCTTCAAGGAGCCCTGTGTCTTTTTTTTGGAGAATGGTCTTTAGAATCTAAGATTGGGGGCTGATTGTTCTCATCGCTGGTGCAGAGACATTTCTTCTAGATCCTCTTAGTGGGCAGAGCGAAGAAATACATGTATAATACACACACATTGAGACGGAGCAGGGGCACCCTCTTACAGGCCTGCTGCCCTCCCCAGCCGCAAACATGGAAACAAAATCTTGAGTTTTTCAAGGAAAGTAAATAACAGACACCTAGCTAGCCCTGAGAACCAAATGAGCAACCTGGTAAGGAGGTAATTGTAGCTTAAAAAGAATAGTCAAGGAAGTTAGAGCCACAAGGTGTTTGGTTCCCTGTAGAAACTAAAGATAACATCTTAACACGTGTCCTTGAGTTGTTTTTCAGAAACCTAGAGCCCCACCAAATGAATCCGCTGGCACGTGGACCTCAGATGGGGGAAACTGAGGACTGAATTCTGACCACCCTCCTTTGTTCTAAATTTCTTCCTGAAGGACCTGGAAGAAGTCATGCCACGGGCCAGACCTTAACATTCCTTTCGGCTTACCCCAGGATTTCAGACGAAGCTTCACTTTCCTAACCAGTCACAAATCAGAGAATTTTTGATTCCACCTATGACCTGTGAGCTCCTGCTTCAAGATATTCCACCTTTTTTAGGCCAAACCAATGTATAACCTCCAAGTGTCGATTTACACTTTCGACTGTAACTTCTGCTTTCCTGAGATTTACCCCTGCCTTTAAAAACCCTTGCTTGTAATCCCTCAGGGAGGCCGTGTATTTATTAATCATGAGCTGCCCAATTCTCCTTGCTTGGTGCCCTGCAAATAAACACCCTCTTTTCTCCCACTGCAAAACCTCAGTGTGGATGTTTGGCTTTACTTCACCCCCAGGAAAGCAGACCCAGGTTTGACTCAGCAACAACATCTGTTTCTATTTTTCTCTGTATAAATATTAAAAACCATAAGTACATGCTATCTCCAATTCCAATATAAACCCATAGGGCTCATTCTGGCCTTCCCATTTTCTTATGTGTAATTCATTTCTCTGAAAATGAGAATTCGAGTACTCAGATATTTACTTACCTACTCAATCCTAGAATAGAAATAAAATAATTCAACATAATACCTTCTTAAGTTCCTGGACTTAGTTACACAAAAGTGAGGAATTACACATGAATTCTAAAATGTGATTTTAAAAATCTTTCCTTTTCCTTCTTATCACCCTTAGTAGCTCTCTACAGTAATATAAATTTTTACCCACCTATTCTTACAAAGTCATTTCAAGGCTGTCTTATTTCTACCCAGGATTCCACACTTATTAGAGGCTCTTTATAGGGGAAGACCTAGGATTAGAATCAAAACAGAACATCTTTTCTTTCTCTGCTTTTACTTAGAATATCCAAAACAGACCCAAAGAGACTGTTACTTAATCCAACTATTTTCTTTCAATATAGTCATCTTATCTGTTTTTTAATCTAGTTTGACTTTGATATTAACAGAATAAGACACCAACAGAGCTCCCGACATGCAAAGCATAGACGTCTGTCCAATTTCTGAAGAAGTTAAGACATGAAAATGGCAAAGGTTTTCTGGAGATTTGTTGAGATGACTGAGGTTGAGAACACTATCCCCATGTTAAAGAAAAGACAGAATTGGATGGATGCAGCTTTCTTAGTATTTCTGTGTACCTTAATACCCTAACATTGGTGGTTTGGGCCCTTCAAGACACATTATTGGACAACATCACTGCGATATTGAGTACCATCAGAGCAGCTGAGATGCACTGAAATGTTGCCGATGTAATTTTTGCTATGCAGAAAGAAACTTACAGATCTCTACTTTGTGCCTCTGCCTCCTTTAAGTATAGGCTCCCGATGATAGGTCTAAGTTGAGACAGTTAACATCCAGCGGGTTGCCGCAAGAATTTCACCAAGACCCTATGTTTATTCAGTGCAGAATTGCTCATCTTCTTCAGGACTGGTTCTAGATAAAATATGTATGAGTGAGAAAAATGGTTTATAGAATATATGAGCCTGCCACCTCATAGGCCCAAGATATTTGTACTATATTTCCAACAGTAAGTATAAGTAAAAGCCATCATCAATGTGAGTGGGTTGAAATTGCTGCCAAAACAAGACTCTTATGTTGTTTTCAAAGATTCTCATGTAGTTTTAAAAGACAATTTAGTTGAATATCTAAGGTTGCATTTTAAAAGTAAAAAGTCAAAGTAAGGTTTAAAAAAAGGGATGGGGAAAGATATGCCGAGAAAGTATTATTAACACAGGAGGATGGCAAGATTATTACACAAAACAAAATAAAAAAACAAAAGGGTCTAAATGAGACAAAATGATATTAAAAATAATAAAAGGTAGAATCATATAAAACCTACAATAGTCATAAACTTTATGTACTGAGTAACATAGCAAAAATGTGTATAAGGCAATAAAACTCTTAGAAAACTTATGAGAATTTAACAGATCTTAATATTAGTAGTCAATTTTAATATTTTTATTTCAGTATTGAACAGATTAAGTAGTTTGAAAATAAGACCAAAACTTTTGAATATTCAAAAATATTTTAATATTGCATGTTTGAATATTTTGATATATAATATATTTGAATAAACAATACATTCAAATATGTATTGAATATGTAAGTATATACACTTAATTATAGACAAATACAATTTTGTTCTTTATAGAGTTTTTCAAATCACCAATGAGCATTTGCAAATGCTGACCATGTACTAAACTACAAAGAAAATCTCAATACAGTGTAAAAATTTAAATGATTATTGGGCATGTTATTTGATTGCAATACACTAAACTGGAAATTAACTATTAAAAGATGACAAAAGTGGTCTAACTTCTTAAAAATTACAATAAAAGCTTTTTATCATGCCTTTTGAATAAATGAAGAAAACAAATCTAAAATTCGGACTACTGAAAGACATGATAAATGGAAGCAGTGCACATCGGAATCTAAAGGATACAGCAAAAAGCATCCTGACAGAAAAATCCATATTTTTCAGTTATTTTGTGATAAAACAAGAAAAATGGAAGATTAGTTAAAATTTAATTCAAGAAGTTTTAACAATAAAAGACCAAAATAAAGTTGGAAATATAAACTAATGAAGACGGCCTGCCGCAGTGGCTCACGCCTGTAATCCCAGCAGTTTGGGAGGCTGAGGTTGGGAGTTCGAGACCAACCTGAACAACATGGAGAAACCCTGTCTCTACTAAAAATTCAAAATTAGCTGGGCGTGGTGGTGCATGCCTGTAATCCCAGCTACTTGGGAGGCTGAGGCAGGAGAATCGCTTGAACCCGGGAGGTGGAGGTTGCGGTGAGCTGAGATCACGCCATTGCATTCCAGCCTGGGCGACAGAGCGGGACTCCGTCTCAAAAAAATAAATAAAATTAATTAATTAATGAAGAATTAGAAAATAACAAAATTTAAAATTTGATAAAATCATAAGAGTGGTTTTAGAAAATATCAACAAGAGAAACAAACCGTTGATAAACCTGGCCAAGAAAACACTTTAAAAGATAGCTGGGCTGGACGCAGTGGCTAACGCCTGTAATCCCATCACTTTGGGAGGCCTAGGTGGGTGGATCACATGTGGTCAGGAGTTTGAGACCAGCCCGATCAGCACAGTGAAACCCTGTCTCTACTAAAAATACAAAATTAGCTGGACATGGTGGTGCATGCCTGTAATCCTAGCTACTTGGGAGGCTGAGGCAGGATAATCACTTGAACCCAGGAGGCAGAGGTTGCAGTTAGCCCAGATCATGCCATTGCACTTCAGCCTGGACAACAAGAGTGAAACTCTGTCTCAAAAAAAAAAAAAAAATACCTGCAGTTATTAAAATTGAGAAAGGATAGATTGACAATTTTGTCAAAGATTTACTTCCAGATAGTGTTACAGGAGGATACTCTCAAATTTTAAAGGATCTGGTAATTCCCATGGTTTTTTGATGTTGTTTGTTTGTTTGTTTGTTTGTTTTGAGATGGAGTTTCGCTCTTGTTGCCCAGACTGGAGTGCAATGGCGCGATCTCGGCTTGTCGCAACCTCTGCCTCCCAGGTTCAAGCAGTTCTGCCTCAGCCTCCCGCGTAGCTGGGATTACAGGCATGTGCCACTCCACCCGGCTAATTTTTTGTATTTTTAGTAGACACGGGGTTTCTCCATGTTGGTCAGCTGGTCCCGAACTCCTGACCTCAGGCGATCTGCCCGCCTTGGACTCCCAAAGTGCTGGGATTACAGGTGTGAGCCACCATGCCAGGCCAATTCCCATGTTATCAAATTATGTCAGTATAAGAAAAGATGGACACTTGCCAATTCAATTTTTTAGGTTATCATAATCCAGATTTCAAACCCAATAAAACATCAAAAACTGTAGACCTAATACTTCATCAGTATAGATGTAAAGGTCCTAAAGAAAATATTAGCAATTTAATCCATCTGTTCATTAAAAACGTTATGATCAAGGAACTTTTGAGAATTTAAGAATAGTTCAAAATTAAGAACTGTGTTGATTATGTCATTTTTATAGTTGCCTGTAGGAAGCAACCTCTAAGATGGTCCCCAGTGATCTCTGCCTCCTGGTATTCACAACCTTGTGGAGTCTTCTACTCTTGAATAATTTTCTATTCACCAATAGAATTCAGCAACATTGAGGGGATAATATTTCCATGTTTAAATGACAAAAGATTTTGACTTCCATCTTCCCAGCAGACTCTCTTTTGCTGGCTGTGATGAAGCAAGTTGCTGCATCAGGAAGCTCTATTAAGCAAGGACCTAAAGGTAGCCTCTGATCAAGAGCCAGTTAGGAGCTGAGAGCATCAGTTCAACAGTCCAAAAGGAACTGAATCTTCCAACAACCACATGAGGGAGCTTAGAAGCAGATCCTTCCCCAGTTGAGCATTCCCATGAGACTCCATCCTGGCCAACACCTTGATTGCAGCCTCATAAGAGATCCCAAAGCAGACAGCCCAGCTAAGCTATGATCAGGCTCCTGACCCACATAAACTGTGAGATAATAAGCATGTGTGAAGTTGCTATGTTGGCGGCAATTTGTTATGTTGTAATAGACATCTCATTCGGATGCCTAACAAGCTTTTGAGAAAACTGACTAGCCATTTATATAAGAAGCCTCTAATTCTGTGGGCCTCATCTTTCCATAAAGGGATTTCTAACAGTAATGTTTCTGTCCTCTCTCTGGATCTTCCTACCAGGGAGTGTCTGGTGAGTATTGGAGAATACACTGAAATTCCTTGGCTCTGCCCCTTGTGAGCTTCCCATTTTAGATGTGCTCGCCTGCAGACAGGGTCTTTTTCTGGAATGCCTTCCTTCGTGTGATATTAATTTTACCAGGGCAGCCATGGCTATGTGGAGGAGGCTTACCATTTTGCACTTTCATCTAGGTGAGTTTATTTCTAGGGTGAAAAATTAGAAAGCCATCTGAGTCCCCACATCTGTGCCACATTCTTCAATTATTCTCACCAATTAAGCTGGTGTTTTGATCTGTATCTGTCTGGTTCTTGTGTTCAGAATTGGTTCTAAACTCAAGGTGGGAAAAAGTTATTCATTAGTGCCCTAAAACTCTACCTAATGTTAGTTAAATTCTTAGGAGTCAAAGGAAGCTCCCTTAATATGGCAAAAAGTATATAAAGAAATCAACAGCAACTATCATATTCAATGATTGATTAATAAAGGAATTTCTATAAAAGTCAGAAACAAGGTAAGAATGCCCCATTACTATTAGCATCCAAACTTGCTAATAAGGGAGAAAATGGAATTAATATATACATAGGTTGGAAAGGAAGAGATAAGCATGATTATTTTGATGATATATTCTCATACATGGAAAATCCAAAAATATCAGCTGAAAAGTATTGAAACAAATAAGTATGGTCCGTAAAATATAGAGAAAAAATATGTACAAAAGCCAGTTGCTATTCTTTATACAGCAATTCTTTGTTGGAAAATATAATGGGAAAAAAAGTCCATTCGCAATAGCAGCAAAATGATAAAATACTCAGAACATATCTAAAAGAAATGTGAAAAATCTTTCTGAAGAAATACGTAAAACTTCTCTGAAGGAAATAAAAAGAAGAAAGAAAGATCTAAAGAAGTGGAGAGACAACCAGCAGGGTTCAGTGACTTAAGCTATTCTGTTAGGACAATGTGTACTGTATTTCTCATGAGTTAAACATAAAAGCAAATAACAGTACTACAGGGTTCTTTAGGAGATGATCAGAAAATATCATTTACATAGTATCCAAGCTCCATATTAAACAGGTTTTTGAATTATTCAGTACCGTCCAACAACTTTTATAGTTCTGTGATTTGGACAAGGCGTGCAGCACACCTGGCTGCTTGACAATGTTGTCAGTCTTCAACAATCCTTCCTCAACCCTAAATGGTAGAACAGGCTCATCATCATGGAGACCCTAGCACACTGCAAAAATGATCTACTCTGCATTTTCTTCTGTTGGAAAATGGCTGCATAGAATTATATGTGCAGCAAACAGAGGGCTAGCAAAGTTCCGCAAGCAGCATTTCACACAGAGCTGAAGAGTGGTTTCCTCATGGAGTCAAAAAGCTGATTAAGCATCTCTCCTCTGAGCTGCATGCCTATGTGAACCAACAGCAGCTTTGAACAGCACCAAATGGCTCCATAGAGCCTGTTCCTGTTACAATGTGAGACTCCAGAAAGATGCAAACAACATATTATTCCTCATTTTGTGGTTCTTTGGGCTCCAAGACCACAATCTCTACTTAATAAATTATCTTTTTTGGGGGAATGGGCAGGCTCTTGTTCTGTCACTCAGGATGGAGTAAAATGGTGGGATCATAGTTCATTGCAGCCTCCAACTCCTGGGCTAAAACAACCCTCCCACCTTAGCCTCCTAAGTAGCTGGAACTACACGTATGCACCACCTTGCCTGGCTAATTTTAAAATTTCTTGTAGATGGGGTCTCGCTATGTTGCCCAGGCTGGTCTCAAACTCCTGGGCCCAAGCCTCCTGGGCTCAAGTGATCTTCCTGCCTTGGCCTCTCAGAGCCCTGGGATTATAGGTGTAAGCCACTGCTGTTATTAAGCAAGGACAAAGGTCGTATGGCTAACAGTTTATTACACCCACAGTACTCTGTGTCTCTCAATTAGTCATGGAGTAAATCATAGTGGCTTTCTTGTGTGTGTCAGGTTGGTCTGAAACAGACAGGCCTCCATGGACCTGTAGGCATCCCCCTGTGGCAGTCCTAGTCTTCTGGCCTGTGAGACAGCCCATTCCAGAAACAGGAAAGATGGGGTTCATCATTATTTGCTTTTTAAATCTCTCATATATTGCCTTTATTTTTCTATTACCCCATTCCAACTTCCCCTCCTTTCTAAACTTCTCTTGCTGAACATTTTTGTAGGAATTGGGGTAAAATTGTCTTGAGAAAAGGCAGCTGTGGACTATACTATAAGTTTCCCAAAGGTGGGACTGTGTTTTATTCATTTTTGAATCCTCAAAACCTATTACACGATACATGCACTCTACATTGTTGAATAAGGTAACATAATTTTGAACTTGAAGCAAATAAGGAATTTCTATGAGAGTACTGACACGTATACATAAATCATGTATACTTCTGGTGTATGCTGGCCTCAATTTTAAGCAAAGTTGAGAGCTTTGAGTCAGACACAAGAGTAGGAAATAAATGGTAGAATTAGCTACATACAGAGGGAAGTTTTAGAATCTCTTTTCCTATAACAAGTCAAAGGCAGTGGCTCTTTTGGAGTGTTTCTGTTTGTGTTATTGGTCTTGAGGTAGGACAGACCAGCTCATCCTATAAGGTTCTTCTAGATTTCTGTTGCTAACAAATTCGGTAAGAAAGAATGAATGAGACAAGATCCATTGCAAGTGGTCATTCAGTCTCTGCAGCATGTTTTTCTGTCTGAGAGCATGGCCTACATTCAGAAGCCTGATTCTGCTGCTGCTCTTCTTCTGGGAAAGGCCTTGACTGCAGAAAGCAGGGATGGAAGGTTCTCTTACTTACATCAAGTCCTTTTTTTTTTTTTTTTTTTTTTTTTTTGCCGGTGACCCCACCTTCCTTTGTGCCCATGTCTGATGACTGGCATTTGCCATTTTTTTCTTTCTCTAAATCATTATGTTTCAAAACCGGGGGTTCTGCAGATTCTTTAGAATTAGGACCCTGTATTTCTCTCATCAGCCCATCCTGTCCTTGATTCAAGGGTTGGTCTGTGCTACATCCTGTGTTGCTTATCTAATGTCAGCTGCCTGCTTGGAACCAGAGAATTGCTACTTCTGAATCCCCCATGACTGGGGAGGGGATACCCATGCCTCCATGTCAATCACAGACAACCCCAGCACCGACATGCTGCTTGCCTGGGTTGGGCCTTGGCCTGGTGTTTTGCCTTCTCTCTACTACATATGCCTGTTTCTCCACACATGTAGCCATTCCCCTCCATTTCTCAGGGTCAAGTGCAGGCTGATTGTGGCCCATTCCAAACTACTCCTATGACCATGGTTCACTGGACTATACTTAACCATGTCTTGAGATGCAGCTGCAGCCAACAAATTCAGGAAACATGACATCAGCAAATTTTAAAAAATCTCAATTGAGAAAACGCACAGTCTACAAAAAAAAAAGGTGATGTGTCTTTGGCATTCACAGTGAGTTCTTACCATCTGCCACCATCTTTAACACCATTTAAATCTTCTCCATTTTTTGCTCAAAATATATTCCTCTTTCATTGTAGGTCTTCCAAAGAACATAAAAGTATAAACAATTTATTTTTTAATTTTACTTTTAATTTATGATTATTAATTTTTATTTTTAATTTTTTAATTTTTTTCAGACAGAGTCTTGCTCTGTCGCCCAGGCTGGAGTGCAGTGGCACGATCTTGGGTCACTGCAACCTCCGCTTCCCGGGTTCAAGCGATTCTCCTGCCTCAGCCTCCCAAGTAGCTGGGATTACAGGCACACACCAGCACGCCTGGCTAATTTTTGTATTTTTAGTAGAGACAGGGTTTTGCCATGTTGGCCAGGCTGGTCATGAACTCCTGACCTCAGGTGATCTGCCTGCTTCGGCCTCCCAAAGTGTTGAGATTATAGGCGTGAGCCACAGCACCTAGCCTATAAGCAATTTAAAATGTGTAAAAGATGCCAAATTTTGGTGAGGCAGAGGGAGATGAATGGCTCAGGCTGGCCTCTATGGTGGAGAAATCTCAAAGTAAGATTAATTGTTCCTAAGCTGGATGAAGCTGGTTCTGTTTGCCTGTGCACCTGTAATTGTTCATGCCCTTCAGCATTAGCAAACAACAAACTCTAGTTATTATAGGCAGAAAGGGAACCTACTGGTAGAATATGGAGTAGCTCAGACAATTAACAGGGAGGACAGAGAAGCAGACAAATACCAAGAAAAGCTGGCTGTCCAGCACAGGGCAGGGCACCGCACAGTGGATACAGGCTGATTAGGGTGGCTGCCATCACTACTGCTGCATGGGTGCCACTGGACCCTGAATGCTGTCGGTGGTGCCACTAGGATAGGTTCTAAATTATCTCTGCTCCTAGGATTCCCTGCTCCAGACTCAAAGTTCTAGGCAAGAGTGGTTCCTGGCGATATCCTGGTGGCAACCCCATATCCTATCAGCTTCCTATGAAGGCTCACACAAAGGTGGAACTTGAGAAGGGAGTTCAGATGCTGAGCAGCCAAAAGTATGACAAGTGCTTGTTTCTCTCCTTTAACAACTTGCCCAAGAATACGCTTTATTGATTACCCTCCATGAGTGGGGGATAGCGGGATAGACTTACTCTCCCAAGGCAGGGAGCCAAGCTCCTGGGCTTGATCCCTGAGGGACTAATGCAGATTCTTACACTCCTTCTTGGAAGGAAACAGGAAGTAAAAACTCACTATGAGAAAAAGGTTGAGGTCTCGTAGGCTGTAAACACAACTGTATTAGTCTGTCCTCATGCTGCTAATAAAGACATACTTGAGACTGGGTAATTTATAAAGAAAAAGATGTTTAATGGACTTACAGTTCTGCGTGGCTGGGGAGGCCTCACAATCACGGTGGAAGGCGGAGGAGGGGCAAAGTCACATCTTAGACGGCGGCAGGCAAGAGAGCTTGTGTAGGGAAACTCCCATTTATAAAACCATCAGATCTTATGAGACTTATTCACTACCATGAGAACAGTATGGAGGAAACTGCCCTCCATGATTCAGTTATCTCCATCTGGCCCCACCCTTGACACATGGGGATTGTTACAATTCAAGGTGAGATTTGGGTAGGAACACAGAGCCAAACCATATCACCAACTCTGCCATTTAATTCCTTAGACAAGTTCCTTAATATCTCTGGGCCTCCATGTTCTCACCTGTGAAACGGGGAGAATTAAATGAGGCAATATATTTACAGTTCCTAATATGGAGCCCAGCATATACTAAGTGTTCAATCAGTGCACCATTATTATTATCGCTGTGATTTTGATTGCCTGAGTCCATTTCTCTGGGCCACAGTCCGGTCAACTTCACCCTCTCCTCACAGTGGTCTCTCTGCCTTGAGCTTCCAGGTGGCGGGTCAGGCTCAGGGCCTGATTTCTCCTTCCTGGAGGAGCTTCAGAATGTTGGCTTCTTTGTGGAGAAGAGGGATGATGTGTGAAGGGACAGAGTGTCATTGAGTGAACAAGTTTAAATAGAATCTTTCCATGAGAACTCTGGGATAATTTGGGGCTTGTGGTCAGAAAATGGTCAGTTATCGAATGCAGGAGTAAAGGCATTTTCTTCCTTCTCCCTCTTTTGAAACTCATCCAAAACATCAAAAAATAGACACAAAAACTCCATCTTAAATTTAAAAAAGAGAAAAAGAAAAGTCACACAATCTCAAGCCCACCTAGACCAAGTGTAAGTCATATGCTTGTGCAGTTAGTAACATTAATTATTAATACAATGATATTAATATAATAAAATATTAATCTTATATTAATACCAATATTAATATCAATTTTTAAAAACCACTTTATTGAGGTATGATCGACATACAAAAGTATATACATAATGTATGTAAAGTTCTAAATTTTTTTTGTTTTAAACAAAGTGCCAGATACAAGACAAGGTTATGGCTGAGAAAAACAGCTATTTCCACTAATTCCAGATTCTACCTAAATCAGCTGGCCCAAGGAGCGTCTCATTGTATTAAAAAAATTGTCTTTTGGCATACATAAGACTCAAGGTGGGAAACTGTTCATAAAATACACTGGAATCATCCTTCTCCAGATTATCCAAACTGCACCTTCTTCTTAATTTCAGATTTTCAAGGACGTTGTTAGGTTCCATGAACTTTTTAACCCACACAAGGAAGCTGCTTCTCTCTTCACAAGGATCAGAAAGCTAATGGAATAGAGTTGGAGGTGGCAATTCGCTGCAGCAGGGGGCATCCTGTGTGGATGTGTTTGGTGCAGAATGAGTTTAAATGAGGAAATTAATGTTTCACGTCAAGACAGGTGTCCCGAAAGCCGGGGAGATGCAATGAGCAGTCCTTTGGCTGCCTTGACTTGACTTCTTCCAGGGCAGCAGAAGAGCATCTGGGGCTATCAGGGTACTGGTTTGCTAGCTTTCTTTTGCTTTTGGGAATACTACATCAGTTGCCCAATTAACCTGATAGAACAACTCACACATTTACTTTGTTGTTCTTAGAGGATTCCTATGGGGCACAGTCTTGGCTAAGGCCACCTCACAGGGGAATGGCTGTTGGTTCTTTTAGCAGATTGATGGGCCGGGTATGCACACTGTCAAAGACTGCTGCAGTTTAATAAGGCTCTCAAGAGCATTTCCAACACCCGTCTAACCGGAAGACTGTGCCTCAATATGGCCATAGGACAGGGGAGTGAAGCGGTAAAGATGGAGGGATCCGCCTCACACTCACACTAGCGGACTCAGAGTCTGCCTTCTCCTCGATGGTTGGCCCCATGAGTTCAAAGTCCATGACTCTCTCAGTAGCAATATACAACGCAGCCTCACAAGAAGGGTTATGTGTTGAATTTTGTCCCCAAAAATTTATACATTGAAGTCCTAACCTGGGCTGGGCATGGTGGCTCATTCCTGTAGTCCCAGAGCTTTGGGAGGCTGAGGCGGGTGGATCACTTGAGCCTAGGAGTTCGAGACCAGCCTGGGCAATGTGGTGAAACCTTGTCTCTAGAAAAAATACAAAGATTAGCTGGGCTCGGTGGTGAATGCCTGTGATCCCAGTTATTTAGTAGGCTAAGATGGGAGGATCGCTTGAGCCCAGGAGGTTGAGGTTGCAGTGAGCTGAGATTGCGCCATTGCATTCCAGCCTGGGTGACAGAGAGACCCTATCTCAAAAAAAAAAAAAAAAAAAAAAGTGCTAACCCCCGTGAATGTCACTTTATTTTGAAAGAGGATTATTGCAGACAGAATTAGTTAAGATGAGGTCATACCAGAGTAGGGTGGACCCCTAATATATTGTGTCCTTATAAATAGGGGAAATTTGGACACACCCACAGACAGGAAGAAAAACACTGTATGAAGATTGGAGGTATGCTGCCAGAAGCCAAGAAACTAGTAGAAACAAGTAGAGAGGCCCAGAACAGGTCCTTCTCTACCACCTTCAGAGGGAGCATGGCTCTGCCAACACCTCGATCTAGGACTTCTAGCCTTCAGAACTCCAGGACAATACATTTCTGTTGTGTAGGTCACCTGGTGTGTGGTACGTCGTTATGGCAGCCCTAGCAAACCAATACAAAGGGCTTGGCACAGGGAATGATGAACAATTGTTTCAATGAAAATCTAAGGAATCGTCGTGTCCCTTACTAAGCTGTGAGATCTCAATGAATGAATTTTGCTCCACAGTATGAGATGGAAGAAATGTCTCACTTATTTCTTTAAGTCAAATTTATTCTGCTCCCTGTGCAACTGGTTTGACAGGAACTTTAATGTTATGATGTTTCCGCTTCTGCCCCCACATCCCTGGGTTTGGGGAAGGTCCCTGGAGCCTCACACCATCTAAAACCTTTGGAGAGGGATTCTTTGGAGAGGCACATGGAGAACCAAGCCTGCACCCAGCTGAGCTTCTCATCGAGGTTGGCATTCTTGGCCTCTCCAGGAACACCTCAGAAGCATGCTTCTGTGAGGTCTGGCCATCCCTTGTGGTATAGCAAGGTTTAGCTGATTCTTGCAACTCTTGTGACATCCCCCACTGAAAAATCCTGTTTGTCTTTTAAGCTTGAGGAATAAAATCTTTCTCCTCTGTTCCTATAGCATTTCCCCTTCTTTTCTCCCCAGGGTACTCACCTCTTTTTTCACCCTCTCCAGAGACATCTCTAACTTAGGCTTTGCAAAACCAAAACCAGAAAACTCTGCCTTTATCTTGGCAACACAAACCCTTCTGAGGCTAGCAATGCAATAGTTGGATACCATCTTCCCTGGGGAAGGCAGAATTCAGTGTGAATGAAACACAAATTAACATCAGTGGTATATGGTGTTATTGTTCCCAATTATTCAATCCCTCTTTCTTCAAGGATTAGACATCCCTGCCCCCAAATTGCTATGTGACTTGCTGTGCTCTCCTGTGGGAGAAATATCTATTCCCTGCCCCAAATGATGTTGGACTTAGCCCTGCGACTTGCTTTGTTGATGGGATATGAGCAGATACAATGTAATGCCCTGTTTGAGCAGAAGCTTTAAAAGCCACCATGTTTCGACCAGTTCCTCTGACTCTTTTTCCTCTGCCATGAGAATAGTGTGTCCAAATAGAGCCTGCTCCTTCAGCCTGGATTCCAGAAGGAAGAGGACTTGTAGAACAGACCCACAGCCAACTTACTGTTGTGCAGAGCTGGCATCTGGAGCCAGTCCACAGCTGACATGTAACCAACACACATGAGAAACAAATCTTTGTTATTGTAAGCTACTGAGAGCTGGGGTCTAGTGTTGTTTGTAATCATAGTATAATCTAGTAAGCGCTTACTAGTAAAATGTCTAAATAATTATCTTTCCACTTAGAAAGATAATTCCCTTCTCTGAAGCTCATTTTTATTGCATGTGAAGTTGGCTTGGTTGGGCCGTGTGATACCTTAAGTCCTTTCCAGTTTGAATCGTCTAGGATTCTAAATCCATGTGCCCAGCTTCCTGCCTTATCCTGGATCCACATTGTTCAGTTGTGAAGCCATCTGCAAATCTCCTGCCCTTTCCTCGCCCTTGCAACCTTTTATTCTAACCCAAGTATCTGTGACAAAACAGGGGCCAATCATAGAGCGGAAAGAACAGTGGCTTAGGACACCTGCAGACTGAGTTCTAATTCTAGAAGCCAATTACTACCTGTTTGACCGCTGGCAATTTTACCTCATCTCCCTGAGCTGCTGTTTTCTTATTTGTAAAACAGGGATGCTAGGATTGTAAGGATGAAATAAGCTAATTCAAGTTTCGAATGCAGAACTTGTCACATACTATATATTTAACAAAAGTTAATTGCCTTCTTCCTTCCAAATGTAGTTTTTAGATTTATTTTTTTTGAAACTTTTAGGCTCGGAGTACATGTGCAGGTTTGTTATATAGGTAAACTAGTGTCTTGGGGGTTTGTTATACAGATTATTTCATCACCCAGGTACTAAGCCTAGCACCCAATAGTTATTTTTTCTGACTGACTCTCTCCTCCCACCCTCCACCCTCAAGTAGGCCCCAGTGTGCGTTGTTCCCCTCTTTGTGTCCATGTGCTCTCATCATTTAGTTCATGCTTATAAGTGAGAACATGCAGTATTTGGTTTTCTGTTCCTGCAATAGTTTGCTAAGCATAATGGCATCCAGCTCCATCCATGTTCCCCACAAAGGACACAATCTTGTTCTTTCTTATGGCTGCACAGTATTCCATGCTGTATATGTGCCACATTTTCTTCATCCAGTCTATCACAGATGGGCAGTTAGATTGATTCCATGTCTTTGTTATTGTGAATAGTGCTGCAGTGAACATCTGCATGACTGTATGTTTAAGGTAGAAAGATATATATTCCTATGGGTACATACCAGTAATGAGATTGCTAGGTCAAATGGTAGTTCTGTTTTTGGCTCTTTGAGGAATTGCCATATTGCTTTCCACAATGGGTGAACTAATTTACACTCCCACCAACAGTGTATAAGCATTTTCTTTTCTCTGCAACCTCGCCATCATCTGCTATATTTTGATATTTTTATAATAGCCATTCTGACTAGTGTGAGATGGTATCTCACTGTGGTTTTGATCTGCATTTCTGTAATGGTCAGTGATGTTGAGATTTTTTTCTTGTGCTTTTTGGTCGCATGTATGTCTTCTGAAAAGTGTCTCTTCATGTCCTTCTAAATGTCTTTAAGAGTTTCTGTATCCAAGAAGATTTTCAACCTAATGGGAACCAGTATCATAAGATAAAAGGAAAAAATTAAAACTTCCTTTCTGGTATCAGTGGTAGATGAGGAGGAGAATGTCAGGAATCTTGAGTCCTGTAAATTAAAACCATGGAGAGTTGCCTCTCTTTCTTGTTTGGAGGGATGTTTGGTCTTGTGTAGTGGTGCTTTGGAGTAGGGATTAGGCTTCTCAGAAAACTTCACCTTATTGACTTTTCTAATTACCCCCTGGATTCAGACTTTCCTTTCTAACAAAAGGCTACTATCCTGGTTGCCACACTGCTTTGCCCCACCCAGCTTACGTCTCACTTTGCTCCAAATAGAAGGAGTGTTTTCTTTGTCCATCAAAGCCACGTCCAGATTCTGGGGCTTCCATATCTTTTTCATAGCTCAAGCAACATCAGTACATCAATTGTCTAGGCCATAGAGACATGTAACTGGAATCTTGAAATGCAACTTCTAGGTTCTGAGATGGCTCCTCCAATGACAATGCCAGCTCTGATAGCTAAAGCAAAAGTGGACTGAGACCTGAATATCTGGGCCAGAAAAGGAAAGAAGTGTTGAAGAATGTTCTGTTTTACTTCACCAGTTTCAAATTTGTTGCAGAGGCAGCGAAGGACTCTCTGAAGATAGAACATATGAAGCAAGCCCTAATGCCATGAAGAAGCAGCCGAGTGAATGTCTAGGGGGGACTAATCCAGACAGAAGGAAAGAGCAAAGTCCCTGACCTGGGCACAGTCTTGGTGTGTTTGAGGGATGGAAAGTGGACCAGAGAGGCTCTAGGGTAGAGAATAAGTGGTGCATGCTAGGAGGTTTGGGTGGAGAGGCGAGAGTAGTGGTGAGATCATCGGGGTGCCATGGGAAAACGGGAAGCCACTGAAGGTCATTTAGCAGCAAGTCATGGGGTCTCAGAGTCATCTCTGACAAATCAAGCTACTGTCATAAATAAGAATAAACGGGGTAGGGGAGCAGGAGCCCAAGTGAATCTTGTGGTTCCAGACAAGAGATGATGGCAGCCTGGACCAGGATTTTAAAGACCTTGAAAACTCAGACAGAGAAAGAGTGAGTTCAGTAAAGAACACTCACTCTTTCTCTGTCTTCCTCTCTAGCTCATCTCTCTGCCTGCATGAGCTCATGACTAGTCCTGGGATTTTAGGTCAATCTCTGTGCCCAAATGCATATTTCAATCCCTGCTTTTTCCACCAAGCTCCAAATTAGTGTTTGACAAACTACAGCCCAACTGTGGCCTGGCATCCATTTCCGTATGGCCCAAAAGCTAAGAAAGGTCTTTATACTTTTAAAAGATAGGGAAAAAATCAAAGAAGAGTGTATAACAGGGACTCTATGATCCCAAAAGAAAAAGTTTGATTACTTCTAGTCTAGACTCATATATAGCTCAAGTATAATGTGTCCCAACCAAAACTTTTGATGTCCCCCTGCCAAAATTTTTTCCTGCCTCACTCTTCTCCATTTCAGTAAATGGCATTTCTATGTGCCAGCTGCCTAAATTTAAAAATCTAGAAGTCAGACATTGATCCTATCTTGTATATTTTTTACTCAACCTATCAGCCCATTCTCTGGTTCCCCTCTGACATACGCTCTGCATCAGGTCACTGCTCACCACTTCCACTGTTAAAAGAACACTGAAGTTAGAGAATACTGGGGAGGGGGTGTGCATTATTCAAATTTTATTATGCAAGGCAACAAACAGTCCCTGTAGCTCAGTGCCTTCTGAGAAAAAAGGTCTATTTCTCACTCAAGTTACATGGTGGCTGCAGTCCTACTGTCAGTCTATTCTACATCTTCCTTCCAGACCCAGACTGAAAGATACACGCCCATCAGAGCAGCCTGCAGGGGAGGCCAAAGAGAGATGGTAGAACCAGGCAAGGACCCTAAAATATTCTCCCGGAATGCAGCATCTGTCACTTGCATTCACTTTCCATGATCAATCTGGTGGTTGAGGGGATGGGTAATTCTCTCACAGGGATACACCGTGAATCTTTGGGAACAAGAATACAACTATCACAAAGAATGTGGTGTTAAGGAAATCTACAGCACCTAATAATTCAAGAAATGGGATGTGGTCAGCTAGATCAAATGCCATTTAGAAGTTGAGTAAGATGAGATCAGAGCAGTGACAACTAGGGTTGGAAATATAGAGGTCTTTTGTTTAGTCAATAAGTCATTCTTCTAGGCTAGCCATATTAATGTGTACTTTCTGTGCTGGATGCCAATAGTAACAATACTGTTGTCAGCCTGCCTCTGTAAGAACAATCTCACCACTTCTGTACTCTGAAAATGGAGCTGATTCAGGATTGGTGACTTGTGGGCCCAATAATCCAATGTATTTAGCAACAAATTTAGAAGGAAACCTGATTTTTTATTTTTCCAATTGTAATTATGTGCATTCTTGGAGACGAATCTGTGGCTACACAAACAGCAATGATTATAGCTTCTGACCAAATTAATTTAAAGGGTTTTCCAAAGAGGCATTGAACAGTAAGTTTGCACTTTGAGGAAGATTCTCTACACACCTTTTTTTTTTCCTATTAGTCAGATTTTCTGGGTCAACCCTAACACTTCCCCCAGATCTACCTCTTTCTTTGAGAGGAATGCGTGCACAAGTTTGCAAAGTCGGGTGTGGGGACTGTGCTGGTGAAGCAATAGCAATGGTGTTGAGCCGAAATGTGGATTCCCTGGGTGTTTTTCTCCTCTGTCTGCCCGGGGACGACTGCAGAAGTCATTTTGATATTTGGCAAGATACCTGAAAAACGTGAAATTTCTCCATGTGATCTGTATTTACTTTGACATTTTAAAAGAATTGTTCTTTTAAAATATAAATCCTAAATCTTTGATTTTTCTTTTTAAGTTTAGAATATCGAAGTTGGTAAGTTGGTTTCTAAACATTTTTTTTATGTTTTGAGATAGGGTCTCATTCTGTTGCCCAGGGTGAGTGTAGTGGTGCGATCTTGGCTCACTGCAGCCTCAACCTCCCAGGCTCAAGCAACTCTCCCACCTCTGTCTCCCAGGTAGCTGGGACTACAGGCATGCACAACCATGCCTGGCTGATTTTTGTATTTTTTGTAGAGACGAGTTTTTGCCATGTTGCCCAAGGTGGTCTTGAACTCTGGGCTCAAACAGTCCACCTGCCTTGGCCTCCCAAAGTGCTAAGTTTACAGGCATGAGCCACCATACGCAGCTGGTAAAATCTTAAAGGTATTTGGATTCAACTTTTTTTTTTTTTTTTTAAATGAGAATCTCTACAACCCTAATAAGCTTAGCCTCCCTCTGCTGTATCTGGAGAGCAGGGTGCTCATTGTCTTAGTACCCAGGGGACAACACCAACCTTCAACTGATGGGACTCTCTAATTTTGAGGGAATCCTTTCTCATGTTTAATTAAAACTTGCCTTCTTGTAACTTCCACTAGTAATCCATGCTAGGGATAATACAGATGTGGCATAATAAGAAATATATCTAGTCTTTGTCCCTGGTTCCTAGCACAGAGCTTCTAAAAACAAAACAAAACAAAACAAAAACCCTTGGAACTTCTTCCTGAGTGATAGGAGTGTCTTTTGTTATTTGTAATGAGAGCCCCTTTCTATCACACCTGAGTTCAGGCTAATGAGATGAACCCCCAGAGTGGGACTCCCAGATAGCTTCAGGATGGGGGCTGGTCAAACATGACGCCATTATTTGAGGGTTAGAAATTTCAGCTCTTGTCCCCAACCTATGGGGAGGAAAGAGGCAGTGGAGATTGAATTCAATCACCAATGGCCAATGAGTTAATCCATCAAGCCAACGTAATGAAACCTTCGTAAAATCTGAATGAGAGCTTCTGTGTTGGTGAACACATCCATGTGCCGGGAGGGAGGCATACCTCAACTCCAAAGAGGCAGAGGCTCTTGTGCTCAGGACATTTTTGGACCTCATCTTATGTACCTCTTCATCTGGCTGTTCATTCCCATCCTTTATAATAAAATATAGTTCCAAGTATGGCATTTTCCTGAGTTCTGAGTTGTTCTAGCAAATTAAGGAAATGTGGCGTGGGGCGAGGGCAGGTGGCGGGTGGCATGCTGCAAACCCTGGAACTTGTAGCAAAGTCAGACAAATTCAGGTGACCTGGGAACCCAGTACCTATAACTGATGTCTTAAGGGAGAGCAGTGTGTGGGACTGAGCCCCTTTAACTTGTGGGATCTGAGGCTAACTCCAGGTAGTGTCAGAATTAAACTGAATTGTTGGATACCCAGTTGATGTCCAGAGAATCAGAGATTAGGATAAATCTGCTCCACCATTTACATGAGAATCTTCTGAATATTCTTAGTCTTCTCTCTTAGGTTGCACGTCTGTAGTTCTTCAAACTCACATGGGAGGCAATTGACCATATACTCATCACTGCAATGAGCATATCAGGAGGTACCACATTGAACCAAGAATTCTGGTAAATGACATTTTCTCCCTCTCCTTACACATCCAGTGATATTGAACATCTTATAGTTTGGATCCCTGGACACCTTCATGGCAGACTCACTCCTTACTCCAGCTCTGGATCTCAACAGTTCCCTCATCCCTCTCAGCCTTCTCCCTCACTCCTCAGAAGCTAACATTTGCCAAAGTCAATCTTGAAATGTTATGTTTAAAATTCAGCTCACTTCTCTAGATATAGCCTGATGAGGACACTACGGGTACCCTAGGCAGTTAATAAATAATAGTCATTAGTTAATAATTTTAGGTTCCTTCAAATGGATATGCTCTCAATATTTGTCTAACTGTGACTTGGGGTCAAGCAAGGAAGACTGGCTCGCAGCAGCTCTGGTCCTCTTCTCTACTGCTCTAATCAGTTCAGCTCTGGCCCAGTCCTGCACACCCTACTAGCAAACGTTAGTCCTACTATAGATAACTGCACCCACCTCCTTGTAAGCCATTTAATGACTCTCAATTATAACTCAAACTGGCCTCAGAGAGCTCAGCCTTCACTGCAATGAGCGTATCACAAAGTATCACATTCAACCAAGAATTCAAGAAAATGACATTCTTTTTCCTCTCTTTACACATCCAATGACATGGAGCATCTTATAGTTTGGATTTCTGGACACTTGCATGGTAGAGACACCCCTAAATCCCGCTCTGGCTCTGACCGATTATTTCCTGTGTTCTGAGTTGCTACATCAATTGCATCTGTTTAAAAAAATCCTATCACAGTGCAGCTCTTAGAAGAGTGTGCTTAACTTAAAAACAGATTTTTTTCCCCCCGACAGGAACTCCCAAGCCAGTCTTCCTCATTCTGTATTTACGTGATTGACTTTTGTGAGTCTAAATATAGAATTTTTCATTTAGCCTAGTTGCCTTTGACTCTGTAAGAGTCAACGGACCATTTTAATTTGTTAAAAACATTTTTAATTTTTATTCAAATATGTAAGTATAGGATAGTCTAGGCACTATTGCATTATATGATTGACAAAGACCTGGAGGTGGGAATTTATTTTTCATTTTGTTTTTGCTTTTGTTTTTTTGAGACAGAGTCTCACTCTGTCACCCAGGCTGGAGTGCAATGGTGCAAACTCGGCTTACTGCAACCTCCACCTCCTGGGTTCAAGCGATTCTCCTACCTCAGTCTCCCGAGTAGCTGGGACTACAGGCACCCACCACCATGTCTGGCTAATTTTTCACATTTTTAGTAGAGATGGGATTTCACCATGTTGACCAAACTGGTCTCTAACTCATGACCTCAAGTGAACCACCCACCTCGGCCTCCCAAAGAGATGAGATTACAGGCATGAGCCACCATGCCCGGCCAGGAGGTGGGAATTTAATCACTATCCCACATTAAGGAAGTGTCTGTGCAATCCAAATAATAGTCACTAGCCACTTAACGACTGTGATCACCTTAAGTGTAGCTAGTTCAAATAGAGATGTGCCGTAAGTATAAAGTACACATTGGATTTTAAAGACTGAGTGCAAAGAAAAAAGAATGTAAAATATCACATTAATAATTTTTGAAAAATACCGATGGTGTATTGAAATGATAATATGTTGGGTATATTGAGTTAAATAAAATCTATTATTAAAAATAATTTTACTTTTTCTTTTTACTTATG
Source organism: Homo sapiens (assembly GCF_000001405.40). Classification (NCBI taxonomy): domain Eukaryota; kingdom Metazoa; phylum Chordata; class Mammalia; order Primates; family Hominidae; genus Homo; species Homo sapiens. Next base: position 4,128,072 of record NW_018654717.1, on the reverse strand, counting down.
AAATGTAACTAGTAGAAAATTTAAAATTACACCTGTAGCTTACATTTCTGGTTCACATAATGTTTCTATTGGACAGCATTTCTCTAGAAGTTGAAGTGAGCCCTACCTTCCCTCTATTGCAATTGGATAATTAGAGCAAGCTTGCATTGGGCCAGAGGCAGTGGAAATTTTGACACAGGCCGAGGGTATTGGTATGTGGATGAATGTGGGAGGAGAAGGTAGTCTTGGGCAGCCAGAGAGCAGCATGATGCCAAGTGTGTAGGAGGCTTGAAAAAAGGGCAGGAGACTGGAGAAAATGTCTAGCAAAGCAGAGAGAGAACACTGAAATGGAACAGTTTTCTATAATTCCCATGTAATATGTTATCCCTGCTGATGTCTGGGTTGAATGTGGGTTTTTCCATAAGGCTCACACCACACCTTACTCCCGAGTCTTCCCCATTAGGAAAAGCTAGCCTGGTACCTCATTAACTAAGCCTGCCCATCCTTCACCAGCAGACGGAGGAAAGAGGGGATGGAGATGTCTGCCCTGTCCTCCTTTTAGCTCTTCTCCACTGAGACCCTACTCTTCTTTCAGCATTAATAAAATATTTACCAGAAAGTCCTTTGCTGTGGTACTGCCAGTTCCACAATTCCTGGTCCTCAAATATCATTTATTATGCAAACACAAAAGTAACATTTTTTCAAGATTGTTTTTCTGCCTTAACAGTATCTTTGGCTTTGATTTTGGAGGAGAGACCTTTTCATTGGGAGGCAGCTGGAGTCAGTCCCAGGCAGAGTCACCATTCAGTATTTGTGTGATGAATGCGCGTCTGAGCATGCTGTCCTTCTTACAAACAAAGACAGCAAAAAACGTAGCTAACGACTGGGAATGGTGGCTTACACCTGCAATCCCAGCACTTTGGGAGGCCAAGGGAGGAGGATCACTTGAGGCCAGGAGTATGAGACTAGCCTGGGCAGCATAGCAAGACCCCATCTCTTCAAAAAATAAAAATAAAAGAGGTTTTACATTGGGAGCATGAGGATAACGGTGGCTTTCAGACATTGTTTGTTAGTTGGGTGTGGTGGCACATAGCTGTAGTCCTAGCTACTAGGGATGCTGAGGAGTGGGGATTGCTTGATCCCAGAAGGCCGAGGCTGCAGTGAGCTACAGTTGCACCACTGCACCCCAGCCTGGGTGACAGAGCAAGATCCTATTTCTAAAACAAAATGAAGCAAAACAAAACACATAGCTAGCCACCAGTATCCGTAACTCTGTATTGCCGTGTTTTTTAACTAGACACCAGGAAGAAGATATGTATTGCATTTTTAATGTATGAAAGCAACCAGGTAGGCATTCACATTCAATGGCATGTTAATTCCCATGCAAACAGGAGGTGTTAGTCCCTTTCAAGATGGCAGCCATGAGAGTGGCAGGTTTTACACTGGCAGCCTAAGGATAAAGGTGGCTTTCAGACATAGTTTGTTTGGCTCTTGCAATGTTTTAAGAAATTAAGCCAGCCTTGGAAAATCAGAACATCTCACATAAACCTTCAGAGTTTGAGCTTCCCTTGAAATCTCACAAGATAACCCTGGGTCTGTGTTCCCCAGGGAAACAGGCTGGTGTGGAATAACAATAGCTGCATTATACTGGGCCTACCATCTCTGCTGCCAGATCCCTTGGCATGTGCACAGATACCACTAAATTCACATATTGAAGTTGTCTAGCCAGTTGATGAGTCATCTGTTGCCACTACCCCTTGATCTTCCTGACTGGAAAGCCAGTATAGAGTATACCCTCAAAAATGTGGCACAACGCAGGTTTTTTCATGATGGTTTTATTGCCAGGGAGGTAAAACAGTTGGGTGAAGGTGGAGATTCTGGAAGGGAATATTCATTAGGGTCCTGGATGCTGCATCCAGCTGGATATGTTTCCAAGAGGAGGAACGGAAAGAGGAGGAGGACAAAGCATGGAGCTGGGTGAGGAGAAGTCTCACTCACATTTCAAGTTCACTGTCATTTCCTTCCACTGCCTACCCAGGAGAGCTATGAACAAGGAAAGCTAGTTAGCGACTCGCCCAAAGCCATGCAATTATCTCAGCTTACTTACAATAGTAGACTTAACCATTTACAAGGATGTATTTTCCCTCTTACTAACAACAACAACAACAACAACAACAAGACAGGGTAGTGACAGCCTGAGGTCTGTGTGAGAGCAAATGGGTTGCACAAAGGCTCGCTGGCCTACCAGGTAGATGAAGGGGCACGTGGGTCTCAGAGTGATAAAGGGAAATCAGATCATGTGATCACACATTCCCAGGCCCAAAGAGCAGGTTAGTATTGCGCCATGTGTATTGCAGCCTGGGGCAGGAGAGTGAGAAAAGTCTTCCTCGCTTAAGAAGTCATCTCCTATGGCATCCCATATTCTTGGCTTTTATTTTAAAGTAACTAAATTTTTAAAAATATAGTAGAAAAGGGACAGTAACCCAAACATGACAGCAAATTCTTTTTCAAAAGCAAATTGGATAAAAAGATACTGCTTGAGAAAAGACTTAATGGCCGGGGACGGTGGCTCACCCTTGTAATCCCAGCACTTTGGGAGGCTAAGGCAGGTGGATCGCTTGAGTCCAGGAGTTCGAGATCAGCCTGGCCAATATGGTGAAACTCCATCTCTAGAAAAGACACAAAAATTATCTGTGCATAGGTTGTGCTTGTCTGTGGTCCCGATTACTCAGGAGGCTGAGGTGGGAGGATCACCTGAGCCCAGGTGGTCAAGGTTGCAGTGAGTCAAGATCATGCCAATGTACTCCAGCCTGGGTGACAGAATGAGACCCTGTCTAGAAAAAAAAAAAAAAAAAAAAAAGAAAGAAAAAGAAAAGACCTACGTTTCCTTCACATTCCTGTGGTAGAATCTAGATAGCTTTTATAAACTTGAGTCCACTCTGGTTGCTGTTTTTGGCCTAGTTTCCTTTTGGACCAAGAAAAGAGTTTTGAAAGTCCCTCAGCCCATGGTGTGTTTTCTCTCCTGAGCAATTTCTAATTCAGGAGGCCAATTTTAGCCACACTGGGCAGTTTCGTGAAGGAGGGTCAGGTCTCACATGTTCTGTAATGACCAGTTTTTATTGAGGGCCAAATTGAACCCTTTTAAATTACCATGCCCCTAGCCAAGATCTAGTTTCCCACTGACAGTAATCATAGTGTGAGCTGGTCATGAAGTCATATGTTTGTTTGCCTTTTTGTTTAGAGTAGGAATGGGACTGAAAGAAAGACCTGTTCAAAACTGAGAGATTGACTCAAATTTGACTTACATTTTATTACAAATGTGTTCAGTGCTTTTCTCCTGAATTTGAAATCTGATAAGTGCAAATCAGCGAAAAACAAACAAATGAAAATGGTGGTGCCTGACTCATTATGAGAACTATCCCAGTCCTTTCATTCTCGAAGTTTCTCTTCCCTGTTTTCCTTGTCCTAAGTCCAGTCCACAGGGATGGCTCCAAATTCACATCTCTCACTGAAGCCTTTGGTTCTGAAAGGATTGAATTTTTTTCTTTTGGGGCACTACACGGGCATTTGTATACCATAACCCCATGATAGCCTTTGCATTGCTCTGTAAGTTTCACGGTGTTGTGTATCTTTGGACTTGTGTATTGACAAAGACTCTCTCTTTGACCACACCCTAACCAGGCTCTTCTGAGCCTTCTTCTCTACTAGGCCTCAACTTTGGCCTATAGACTTGAACAAGCACTAACATAATTTTTGACAGTTCAAAGCCTCGTCCCTAGGATGACCCCAGCTCCCTTAGTGTGACTACCTGAGAAAACTCAAGGCTGTCAAAAGAATTTACTGTTGGTTGCAGCCATCACTTGAAGGTAGGGCCCCTGTTTCCCAGGCTCTATGGGAGGATGAAAGCCTAACTTCAATCAGAGTCAGTGAGCAAACTCAGCTGGGTTCACATGAACCAATCCCCTCTTCCACTTTTCGTAATTTTTCACTTCCTTGACTCTATTGAGAAACCCCCTTGTCTCCTTCCCCAGTCCTTCATTCTCTTTTTAAAATGTCTGGTTAACTTTGCACAAATCAAAATTGAGGTCACTTCATGCTGGACTCTTTTCCCTATTGCAATAGTATACGACTGCTAAAAGCTGTCCTTGCCACTTTCGTTAGTGTCCGGCTTTATCTCCGACAGTATACATTGTCTGTCCAACTAAACTCCAAGCTCACTGAGTATATCATGCACCTTTTTGTGTTGGCCATGACTCTCTGCACAGTGCTATGCACATGTAAGGTTCTCAGAAACAATCTACTCTGCTAGAGGAATGGACAGCGATTGATTTGGGGCATAGAATCTGCACAAATGGTGATTATCTTTGTTCTTGTTGTAGGATAAGTCAAGGAACTGGGAGATTCATTCAAACTAACTCACACTCATGACAGGTCTAAATCCACAACCAGGTCAGATCACATCCTCCCTGAGCTTGTATTTTGCGTTTTCTGGTCCTATGCTCCCTTAACTGTGCACCCCATACATACACACACTCAACACATCCATGCACATACACACTTGTGTGCACACACATGTGCACACATACACAGGCACATACTCATACACACATGAACAATACACATACATGCATACACATATGTATGTGTGGACATACACATAATACATGCACTTACACATGTGTATATGCACATGCACACGTGCACATATATACACACATACACACGTGTATACACAGATACATGCTCACATGCACATGCACACACATGTACACACATGCACACATGATACATATACATGTGTGCACACATGAACATACGCACATACACACATGAACATACGCACACACACAGATATTGTAATTTCTCCTTCTGTTTTGTTTCTATATTTGCTCTCATTCTCATTTCTGGAAATATGCAATGTTATAAAAGCTAAACTCAGCACTAAAGTTCAAACGCACTGAGGCGATATTTCCCAGGAACCACAATTTTAGGGAGTGGATTATTAAGGTGAAAAAAATTATTTTTCAGTGTTTTAACTAAACAGATGTCTACAGTTCAAGAGCACCAAGACTTCACACATTGTACAGACTGCTTTACCTTTTCAATGAATATAAAATTTGCAAGCATTTGAGGAGCCAAGAAAGGAGAGATCTTTTGGGAAGGGAAGGCCTATTACGCCATGCTCTTAGAGCATCCTAGGCTGTCTGGTGCATTCTGAACAATGGAGGCAATTGAAGAATTCAAATGAGTAGGTGATTCTTTACGTCTTTACAAGGCATCTCCTGGAAACCCGCAGCACTAGAGTTTCAGTGGGTCCTAAGACTTCCTTCCTCTGGCACAATCTTCCCATCATGATGGGCCGTGGTTCAAGATCTTTACACATGCCCAGGCAACTTTTGAATCTATTCTCAGTGTCTTTTTTAAAAAAAATAAATTTGATTTAAAGAGGAATTTTCACCTTCCCAGCACCACCACCTGTATCAGGGTTCTCTAGAGGGCCAGAATAGGATAGATGTGTATATATGAAGGGGAGTTTATTAAGGAGCATTGACTCACACCATCACAAGTTGACGTCCCACAATAGTCTGTCTGCAAGCTGAGGAGCAAGGAAGCCATTCTGAGTCCCAAAACCTCAAAAGTAGGGAAGCCGATAGTGCAGCCTTCGGTCTGTGGCCAACGCCCCGAGAGGCTCTAGCAAACCACTGGTGTAAATCCAAGAGTCCAAAAGCTGAAGAATTTGGAGTCTGATGTTCGAGGGCAGGAAGCATCCAGCACAGGAGAAAGATGAAGCCTGGAAGACTCAGCACGTCGGCTCCTTCCACCTTCTTCTGCCTGCTTTATTCTAGCTGTGCTGGCAGCTGATTAGATGCTGCCCACCCAGATTGAGGGTGGGTGTGCCTCTCCCAGTCCACTGACTCAAATGTTAATCTCCTTTGGCAACACCCTCACAGACACACCCAGAAATAATACTTTGCACCCTTCCATCCAATCTAGTTGGCACTCAATCTTAACTGTCACTCTACCGCATCCACACACACACACACACACACACACACACACACATAACATCCACTATCACTTCAAAATGCCTTTTATGTACTGAATTGTGCCCCCCACCTCCAAATTCATACGTTGGCATCTTAACTCTCAGTACTTCAGAATGTGACTGTTTGGTGATAGGGCCTTTATAAAGGTAATTAATGTAAAGTGAGGTCATAAGTGTGGATCAAATCCAAACATGACTGATATCCTTGAGACGAGATTGGGACACAGACACACAGAAGAAAGAATCCGTGAAGACGCAATAAGACATGGCCATCTGCATGCCGAGGAGAGAGGCTTCAGAGAAAACAACCCTGCAAGCACCTTGACCTTGGACTTCTAGCCTTCAGAAGGGAGAAAATCAGTTTCTGTTGTTCAAACCACCTAGTCTATGGTACTCTGGTATAACTGCCCCAGCAAACTGATACAGCTCCTCATCATTTTCTCGACACCTCTGAGAAAAATATTAATTTTGCAGGTAAAACCTACTCCATGAATGAGTATCCAAAGCTATAAGGCTAAATAGGGATTGTAAATGATCAGGTTTTAAAATACCTTACACAACACTTTTTTTTTTCCCATTCTACATTTGTAAAAATCATTTGAAACAATAAACTTTATTCCTGTGGAACTGCAGTTCTCAATCCCACCTTCATATTCCAGTCAGCTAGGGAGACTGGGGAAAGGCAGGCACTGATGTCTGGGCTCCATCTTCAGAGTTTCTGAATGATTGGCCTCTGTTGGGCACCACTACCCGAACCCAGCTGATTCTCATATGCAGCTACGGGTGAGAAAAATGGCTCTAAACAATTAGTTGATTAGAAAAACCCTGACAATTTAAAGTTTGCAAAGAGCATCATTCTGTATTATCATTTAAAAGACCTGGATTTGATAAAGCATGGTCTATTGCCCCACTGATACGAAATATATTTCTTACTCCAATGAGCTCTTTACCCTGTTCAGTCCTGCCGTTGTTAGGGAGTGGGTATAGCGTTATGTAGTGAGAACAGATACTGCTTAGCAATTTCATCACCGCTAACTGATGCAAGTTACAAAATGGCAGGGAGAGTTTTAGGGGGCATTTAAATCTCCTGGAGTTTCAGGGAAGCATCTATGCTGAGAAGAAACTGCATTCGGTTAGGGGTGTTCTGTATCCCACGTTATCCTAATTAGCAACTTAGCAACACAAGCCCTGTAGAGAACTGGCCTTATTTGGTGGCGCAGCATTGAGAGCCAGTTCTCCGGAATTTGGCAGCAAGTGAAAGCGCTATAGCTGCCAATTAGTTGGAGTTGCCTTCAACCCCTTGCTACTTAGCAGTGGCTTTTTAATTTGTGTTGGGTTTTCATTAAAGATTGATCTGACTCTGTGGATTTCTAATGTCCTTTTATTTGGTAAGTCAATCCTAGCCTGGCAGTATCACTTAACACAAAATGTTAATTAAAAAAAAAAGGCTTCGCTGAAACTGACTTTCAAAACTCAGCTCTCTAGTTCCAGAAGAGAAAGAAAAAAAAAATCCAAAAAATAAAAATAAAAAAGAAGATGGTGGAGTGAGATGCAAGACCCTCCCTCCAGGCTGTGAAAGATCCGAGGAGAGGAGAGGCGTGGCCAGAGGAGGAAGAGAATGAAAGGGCAAAAATCTTTAATGCTATCTTTTTTTCTACAATAGCTTTGGGGTTACTTTCTTGGGTCTTTTAGAAAAGCCACGTAAGCAAGAGGATAGTCTGGCTGGTGAAAAAGAAAAGAGATGTTACAATAGTACATTCAGGCTCATTTTAATCTTCCAGGGTGGACGAAATTGCTTAACTGGCCTCTTGAATATTCTGATTGGCTAGGTATATGACCTTCCCAGCCAATCAGGTGGAGCCTCTCTGGGGCCACTGCAGATGACTTGGAAACAGATGCTCTTGATTGGCAAGGTTCCTACCGCCGCTATTCCAAGTCACGAGGCATCCCGACTGTAATTTCTGGCAGAAGCTAATAAGGAAAGTTCCTGCTAACAACCTCATTGATAACTTGCCTCGAGTGGGACCGTTGTTCCATCTGTTAGGGCCAAGGTTGTTTCGGCTGTGGCAAACTGGACGGCTTGGGGTTGATGATTTAAGAGGAGTTGTACCACCTGCCAACGTGGCAAAAGGCACACAGAAGTCAAAGACCCACAGCCTAATCCTCTAAGGGCTGGGTAGTGTTTTGTTTAATGTGGCTTATGTGCTTAGAACTTGAAAAGTCCTGCTCCCAGTGGTTCTATAGTGTGTGTTAATGCCAGCCTTACTATGAATGTTATATATGTAATATATGTGTGAGATTATTTATATATGTGTATTATATCACACAAATATATTATATTATATATGTGTATATACTCTCCCAGCCACCTGAAGGAGAGTATTACAGTATTGTGGAAAAATCAACAATATCGTCTTTTAATGACAGCCTCACTATATAATATATGCTCAAGATTATGTATGTGTATTTGATCACAGTAATATATATATGTTTTTGAAAAATCAGCAATAGTGTCTGTTAATGCCAGCCTTATTACTTGTGTGCCTGTGTGTGTGTATATACATATATACAACTTTTCAAATATATATATATATATATATATATATATATAAAACAACTTGAAAAGTCTTGTTCCCATGGGTTCAACAATAGTGTCTAGTAAATACCAGGTCAACTGGGATTCTGGGGAGAGGGGGTTAAAGGTGTCATGGTTACATTTCCTGGCTAACTCTTAATTTACTAGAAAATGCCTGTTAATGTCATCCTTCTTATGTATATATTTACATAATATATATTTTATGTATACAACTCTATCTGTATATCTGTATCTATCTATCTATCTATCTATCTATCTATCTATCATCTACCTATCTACCTACCTACTACCTCCGCCTTCTAAAGCATAGCTCAGTGAATGAAACTGAACCTTTGTTTGCTTAGCCAAGACCTTGTGGCTTTTTAGGTTAACTCTACTCATCGGCTCTTAGAACAGGAATAAAGACTGTCAAAAGTTGAAGGATAGAGACTGGAAGTTACTTTTTGTCCTAAAATACTGATGAAACTTTGTTTTCTAGTTATTTTTCTCTTCCTTCCAAAATGAGAATGCCACAAAACAAACAAAATATAAAGCTCAACCACAACCACAGGCAGTTGAGCAGCACAGCTGGGTGAGCTGTAGTAACTGGAGGATTTGCTGCATTTGTTTCTCTCCATGGGTTCTGTCATTTAGCTGCTGGATTGTCTTCTCATTTCTCATTTCTGCATGCTCCAAAGTGTGGACTCACACATGCTTATCTTAAAACAGCATCAAATTCTTGAAGAATTAATTTTGCCACCAGCCTATGACTTTTTTTCCCCCTAAAACAGTTGGGGAAAGAGGAAGTAGGAGTCCTTGTATCTCTTTTCATCTCTATGAACACTCACCCCACTGGTGACCTTACACACACTCACGGTTTTAAATACCATCTCCATGAATGCTGATGCAAGATGGCAGCCACTGCAGGCTCAGGAATAAAAGTGCCTTGAAATCTCTGACTGTTGCAAGAACTCAAAGAAGACCAGAAAGGAAGAAGTGATGGCACAGTTAGCTTGGGGTCTAGAAGATAATGAGGATATAATACAAGATGGACAAGGATAATCATTGGGCCTCCAAGTACAATTTATAAAAACCGAATATACAACCTTAAAATGGAATGTGAACCTAAATCCCCAGAAGCACCCCCAGTTTGTAAGATTTGTAACAAAATCAATATGAATATAATAGTGCTAATAGAATAGTGGGCCCAAGAGCCACATATCAGTGCTAGCAAAGTGGTAGAATTCATATTGCATTAGAGTTGTTCTGTAAGAGCTTTGGTGCCTAATGGTATCTAAAGAAAATATGAAACTCTCTCAGTCACCTGAACGACAATATTACAGAAATTAAAAAGAAAAAAATATAGGTCTTCCCCTTCCCTCATTTGATTTCATCGGTCTTTGTTCTCCACAGTAGTAAGTTTTCTAGCTATGTCTTGTAGACCTCAAACTATAGAGAAGAAAGCTCTCATTCAAAGGCAATTTATCTTAAGATACTGTAAATGATATTAATTTTTGTCTATTTGAAATATATAAATTATACTATAACAAAAATTAAAATATATACATATGTGCATACATATATACCATTATAAAATTACTTTAGACAAATTACATTTATTTTATTTATTTTTTATTTTTTTGAGAGATGGGGATTTGCTCTGTTGCCCAGGCTAGAATGCAGTGGTATGATCATAGCTCACTGCATCCTCTACTTCCTGGGCTCAAGCAGTCCTCCTGCTTTGGCCTCCCAAAGTGCTGGTATTATAAGCATGAGCCACCATGTCTTGTCACAGATTAAATTTAATAGAGTTTACTTCAGCAGAGAACAATTCATGTATTGTTCTGTCTATACAATATAGCTGTATTTGAGTATTATATAATGAGTTATTTGCATTATTTGGATATGGTCCTATGGGAGGTCCCTAATTGTATCTCCAATAACCTGGTTGGCTGTTTGTGATTGGCTGAGGCTTTCATTATTAAATTTTAATTGTGTGAGTCATGTGCCAGGTACAATAATATAAAGCTCATTCGTTTGTTAAAAAATCTGGATTTGAGCTGTATTTCTGGCCCGTGGAACAACATTACCGATCTAGATGGCTAAAGTTTTCAATGAGTATTTGTGGAAAAAATACTTAAAAGTTCTCATTTGCCTTTTGTAAAGAGTCTTTTGGAAAGGCAGTCTTTGATTCGTTTAGTTTTTTAGAAGCCTCAGCATGCCAATTAAAAATCCATCCCATTGTTTTTGAGGCACTTTGGAATCTGCTTTTTTCTTCTAATGTGCCTTGCCAGTTTAAACTTCCCTGTTGTTAACACTGTAATTATGTTATCTTTAGTAAGGTTAACCTATTTATCCAAAAATACACAGGTTTTTGAACCATAAGTTTTGTACATAAATGTAGCTAGTGTCTCACAAAATGAAGTCCCAGACTCCTGGAATCTTAAAAGAACCTGTTTTCAGAAGCCACCTACCCAAGGCTCCTAACTGGATTCAGTAAAGTTAATTATCAGATCCAATCTGATTTTGAATCCAATCTGGCTAAATAATTATTCAAATAGAGTTACAGAGAGAGCTCAAAATGTAAACTTGCAGAGTTGGAAGCTAAGAAGGAACTCACCCATGACCTTCAGTTGTAATGAAAGAGCAGTGGGCACAGTGAGCCTGGTGTGTACCTTTGCTTCATCACTCACTGCTCCTGAGAGTTGCATAAGGGTTCCTTCAGATCTCACTTATGACACCAAATTGTTAAAAGAAAAACTTTAGACAAATTTAACAGATTTTATTTGAGCAAAGAATGATTCATAAGTTGGGCAGTGATCAGAACTTAAAGAGATTCAGGGAGCTTCACTCCAGCAGCATGAGCAGCAAGCTTTTATAGACTGAACACAGAGGCAAAATTACCTGATTGGCTATAGATAAGTGTTTGCCTTATTTGAGTATGGTCTGATGTGAGGTCTCTAGTTATATAACCAATTGGCTAGTTGGCTGCTTGCAATTGGCTGAGGCTCATTTTGTTTTAAAGTCAATTACAAGAAATGTTTTCAAGTTAAGTTCTGGTTTGCTTATATAAGAGCTCTGGTTACCAAGACAACCTCCAGCTAATGGCTTCCTTCTTATTTGTTTTAACAATACATACACAACAAAATAAAACAGTTATGACAAGTGCCAAATGAGTAATTTAGATAATCATATGAGCAGACTTAAGAAGGGGAAGACCAGGAAGGGCCAATGTGGTCATAAATGGCACTGTAAGATACAGCTTGAACTCAACCTTAAAAGAAGAGGAAAGTGTCAGATAAGTACAGAAAGAGTGGAAGAGCATATTAGGTGAGAGCTTTGCCTCCTTCACTAACTTTGCAGATAAGACTTCCAGCTCTGCAGATGCAGAAGCCACAGGCATGCTCTGACTCGTGCCTCAGCCTCTGCCTTTGGCTTATAGCCTTCACCTACCCTCAAGAAAAATGTTCCTCCATCTTCCAAGAGTCCTGGTCACCTCCAGACTATGGATTGTTTCTGTTGTCAACTTATAACCACAAGGAATGCTGACGTTTTCCTAGTGCTGGCCTCTTGGCATGAGTGTACATGAGGAAATGGGGAGTCTAATTTACACAACGAGTGTGCACAACACAGAACTATTAATCCAGAGGTTTTTATCTCTATAATGAGGTAACGATAGCTTGCTTATTTATTTATTTATTTATTTATTTATTTTGAGACAGGGTCTCGTTCTGTCATCCAGGCTAGAGTGCAGTGGCGCAATCACAGCTCATTACAACCTCCACCTCCGGGGCTCAGGCTGTCTTCCCACCTCAGCCTCCCAAGTAACTGGACTACAGGCGCATGCCACGACACTTGGCTAATTTTTGTATTTTCATAGAGATGGAGTTCCACCATGTTGCCCAGGCTGGCCTTGAACTCCTGAGCTCAAGCAGTCCACCTGCCTCGGCCTCCTAAAGTGCCTGGATTACAGGCGTGAGCCACTGCACCAGCATGATAGCTCATTTAAAGGCATTTCTGAATAGTGAGTACTTCAATTATATATTAAAATTTACAGACTGATGAAAGTCCAGTGTTTTTAAACACCAAAGCTCAAAAACCTATTGGGTGCATCACTTGTAAAACTGTGTTATAATACAGATGTATCCTCAGGGTAACTGAGGCTAGTCAGACAGTGAGTTGTTCACTCAATGCTCTGTGAGCCTTATGGGTTTCTTAGTTGTGTCTGTTTTAATATCTCTTTCTTTCTTTCTTTCTTTCTTTCTTTCTTTCTTTCTTTCTTTCTTTCTTTTCTTTCTTTCTTTTTCTCTCTTTCTTTCTTTCTTTCTTTCTTTCTTTCTTTCTTTCTTTCTTTCTCTCTCTCTCTTTCTTTCTTTCCTTTCTTCCTTTTTTTTTTTGTCTGCAGCATCACTTTCAGCCAATGGGGTTTCATTTTTCATTCTCAGCTTTTGTTTCTGACTCTCTGTGGACTGGGAATCCAGATGAAGTTAACTTATTCTAATTGTTATTTTTAAAAGACAAAGGCTTCAATATACGGTCTTAGGAACTCTCCTCTGGGTTTTCCACTTTTCATCTTTGTTTTCCACTCTCCTCATGTATGCTAGCCACTTGGAGACCCTTTTTGTTACTTCCTGATATTTACCTGTATTCAAGATGAGTCAGGTTGTCAGGCTGCTAATTTCTGGACATGTGAGTTATTTCTGTAGTTTTGCTCCAATATACCACCAAAAATAAGATAGATCCTTTACTCTGCCAGTGCCATCTTCAGTGGCAGGTGTCAACTGACAGATTTGAATAGACAATTTATATGTGTATTATTTGAAACCTAGAGCATTTCCTGTAGTTAGCTCTCTCCTCTACAATGTTTTGCAAACATTACAAGAAGAACGGACCCATCTCAAAAGGTAACCGGAAGGTAACTTGAAGCTGTTATTTGCTTGTGGGGAGATGGGGCTGTGGTCAGGCAATGGAAGTGGTGGATAGCTGGATAGATGGATAGCTGGATGCTCAGGGCTTTCTGCAGCAGCACTGGGAGAAGCTCTAGCATTGAGGACGGAGTGGAGCCCAAGAGGGACATTGGAAAGCCCTCCATCAAAGGTAGATGAGACCTCCATGATAACAGGACATTAGTATAGAGACTGGTTTGGTGGAAGAAGTTGCCACTGCTGAGGTGCCAATTGAAAGAGGCTGTTGTGTCCTGGAGAAAGGACAAACAAGGGTACGCTTGTGCCCACTGTTGATTTTCTGTGGCACCCCAGCACAGAGAACAGCTGAGCTTAATGCCAGATTTCCCTCCTGCTGAATTCAGCCAGCTTTGAAAATGAGCAGGGGAGACAAAGAAGTGCAGACCTGCATCATAGAGATTCATGCTAGTCGTCTTCACCATTGTCACTATGGAGCATTACCTCCCAGTGATTTTTGGCCTTGCACACAGAAGCACTGTTTCTGTGCAAAGGGTAAGTAAGGGGGAGGCATGGTTTCTGCCTGCGTAGGGCTCACGTAAGGGGACAGTCACACTGCCATGGATTCTCTGCCAATACAGCAATCATAAGGTCGTTGACAAAAAGTCTATTGTTCATATGCTTTGTGATTTAATTGCTAAAGACCAACACCTAAATTATCAGTTAGCATCACAATAAACTATTGTAATGAGAAGACCCCAAAAATGCAATGACTCAGGTAAGATAGAAGTTGATTCCTTTCTTACCTAACAGTCCTGGGTGGTGCGCCTGATCAGCAGGAGGCTTTGTCCACGCAGTGACTCAGGGACCCAGGTTGCTTCCTGCTTGTTTATTCTCTATTCTCTAAACCATTTGTCTTGCCTGTCTAGGTGTCATGCCCAGATAGCCAGCCAGCAGGAAAAAAAAGGGAAGAACGTGAGGGGCATGCTTGCAAAGTGTGACAGACTTGTCTAGAAGTAGCACCCTTCTCATCCATTGGCCAGAATGTGGTCACGTGACCACCATCCACTCCATGGGGTCCTGGAGATGTGGTGCCTGCCTGGGCTGCACATCAGCCACACTTCTCTCACTGTGGAAGGTCAGTAGGTTTTGGTGAACTGGCATCATATGGGGCTTCACTTTACATTTTGATCTGGTGTCTTCTTCAGTTTTCCAGTTTTTTAAAAAAAATCTAACAATAAGTTTGTAGAATTCAATAATTTCCAATCCCTTTTTAGTAGTTGCATTGTTAACTTTGTTTAGTCTTCTGAAACCTCTTTTATTTGCTTCTTTAAGCCCCTCCCTCTGCCTCTAGTTTTTGAAAGAGAAAACATACTTTCTTCCTTTAGTTGGAATGAATGAGGATTCTTGGAAGAATTTTCCACCATTTCTTAAGAATGGTAGGTGTTGCAAATTCAGGTTTGAAAACTTGGATAAGAAAAGAGTAACCTATGGAAAGGGCAAGCATTTTAGAGGCTGGGGAGGAGGGAGATTGGGAGGGGAGAGGAGAGGACAGTGAAAATACACAAACCCTCCACAAAACAGGAGCGCTACAGGAATATGAGTTTTTAAATTCTTCATTGTTTCTTTTCGTCACATTGTAGCTGACTCTTCTTTTGCCCCAAAGACAGGGCACTGGCTGGTTAATTATAAAAAGTGGTTCCCAACACAAATCCAGCAGAAGGGCTGTGGGAAAAAACTGCTTTAGTTGAGGGTTAGACCCACCAGCTTCCACTAAACATCCATTAACATCATGACAGATGTTTAACAAGGATAAGATGAACCTGGGAGACTCCTTCCCTACAATCCAAATCTCCCCCAGCTTTGGAATTTCAGTCAGAGAAAATAGACTTAAAAAGACAGTTAACCAAAAATGTTTAAATTCTGAGGTGACAGAGGCTTTCTTACTCTTTTCCTTTTTTCTGAGCTCTGACCTTATGGGATGAAAGATATCACATTTGGAAACAATAAGTCCTGCATCCCTAAAGATTCTCTTTCTTCTCTGGTGGCTCTTAGAAACCTTTGGGCTATTTGAATCTTACAATTTCTCTCTCTCTCTCTCTCTCTCTCTCTCTCTCTCTCTCTCTCTCTCTCAGTCAGGGTCTTGCTCTGCCACCAGGTGAATTCCAAGGGATCCTCCCACCTAAGCCTCCTGAGTAGCTGGGACTACAGGCGCTTACCACCATGCCAGGCTTTCTTTTTAAAAAAAAAAAAAAAAAATGCTTCATAGAGACAGAGTCTTGTCATGTTGCCCAGATTGGTCTCGAACTCCTGGGTCAAGCAATCCACTTGCCTTGGCCTCCCAAATTGCTGGGATTACAGACATGAGGCACTGCACCTGGCCAACTGAATCTTCCAATTAACCCCTGTTAATTGTACTACTAATTAATTGTATAATTGTACAATTAAGAAATGTAGTTCTTCAGTTTAGGGATAGACCCACCAGCTTCCACGAAACATCCATTGTACAATTGTACAATTAAGAAATGGTGGAATATTAATGGGTTAATTGTAAGATCCAAAATGTAATCAACCAGGGAGATTTTTCAATGGAAATGTACAGTTTCATGGGAACTGATTTTCACTCATTTTCCTTTTTAATATAATACAATTGAATAGTGCCATTCACACCTCTCATAACATACACTCCCTTGAATAGATCCAAATAGCCATTTGCCATTTAGCAAATGTTTTCCCTGATCCTGTGCTTTGCTTTTGTTACATTTAAAGTACACTCCCCACTTGCTGCAAAAAGTGTGACTGCGATTCAAACTCAGCCCTCTTGGCTCATTTATGAGGGAAGCTTTGCCATAAAAGATGAATTGCAAAGTAATAGCTGAGGGGAGCCATAACAGTGAATGCAGTTACCCTTTGGTACATTTTTGGGCTAATGATATTTAAATCAATGTGACTGAAAAAGAAAAATAAAGGTCAAACCAAATACCAAAGAATGAATAGCCTACTGCAAGATTACTAGACTCATAAACAGTTCCTTGTTCTCTAAGATTGCTCTGAGAACCATGTCAATACACCAGTCTCGTGGTAATTAAAGAATTTAAAAAGCCAATACTTATTTTGTCAAGGGCACTAATGCAAATTCAACTTGGTCTATGAACAAATTAACACAAAGTTCTGATTGTGTGCAAACTGGGGCAGTTAGCAATTATTCTTAGTATTTCTATAACAAACTTTCTTCTGAAAAACTCAAAATACTAGAGAATCATAAAACTTCGAAGGAATCTGAGAAACTACTGATACCTTTGTTTTACAAATTCGGAAGCTGTAGCCCACAAAAGTGACTTGTTCATGGTCACACTGCTAGCCTGTGCATCTTGAGTAGCCCAGTGATCTTTAATAGTGTATCTTGATGTTCTCGTCTTAGGTATCACCCCAGTTCTTTCCTCTCCATTCTATTGTAAAGCAGCTCCTCCTCAAAAATACTATGAAGTTTGAAGAACAAAAAAGTCTTACATGTTCTATATTATAATGTAAGTAAATGTTGACTAGAAATCCCCTTGTCTTTTTTTTGAGACAGTGTCTCACTCTGTCACCCAGGCTGGAGTGCAGTGGCTCAGTCACGGCTGCCTGCACCCTCAACATCCTGGGCTCAGGTCATCCCCCTGCTTCAGCTTCCTGACTGGCTGGGACTACAGGCACATGTCACTATGCCCAGCTAAATTTTTTTTTTTTTTTTTCTTGTAGAGATGGGGTTTCCTGAGGTTGCCAAGTCTCGTCTTGAACTTCTGAGCTCAAGTGATCCTCCCACTTTGGCATCCCAAAGTGCTAGAATTACAGGTGGGAGCCGCTGTGCCCAACCTCCTCTTGGCTTTATCGTATAAAGCCTGTATAGAACCAAACAGGGTATATGATCAGGCCTTTCAGTGAGGCCAGATTGGAGCAGTAGCAGCTTGATAAGGTCCCAAAAGGTACTAAATGAAAAAGAGACAATCTAACATTAGTGGCCTCAGAATGCAGGGACACCTATAGCCTAGACAAGAATAAAATAAACCAAGAAAAAACACAACTGGAATTCCTTTTAATAAGAAAGCCAGTCCCATATCAGAAGCCAGACAATAGGGATGGAAGAAATTGAATTCCAAAGACAGACAAATGGAGAAAGACACAAATAAAATGGGGAGGGGTTGACCTCAAAGATGACTAACTAGAGTTATAAGGCTGGGGGTTGCAGGTAGACACAGGATTGCAAGCAGGTTGGATAAATGGGGTGGGCCAGCTGGTCTACCTTCTAACCCCAGGGCGATGTAGCGCCTAGTGGAAAAATCTTGGTCACAAAGTCAAGTCCCAACTGTAACCATGATTTGCCTCATTCATTCATTCATTCACTCATTGACTCACTCACTCATCTAATATTTATGAACAACCACTGTGCACCAGGCACTGTACTGGAAGATAAGCCATGGAATGAGGTAGATGTAGCTCCTGGCTGGGTGCAGGGGATATAGCTCCTGGCTGGGCACAGGGGTCACGCCTGTAATCCCAGCACTTTGGGAGGCCAAGGCAGGTGGATCACTGAGGTCAGGAGTTCTCGACCAGCCTGGCCAACATGGTGAAACCCCGTCTCCACTAAAAATACAAAAATTAGCCAGGCATGATGGCACATGCCTGTAATCCCAGCTACTCAGGAGGCTAAGGCAGGAGAATTGCTTGAACCTGGGAGGCGGGGGTTGCAGTGAGCTGAGATCGTGCCATTGAACTCTGCACTCCAGCTTCGGTGACAGAATGACACTCCATTTGAAAAAAAAAAAAAAGAAAGAAAGATGTAGCTCCTGTCTTCACAGGCCTCACAGTCTATTAGGGAGATAGACATCGAACAAGTCATTATACACATCTTTCTTTATCTTTGTAGCCAAAGTTAAGAAAGGAAAGCATAGCATACAATGAGAATTCAAAAAAGAATTCTAATTAGCATCTAACTTAGGTTGGAGACAAAGGAGGAACTGTGATATTGGTTTTTAAAATGGAAACAAATACCAAATGGAAGGTGATTAACTTGCATTTAACATCCATAGATACACAAACTGTTATTAATTAACAGCAGACAAAAATGTGCCCCCGAACTGGTCATCTCTCTAGAAATCCAGTGATGGAGGTAAGAGAAAGGGATTCCACTGGGGAAGCCAGGAACACAGGAGAACCAGAACCCCATGCTGCTGGACAATGAACAAAGACAAGGTTCTGTCTCGCTTTCACTTACTCTGGAGCTGAGACCATGTCCTAGAATAAAATAGGTTGCTGAACACTAGAAAGGCTGCAGTGCAGCATGAAGCAGTGTCTGTCTGACCTCAGCACCCTGTTCTGATTCCTGATCTGCGTTTGGTTCCTATGTTACTGAGGACCACTGTGTACCCTACTTTCTTAATACTCAGCCCCAGGGACCCAGTCTCTCTGTACCTCTCCCAGACTTCCAGGTGTTTCTCCCCTATGTGCTGGGATCTTTGCTGGTAAATATCTGGACTGAAGAAAGTCTGGGATCTTACTCATAACAAACACACAGACTGATGCTGTGGTTTTTGACTTATCTTTGGACTTGTGCACCCATGGTCAAATCTTAAAGCTTAGCAGAATTCCCAAGGATCCCTGCACTTGTTGGGTCAGAGGCAAGAACAGCAGGCCCTACACTAAACTGGATTCCTTAGAGTCTATGACTCAGGGCCAGGCACAGTGGCTCATACCTGTAATCCCAGCACTTTGAGGGGCCGAGGCATGTGGATCATGTGAGGTCAGGAGTTTGAGAGTAGCCTGGCCAACGTGGTGAAATGCCATCTCTACTAAAAAAATACAAAAAAAAAAAAAAATAGTTGGGCATGGTGACATGCACCTGTAATCCCAGCTACTCAGGAGGCTGAGCCAGGAGAATCGCTTGAACCTGGGAGGCGGAGGTTGCAGTGAGCTGAGATCATGCCACTGCACTGCAGCATGGGCGACAGAGTGCAGAATCTGTCTTTAAAAAAAAAGAATCTATGACTCTGTGTGCCTTGGGCCACTGTCACCAAGCCCTGACCCTAGAACAAGGTCTTGATGTGGTCTCAGCTACTAGCTAATGTTGCAACATCAGAACTTGATGTATGTGGAGCCAACTCTGTGGCACCAAAACCTCCCAAAATATTCCCTGACTCTGAGATACCCATGCATGAAAGGGAAGGCTGGAGGCCGATGTCGAAAAACAACTGCGGAATTTCATTTGACAGTAAACACTGCAAAAGGTATCTATGTCACATGGTTGCCCAATGCCTTGAGTTAAATAGAGAATGGAGAGGTTATAACCCCACACTGTCTGTTGTGATAGCGATCCCCACACTATCAGATCATATCTGGAGTACTGCATGTCATTCTGAGCACAGCATTTTAAAAAGGATTTAGACAAACTAAAAAGAGTAACCAGATGAGTGATAGGGCTGGAGATCATTCCCATGAGAGCTGACGCTGAAGGAAATAGGAAGACTGACAGCTGCTTCCCAATGTGGAAAGGGCTACGGCTGGACCATTAGACTCGCTCTAAATTGTCACAAGGGCCAACAATAAGCAAAAGGGAGATAGATTTTTTTTAAATTAGTGTAAGTGGGCTTTTTCTAATAGTCTAATTCTAGTGGACTTGTGCAGACACCATAGGCCACGGCAGGTGTTTGAGAAGGGGAAGATGGTATTGAAATCAAGCCAGAGTTAGCAGCTATGAGTACCACTGGGGCTTGGGTGGTGATTCTGAAAAAGAAAAAGACTAGTTCTCATTTTTCTCAAGCTAGATATGGACAAGGTTCCTGGGCCCCTTCCCTCAAGTCTACCCAAAGAGGCATATAGTCAGCTCCTGCTCAGTTGAAGCCTTGGCTGAAAGGAGAAGTAACTGGTCATTTAGGGGGACCCTCTGACCCACCACTGGTAGAGTCAAGACTTAGTGTGGCTTTGCAGATAACTGTGAATGTGCAAATTTTGTCCTGGTGATACTGATAGCAATGATGCTACTATTTATGAAGGGCCTACTGTGCACCAGGTACCTTGCTAAATATAGTATGTATAATAGCTCATGAAATCCTTATACCTGTCCTATGGAATAGCTACTATAGTCTTCATTTTCCACTGGAGGAAGCAGAAATTTAGAGAACTTAAGTTTCTTGCAAGGCCACTGAGCTGCTGCATGGGGGTCGCCTGAGCCTGAGCTCTCAGCATGCTGGCTTTCAGCGCACCTCCACTGGGGATCCCATCCACCTCTCCTAGCCGAAGTGCTTCCCAGGCCAGCTCCATCCTGTTCTTGGGCTCCCAACGCCCAGGAAGGCATTGTGGCATGGTAGAAAGAACCTGAGAATTAGAATCGGACAGGCCTGGGTTTAAAGCCCAACTCACCACTTACAGCCGTGTGATCTTGGGCAAATCACATGGTCTCTTTAGCCGTCCATTTCTTCATCTATAAAATACCTACTTCTTTTCTATAGCAGATTCACATATTTTTTCCCTGGGGCAAGTTCTGAAGTAACCAAGTAAGCAAAAAACAAAGATAAGTAAGCGTGTCCTTAATAAATCCATTTGAGGGGTACACTTGGAACCCCCATATATGTCAGGCAACTTTCTCTACTGGGGTGGCAGATGTGATCGAGGCAGGCAAGGTCCCTGCTCTTATAGAGCCTGGCATCTGGTGCAGGGTTCCAGTCAGCACACATCAGTGGGTATTAAGCACTATTCAAAGACCTACATGGTAATAGGAAATGACAAGGAAAGTCTTCTCCCAGGAGGTGACATTTCAGCCGAGATCTGAGTGACAAGAAGGAGCCTCAGGCAAAGATGGAAGGAAAAAAGATCATCCAGGCAGAGGGAAGAGCTAGGATAAGCTCCTGCGGAGAGAATAAGCCAGGACAAAGCAGCCCCAGGGAGACTGGCCCGGGATGGAGCCAAGCAGGCAGGGAATTATAGATGCTTTGGGGTTTGTTTTCCAAGTGTGTTGGGAGAGTTCTGAGCAAGGACACTTCATGATCTGAATTCCCTTTTCGAGTTCTCTCATTCTCTTTTCGTGTTCTATGGGGAGCATGGATTGCAGGCTGGTAGTGGGGGAAGCAGGGAGGCCAGCTAGGAGGTTTTGCAGCAGTGCAGGCCGGAGATGCTGGAAGCTTGGCCTCCTTTGTGGTGGGGTTGAGGTTGGGAAGTTGCAGCAGATTCAGTTCATGCTTTGTAGGGGGCATTGACAGGGACAGCTGGTGGGTTGGACACAGGTTGTGGGGAAAATAAGAATCAATAATAACTCAAGGATAACCATTATTTGCAACTAGTTCAACATAGCTAGTCTTGTTTTGTTTTGTTTTCTCCAGTGCTGGTAATGTTTCTTTAGTTGAACATCAAATGAAATAGCGGTCTTCCATTTGAGGGCTGTATTGCATAGGGGAAAATGTGTATCTCTAAACACTGGACTCATTCTCAGCCTGGAAAGATACTCATAAGATGAGAGACATGCAGAACATAAGGCCAGTGAGTTCGTGCTTCCCTTGTTTCACTCACTGGGGGGCATACACTCATTTGGTGGGATAGTAGGGATAGTAGATAAATTTAAGACTGTGCTCATCTTTTTCTTCCATATCGAATTCAGATCAGTTAATTGTGTCCATACAGTGACTTCACAATAATAGGACCATACATTATGTTAGATCATCTTTGCATTAGAATTTCTAGTTTGCGTTTTGTTAAGATGTGCTGTCTGTTCATCTCATATGCGCAGTGAGGATAACACCTTCATCCTAGTGTGTTTCTTAGGAGATGACATAAGGGTTCACACAGTGCTGGCCTCTTGGGAAAATCCAGCAAAATGTGGGTTCCTGCCCCCTCACCAAAGAACCTGCAAGTAGTTTCTAATTCTTTGTTCATTCAATGACTGTTTATTGGACGGCTAATATGTGCCAGATGCTATTCTGGGTGCTATACGGGTATCAGTGAATCACGTAGAGTTCCTGCTCTGTGGGGTAGACCCCTTCCTCCATCTTCACAGCCAGCATGACGTCTTCAAATCTCTCTCTCCCTGTCTATAACCCTTGTTCCCATAGTCACTCTGATCTCCTATCCACCTCTTCGTTTCATTTAAACGTATTTTGAATTTTTAAACTTTTATTTATTTATTTATTTTGAGATGGAGTCTCCCTCTGTCACTCAGGCTGGAGTGCAGTGGTGCAATCTCAGCTCACTGCAACCTGCACCTTCTGGGTTCAAGCGATTCTCCTGCCTCAGCCTCCCAAGCAGCTGGGATTACAGGCATGCGCCATGATGCCCAGCTAATTTTTGCATTTTTAGTAGAGATGAGGTTTCACCATGTTGGCCAGGCTGGTCACGAACTCCTGACCTCAAGTGATCCACCCACCTTGGCCTGGGATTACAGGCATGAGCCACCACGCCCGGCCTAAATTTTTAATTTTTTGAGATGAGGTCTTGCTCTGTTGCCCGGGCTGGAGTGCAGTGGTGCAATCTCGGTTCGCTGCAACCTCTGCCTCTAGGGTTCAAGAGATTCTCATGACTCAGCCTCCAGAGTAGCTGGGATTACAGGTGTGCACCACGATGCCTGGCTATCATTTAAAATTTTTAAAAAGTTGATTGAAACATAATAGATGTACATGTTTTCAGGAGGCATTTGAGAATTTGCTACATTCATGTAATCAAAGTGTAATTGGGATATCCATCCCATTAAATATGTGGCTTTTCTTTTTGCTAGGAAAGCCGAGCCATTTTGAAATGAACAATTGATTAATGTTAACCGTAGTCGCCCTATTGATCTATCAGCCACCGGGTCTTATTTCTTCTAAGTGTGTTTATAGCCATTAATCAACCTCTTTCTCCCTTTCTCCCTGCCACCCTTCTCAGCTCCTGGTAACCACCAATTTACTCTCCATCTTCATGAGATCCACCTTTTCAGCTCTCAGATATAATTGAGAACATGGGTTATTTGTCTTTCTGTGCCTGGCTTATTTCACTTAACATAATGACCTCCAGTTCCATTCATGTTGCTGTGAATGATAGGCTTTCGTTCTTTTCTTTCCGCCCACTTCCTTCTTACAACCTCGTTCGTTGTAATACTGGGCCCACCTGGGTAATCTGGATTCACCATCTCATTTCAAGATCCTTAATTTAATCACCTTTGCCAAGTCGCTTTTGCCATTTGAGGTAGCATATTCACAGGTACAATGGATTAAGCTGTGGGCATCTTTGGTGGGGCTGGGGTTGGGGGTGTTATTCTGTCTACCCCAAGTGTTATCCATTCAAGGAAGATTTGTTAACAGAAGACCTAGTCAGGATTCACATACGCATCTGTCCATGCTAAACCAGTATCTAAAACCAACGTACTAGAGTTTCCTGTAAGTGATCAAAGTGACAAACACAGTGTTTAGTACTCTGGGACCCACCCATTACCAGTCTACATTCCAGACCATAGGTCCTGGTTTGAGTTTGGAAACCTTAGTCTTTGGATCCAAGTTGTATTTTCATGTCAAGCTTATCAGAAGGTCCAGGTGTAACTTGCAATCTCAGTAGACCCTGAGGTCCCCACAGGGACACATGAGGTTCAACGCAGAACCTGGCAGGGTGAAGGTGTTCTTGGGTAGCCAGCAGGGCTCTTTGCAGAGTTTTACGCAGGAAACCAGAAGCTAAACTTATGTCTTTGATCCTTTGGATCCTTAGAGCCTTGAAGACAACTTTGTATAGACAAAGCTAAAACCAGAATTGTGACCGAATTACAACCGGGAGCTGTGTGTGGCAGTTGAAATGCTGAATAGTCTTTTTTTTTTTTTTTTGTCTTTTTAGTAGAGATGGGGTTTCTCCGTGTTAGCCAGGATGGTCTTGATCTCCTGACCTTGTGATCTGCCTGCCTTGGCCTCCCAAAGTGCTGGAATTACAGACGTGAGCCATCACGCCTGGCCGAAATGCTGAATAATCTTAAATGTTGAATGTCTGAAGATGTTGAACCAAGATCGATTTGCTTTTCAGTTCCTGGGAAGCCTGGATTTTCTCTGCATCTAGGCCAGGCTGTCAGCTCCACATTCCCAGGCCAAGGATTTGGAAAAATGGGGCCGCATGCCACGCTGGCATATTTTATGTGTGTGTATGTGAGTCAGCCTTATTTTAGGAATGAAAAAGTACCCCTCTGTACACTTTAGATAAGGATGACCCACAGTTTGTTACTCAGGGCAAAGTCTCTCTTCTTTTTCTTATATAATCAAATCAAATACAGTTTAATCCTGAAACTAGGCAAGAGGCAATTAGCTGAAAACTTCTTTGGCCAGCCCTCAACTTTGGGATGAACTTACAAAAAACAAACAACAACAACAAGAAAAAAACAAAAAACAATATTCTAGTCTTTTCTTTTATACAGAAGTCTCAAGTTACCTACCTGAATTGCAGCTTTTCTAAGATTATAGCATATTGATTCTTTGAAAAGATCTACTTCTTGTCCCTTATCCCAATGTAATCATTCACAGATTTTTAAACATTTATTAACCGACTCCTGTATGTTTGTAATTGAGGTTGCAGAGCACAGTTCCTGGTTTTACTGGGTTTAGGAATTAGAAGAAGAGACCAAAACCATTTTGAGTTAGAGAAGCATGGGCAATTGAAGTTGTACTCTTTGATGTTTCTGCCACAAAGGGAAAACCTTGTGAGAGAGGACACTACCTCGGAGAGTAGACACTCCAACATTGGTTGGCTGAAAGAATAAGAGCATTGTCTGGGCCTCAGAAGGGAAGACACAAGCCCAGCTAGCTCTCCCGGGGATGAGTTTACAGTACTGTGCTAGGAAGGAAAGAACAGCTCCTGGATAGAGTCCTGGATCTGGATCTGCCCCGTGTGGTGTGTGACAGGGCACAGTCACACAGTATGCTCAGTACCTCAGCTTCCCACCTAAAGCTGAGGCTTAGAAAGAAAGCCCAATTCATCCATTCTCAAGCCACTCCTGCATTTTGATTCCCATTCCTCTGTGGATGGAGAGACTCAGATAATGAGCAAGGCCTTTGTGCTCTTTAGCGGTGCTCATTGGTGGCGCCACAGGACTAACTCAGAACTCACTTTCATAAGCGCACCACAAGCCACCACTGGGGGAAATGAGTCATTCTAATCTAGAAAATGCTATGATTGATTGAGTGCTACTGAGGAGAGAAGCCATTTCTCTTACTGTCTCCTGTCTCTGAAGAGGAGGAGGAAGTAAAAGTTGAAAAACAACAGGAATGAAGTCAGTGGCAAGACCAGCCGGTGCCACTGATGACCCGGCCTGAGGTTAAAAGATTAACCCCCCAACTCTAACCACATGTGCTCTCAATCCATCACGACCCTTTCACGTGGAACCCCTTAGAGTTGTAAGCCCTTAAAAGGGCCAGGAACTCTGTCTTCGGGGAGCTCTGCTCTTAAGACGCGTGTCTGCCGACGTTCCTGGCCGAATAAAAAACCTCTTCCTTCTTTAATCCGGTGTCCGAGGAGTTTTGTGTGCGACTCGTCCTGCTACATTTCTTGGTTACAAAAACCTCTTCCTTCTTTAATCCGGTGTCCGAGGAGTTTTGTCTGCGACTCGTCCTGCTACATTTCTTGGTTACAAAAACCTCTTCCTTCTTTAATCCGGTGTCTGAGGAGTTTTGTTTGCGACTCGTCCTGCTACATTTCTTGGTTCCGTGACCGGGAAGCGAGGTGATTGAAGGACGGTCGAGGCAGCCCCTTAGGCTGCTTAGGCCTGCCCTGTGGAGCGTCCCTGCAAGGGACTCTGGCCAGCTTGAGCGACGGGCATCCTGAGAGCGCTCCCGGGTAGGCAATTGCCCTGGTGGAACACCTCGTCAGAGCAGTGTGTGGCAGGCCCCCGCGGAGGATCAACGTGGTGGCTGAACACCGGGAAGGAACTGGCACTAGAAGTCTGGACGTCTGAAACTTGGTAAGACTGGTGTTTGGAACTTGCCCACTCCATCTGAGTGGAAGCGTGGCCTGATCACCCACGGCGTGCCTCTACCAGCACTTTGGTTCTTGTTTTTGACTTGACTTGAATTGCTTGATACTTTGGTTTTGGTTTTGACCTGGCTTGGATTTCTGGATACTCCGATTTTAGTTTTGATTCTGGTCTGGTGTAAAATGAAAAAGAGTGTGTGTGCCCTTTTTACCCGTTCTTTGTTCTGTGGTGTGCGTGTGGTGTGAGCGTGGTGTTTTGTCTCCAGGAAACATGGGTCAGATACAAAGTAAGCCTACTCCGCTAGGAGCTATGTTGAAAAATTTCAAGGAAGGATTTAGTGGAGACTATGGGGTTACTATGACAGCAGGGAAACTTAGAGCTTTGTGTGAAATCGATTGGCCAACATTAGAAGTGGGTTGGCCATCAGAAGGAAGCCTGGACAGGCCCCTTACTTCTAAGGAGTGGCACAAGGTAACTGGTAAAGGATAGTTAGACTAGTTCCCATACATAGACTCTTCGTTACAGCTGGTGCTAGACCCCCCACAGTGGCTAAGAGGGCAGGGAGCAGCAATGCTAGTAGCAAAGGGACAGATAGCTAAGGAAGGATCCTGCTCCACTCGCCCAGGGAAATCAACTCCTGAAGTTCTGTTCAACCCAACATCAGAAGATCCATTGCAGGAGATGGCACCAGTGATCCCACTGGTGCTCTCCCCTTACCAGGGAAAGAGGCTCCCCACTCTTGAGCCCACAGTGCTCGCGCCTCCACAAGACAAGCGTATCCCTAGGCCACCCAGAGCAGACAAGCGAGGAGGTGAGGACTCGGGAAAAACCCCTCCCTTGGCAGCTCATTTACGACCCAAAACTCTGTGGCTCACATCTGTAATCCCAGCACTTTGGGAGGCCGAGGCAGGAAAATGGCTTGAGCCAAGGAGTTCAAGACCAGCATGAGCAACATGGCAAAATCCCGTATCTAAAAAATACCAAAATTTTAGCTGGGCATTGTGGCCTGCACCTGTAGCCCCAGGTACTCCAGAGGCTGAGATGGGAGCCTGGGGACGTCAAGGCTGCAGTGAGCCAAGATCGTACCACTGCACTCCATCCCGGGTGACAGAGTGAGACCCTGTCTCAAAATGTATATATGTAAAATAAAAAACTGTAAGAAAGGAATATAATACTTTGATTCGTGAAGCATTACAGGGCCTAATAGTTGCTCTGGTCTGCTTATGAATGAAGGTTCAGCAGCAATTTCTTCTCTTAGTTAAGCCTTTTCCTCTGCTAGTTATAGAACTTAGACCTTGAAGGAGTCTCCATTATTATCTAAGTCTAGGCGAGGAGAAAAACTAAAGCAGGGTTTCCAAGTGGATACTGCTAGTTAATGGAGAGCCAGGAAGAAGACCCAATTCATCTGTTCTTCAGCCCCTCCTGTGTTCTGATCCCACTCACAGTATTCACCCAAGAAATATGTTAGGCTTGGCTGTGGCCTAGTACTGTTCTGAGTGCTGAAGATAGAGCCCTGGACAGTCAGCCCAGCCCCTTCTTTCTCCCATCTTTGTAGAGAAGATAGAAAATAAATGCACAAAACCATTCCAGGTGGCCACAGGTGCTATTAAGAAAGCAAATCATAGCAGCTTGATGGAAAATGATGAGGTGAGGTTGGTTCTTTAGGCTGAAGGACAGAGAAGGCCCGTCTGAGTAGAGGCTCAGCTGTGGTCATTGGTGGAGTCACAAGCTAAGTCAGAACTCACCTGAGGAATCATATCCAACACTGATGGGGACCCACTGCATCATCTCTCACCTTCACTGGAGGAAGAGGAGGGCGATGAGTCATTACACAGCATGCAGAAAATATAAAAACAGGCTGGGGCTGGGCACGGTGGCTCACACCTGTTAATCCTAGCACTTTGGGAGGCTGAGGCAGGTGGATCATTTGAGGTCAGGACTTTGAGACCAAACTGGCCAACACTGTGAAACCCCACAATCACAGCTACTTGGGATTGCATGAACCTGGGAAGCAGAGGTTGCAGTGAGCCAAGATTGTGCCACTGCACTACCTCCTGGGTGACAGAGCAAGACCCTGTTGGCAAAGAGAGGGAGGGGGAGGGGGAAGGGGGAGAGGGGGAAGGGGGAGAGGGAGGAAGGAAGGAGCATGATGTCTGATTCTGCCTCCTAAAAGCATTGCTAAGTAATTCACCACAACTGAGACATACACAGATGGTAAGATCTCCTGAAACATCACTGTGAAGTATCTCGAAGCTTTTTAGACTAATGGCATTTGAAAAATCCTACTTTCTGGCCGGGCGTTGTGGCTCACGCCCGTAATTGCAGCACTTGGGGAGGTGGGCAGATCACAAGGTCAGGAGATCGAGACCATCCTGGCTAATACGGTGAAACCCGGTCTCTACTAAAAAAGTACAAAAAAATTAGCCGGGTATGGTGGTGGGCGCCTGTAGTCCCAACTACTTGGGAGGCTGGAGCAGGAGAGGCGAGAGGTGGGAGGCAGAGCTTGCAGTGAGCGGAGATCGCGCCACTGCACTCCAGCCTGGGCGACAGAGCGAGGCTCCGTTTCAAAAAACCAAAAACAAACAAAAATCCTGCATTCTAAAAATCCAATGCCTGACCTTTGCCACTATCTCCTTCAGTTTACCATTTCTGTCCTGAGGTAACAAACTTTAAAACATTGTTTTAAAGTATAATAGGATGAATTATGAATCCATTAAAGAAAACACACCCTCTCTAATTAGCAACTGTTCACAGGAAAATTGCTCACTGCTCCAGGGCTAGATAAGTGTCAGCCCAAAGTTAGAGAAATTGCACGTGCAACACGTTCCAATTCAATTATTTTGTCCTCACTCAGCCAAGTAATTGATGTCTGATCATTGTGCCTGGTGGTTGTTGATAGAACGGGACTGATTTCCCCCTGGACTGGACCAAGATCACAAGCAGCTTCTGGATTGTGATTCAAGGGACAAAAGAGTTAACAAGGCAGGTTCATTAGCAAACGAGTCCCCAGACCAATCCCCCTGAGCAAAGGGAGACAGGGCAGCCATCCCCATGGGACCAGAGCAGTGACTGTCCTGGTCACCTGCCAGCCTTCTGGCCGGGAGTTGGTACCCCCAAGCAGCCTCTTTGACTTAGTAAAACTCTCCACTTCTAGATCCAGAACCCACAGGAGCAACTTTGTGTTTGGCAAAAGGAAACCAGGTGGGGTTTCTCCCCTTCCTGTTAGAGATGTAATTATGACAGGGACAGTGGTCACTGCTTAAAAAGCCTATCTTTAGATAATTGACTGAGTGCTTCATTTCATGCTGTTTCATGACCTTGATAGCTAAATGGTGATTGAATGAAAGATGTTTAAATGTTGTTACTTCATATTCAAGAAGCATGGGGAAACGTATCCTTCAGATGCCCATCTCCACGAGGAAGTGGGGAGAATTTCTGAACAGCCGTCTGAATGACTAGGGAGTCTAATCACAGCCCAGGGATGTCACATTTCAGCACTGACTGAACAAAGAGCTAGATTATACAGCTCATTGGCATCACACATCCAAATAGGTCCCAGCCGTCCAAATCTGCTTTCGTTCAAAATTGCTGTTTGTGTAACTTAAATAATACCATAGGACTTAGTGATAGAAACATCTTATTTGGTAGAAAAACATTCATAGAAACAAAAGCCCAATGCTGAGACTGAGAAACATCAAAGAAACACCTTGCCGTATTTGGATGCTTTCATGGACCCTTGCTGGACAGCTGACAACTGCTGGGCATTGTCTTTGCATGAGTAGGCTGGAGAGGAGGAAGAAGAGGGGTTGCTTCTGCTGTGCCAGGGGTGACAGCAGTGGAAGAGTTGGAGGAAGTGGAAGGGGAGGCAGGAGAGACAGGCACACTCCGTGTTGTAACTTTTACTGAAAAAATATTGTGGTTGCAGCAGTTCAACCCCGTGTTGTTCAAGGTTAAGTGTAATTAATCAGGAATCCTGTCTCCTTTCATCTTGTGACGCTGGCCTCTATCTACATTGGGTGAAGAGAGGACTGGAGGCTCATTTGAGATATTTTAAAAGGCCAATCCTGGAAGATGGTTACAATCACTTCTACCCCATCACATCAGTCAGAACCCAAACACACAGCCTCCAACTAACCTCGAGGAAGACTAGGAAGTGATGTCTCCCTGTGTGTCCAGGAAGAGGAAACCAGATTGCTGGAGATATAGCTGGTTTCCATCCTAGGAAGCTCTTCATTTAGTGGCCCAGAAAGATCAGCAGATGCAAAAGTATGTTTATTATTAGGAGGACCAACTGTAAAAAATTGTTAGAGAGGCAGAAACAAAGATGGGAGCCCGCAGAGATGAGATTGATTAATTCTGATTAATCAATAGGGGATAGCAGACACAGGGAGGTTGCTAGAGGAACTGGGTTTGATCAGGGTGTTAATGCATTAATAGATATTTAAATGGTGGACATAAAGTACTGCAGTTAGACAAAGGCACAGATGTCAGCAGTTCATACCAGGCAGAAATAGTGAAGGACTTGGTAAGACTGGAGGAAACAGGAATGGAGGACAAAGAGGGGTCAGATTCCCAACCAAGGGAATCTTGAGTGTTTTTAAAAACAGCTTGGATTCCCTCCTGCAGGCAATGTGACACCATGAAAGCTTTTTGAGTAGGTAGTGACATCATCAGATTTATGTTTTAAAAAGAG
Source organism: Homo sapiens (assembly GCF_000001405.40). Classification (NCBI taxonomy): domain Eukaryota; kingdom Metazoa; phylum Chordata; class Mammalia; order Primates; family Hominidae; genus Homo; species Homo sapiens. Next base: position 4,096,938 of record NW_018654717.1, on the reverse strand, counting down.
ATTTTCTTTTCCATGCATTTGATTGTTGGCTGAGGTTGGTGGGAAGCTTAATGGCTGATAATTGGGGATGTTGCTGTTTCATAACAGGCAAATCTTGTCTTCCAAGAATTTAAAACACTTTGCATGCATTGCAGAAACTCATTAATCTTCAAAGGCTTCAAGAGTGGCACAGATGAATCCAATATTCCTATATGACCTACTTTACTGAACTGGAAAAACTGCATGCTGACAGCACAAATGATCTGTAAGAAGAGATGCAGGTTGTATATGTCAGCCTCGCAGAGAACTCTTTCCAAATACCACTGGGAGAACCAGAGCAACATGACAACTCCACAGTATAGCCCAAAATACTGAAATTAGATTGCAGGGATGTGCAGAAACCCCTTGTGAATGTTGTCATTGGCACCTTTGAATTTTAACCTTAGCTTGTTACTGATCAGCTAATAATAGCCTGTATCTTAAACTATAACCAAAAGGTAAATATCCATTTATTCATGGATTCTCAATCCTTCTGCTGCTTTATAGTATTGAGAGTTAAATGCATTTGTTACAGTATTTGTCTAAATACATGGAAATTTAGCTTAAGTCCTAACATAGATGAAGCTATTTTAGTTTCTTCTGTGCCTCCTCAACTAAGGTCCCAAACCAATGCTTTTCTTCCCCACACCCCCAGTCCGGAGGACAGTAGAAAATACGGCAACATGAGAATCCAGATTTTATATGATCTTTTTTCAGAGAAGTTTTCACACTTCACTTGGATGAAGTTACACTTGGTTCTCCACCCAGTGGCCACTTCTTTCCTTCCTCCTTACAGTCAAGAGTCCTCATTTTGTCCAGATGTTCACTTTTTTCTAACCTGACTCAGGAGCAAACGCAAATTAGTCTAATCTTATCATGACCACCCCGTGCCCCTTGTCAGGAATGAGTTTGGGGTGATCTCATCCTGGTCACTTGGGCGTGAGTAGCCCAACTCTGGGTCTGATCCTGCAAATGACGTTCTGGTGTAGCCCAACTCTGGGTCTGGTTACATCAGTGACTTCACAATGTCATCGGGACCCTGGGCTCCTGTCTTCCTGCCCTGTCACCTTCAAGGTACTAGCATTGCTTCCACTGGGCCCTCCAGGGCTGCAAGGTGGCCACTATGGTTCTAGGCACCATATCCTGACACAATAACAACCAATGGAAAAAGAGGAACAAATGTTTGCATTACTGCTCTTCAAAATCAAGGTAACATTTCCAAGATGGTCCCCAACAGGCCACTGCTCACGCAGTGATCTGGGCTACACCAGAACCTCCTGGCACTCCATCCTGGGCAACAGAGTAAGATCCTGTCTCAAAAAATAAAAAATAAAAAAGGACTAAAGGCTGCCAACGAATATCAGAAACAACCATTTGTTATAAACTGCCACTGACTGGAAGCCTTACTGATAATATAAACAGTTGATGAACACACACTTTGTATGTTACTGTATTATATACTATATTCTTACAATAAAGTAAGCTAGAGAAAAGAAAATGTTTAGGAAATCATAAGGAAGAGACAATGGATTTACTATTTATTAAGTGGAAATGGATTATCATAAAGGTCTTCATCCTCATTGTCTCTCTTTGTCTTTCTCTCTCTCTCTTTTTCTTTCTCTTTCTCTTTCTCTCTTTCTTTCTTTCTCTTTGTTTCTCTTTCTCTTTCTCTCTTTTTCTCCCTCTCTGTCTCTCTTTCTCTCTTTCTTTCTTTCTCTCTCTTTCTTTCTCTCTCTCTCTTTCTCTCTCTTTCTCTCTCTTTTTCTTTTTCTTTCTCTCTTTTTCTCCATTTTTCTCTCTCTTTCTCTCTCTCTCTCTTTCTCTCTCTCTTGCTCTCTCTTTCTCTCTCTCTTGCTCTCTTTTTCTCTCTCTCTTGCTCTCTTTCTCTTTCTCTCTCTTTCTCTTTCTCTCTCTTTCTCTTTCTCTCTCTTTCTCTCTCTTTCTCTCTCTTTCTCTCTCTCTCTTTCTCTCTCTCCTTTTATAAACTGTCCAGTTGGGAGTTTCGTTACTTGAAACAGAAACATCATAACCAACCACAATGGTAATTTTCACCATTTTTTTGCATCCCAATGAGAAAAGCAGATGGTGAAAGCAGAGCTCTCGCATTATAAAACTCTAGGATAGATCATCACCGGTGCCCCCCGGAGTTTCACAAAGCAGGTTCCAGAAAGCAGTGAGCAAATGGCTTGCTGCAGGCTGCAAAATGGATCAGCGCCAAAGCCAGAATCAAGCTGAGACAGTGTTTTCTCTAGAGGGCCAGCTAGAGTTTGGAGCTCGCCACACCAGGCTCGGGTTCTTTTTGGTTATGACTTTGACCTCTGAGCATCTTTAAGCTTTAGCTTTTCTCATCTGTAAAATATACACCTCGCGGGTTGTGAAAATACTAAATAATGCACGCTGAATTATCTAGCATAATGCTTACTGGTCCTTTCAGGAAAGGGCAGCTTTTATTTTATTTTATTTTATTTATGTATTTTTCTTTGTTTTTTGAGACAGGGTCTCACTTTGTCACCCAGGCTGGAGTGTAGTGGCGTGATCTGCAGCCTCAACCTCCCGGGCTGAATTGATTCTCCGGCCTCGGCCCCCAGAAGTAGCTGAGACTACAGGCACACACCACCAAAACCGGCTAATTTTTGTATTTTTTTTGCAGAGATGGGGTTTTACCCTCTTGCCCAGGCTGGTCTCTAAGTCCTGAACTCTAGTGATCTGCCAGCCTCAGCCTTCCAAGGTGCTGGAATTACAGGCGTGAGCCACTGCACCTGGCCAGCAGCTTTTATTTTAATGACTACAGTGATTCGTAGACTTTTTCTCCCTCAGACCCTTGATGGCAGCAAAGAACCTCTGGTCCATTTACCCTCCTATTGTCACTTGATACCATGAATTCACAGGACAGAAGGGAAGGATATGACTCCTTGGATGAGACTCAATTGAAAGCTATTGTTAGTAAGTCATTAATTCGTGCTTAAACACCCAAGTTTATACACCACCATATCATATCTGGGAAAGCTCAGATGATCAGAAAAGTTCCTGCAACCATACCTGAGAATATATTCTCTCAAGTTATACTGTCACTTACAAACTTAGAGGAAAAACTAGCTTTGTTAGTCATTTCGAGTACTGTGCTCCTTTCCACACATACCCCCTGTTAATTTTTTTCCTAACTACTTGTTAGCCTCCAGTTTGAGAGGAGGATAAAAAAAACCTGGAGTGTTCTTGCTTTGAATGGTAATTGTTAATTAGAACCCCATTTTATTATAATTGTACAATTCATTATGCTGGGCACTTCATTAGAAGCATTGTAAAAATTCTGACAACTTGATTATGTTACACTGAATATAGAAATGAATCCGATTTAGAGCTCCACTGTTTCTTGAGGGTACTTTCTAATTAATATACATCTGAGAAGTCAGAAAAGGGAGAGTCTCCATATTTTATTCTGGGGGTCATGACTGGGGATGTGCTGTTTTTTTTTTTTAAAGAAAATTATTTTGAAATAGGAAGCTTTCTTTAGAACAGAAAGAAAAAACATGACCCATAAACCTGAAATAGTCACAATGAGGCCACATCTGTCTTTACAAACACAAGCAGCTCAGCATTATCAGCAACTAGTACTCAACCAAATCTTTTTAGAGGACTTTTGGGTAAAATCCTGTGAAGGACTTTGGGTAAAGACAGAAGATTGACTACTTTCATTTATCTCCTTTTCCTCTTGAAAGCCAACAAAAATAACAGCAATGGGGCTTAAACAGAGCATACGCCCACAAGGACAAAGAAAATGATGGAGGAGACAAGAACAACACAGTCCTGGAAGCTGGAGGGAGGAGGACACATTCAGCTGACTTTGCAGATCCAAAAATGCAGACTTCTTCTCAGCTGGTAGAGTGGGAGGTGAAAAGCAAACTTATTACACTGCAGAACACCCCAAATACTCAGGAATTGATGGTTCCAGGAATTGCAGCAAAGGTGGGGCTATAAAAACTCAGCTGGGAGTCTGCTTAGGAAGCATTTGTCTTCCGTTTTCTCCTTCATCCTGCACAGCTGAGGCCCTGCCCATCATCCACACTGACATGAGTTGAGAGGTTTCTAGTCTCTGGAGAGGTTGAAGCAGAGTTTCTCTGGAATGGGGAGACTGTAGAATTAGCTGATGGCAAAGATACCATAACAGGGTGATCAAATGGACATTTACATATTTAATGATAAGACCTACAAGCCCTCTTAGTTTACCAAAATACTGGCAGCCAGGCCTAGACCCTAAGCATGAGATTGCGAGAGCGGCCTTTGAGGAATCTGACCAGCCCAAGGAGAAGTACCGGAAGATATTGTTCTCAGGAAGTCCTTAAGAATTCCGCTGGTCAGAGCAATGGTTCTGGTTGAGTGGTTTTCTGATCTTTAGTATTATCATCACCTGGGACCTTGTTAAACATGAACGTTCTTGCCCCCTGCTCCAGACTGACTGAATCTGAAACACTGAGGGTGGCAGCCTGAGATTTAGTTTGGCAAGACCCCCAAGTACACACTGTAGTTTGAGAACCACTGCTCATCAGCAAAGCTTACTATGAATGCAAAGTTTCCTTGAAGTGTATGTCTTACATATATTGATTGATGTCTTATGTCTCCTTAAGTTGTATAAAACCAAGTTGTGGGGCCAGGTGCTGTGGCTCATGCCTGTAATCCCAGTACTTTGGGAGGCCGAGACTGGTGGATCACCTGAAGTTTGGAGTTTGAGACTAGCCTGGCCAACGTGGCAAAACTCTGCCTCTACTAAAAATACAAAAATTAGCCAGGTGTAGTGGCAGGCACCTGTAATCCCAGCTACTCGGGAGGCTGAGGCAGCAGAATAGCTTGAACCTGGGAGGTGGAGGCTACAGTGAGCTGAGATCACACCATTGCTCTCCAACCCAGGTGACAGAGCAAGACTCCATCTCAAAAAAAAAAAAAGTTGTGGCCCGGCCACTTTTGGCACATGTTCTCAGGATCTCCTGAGGGCTGTGTCACAGGCCATTGGTCACTCATATTGGGCTCAGAATAAATTTCTTCAGATATTTTACAGAGTTTGGCTCTTTTTGTTGACACATCCAATGTGGAGATGGAATAAACATAATCAAAGGTGAGGGTAAAATAAAGACATTTGGAAACATGCTGGGGTTTCAGAGCTCTTGGGTTGAGGGGCTAAATGTTGTCAAAAGACTTGGACAGTGCTCACTGCCATGGTATCAAGTGCCAGTTCACAGGGGCGCTGATCAAAGAAGTGCATGAAGCAAAGACTTTGACCCTTTAGTCACTATTTTGTCCCTCTTGTCTATTCTCACCTCGCTTGCATCCATGCTCCATCTTGTAACCAGAGAGTTCTTTCTAAACCACAGATTCAGTGAGGCCTGGGCCTTGCTTAAAGCCCTTTCACAGCTCTCCATTGCATTCAAGGTAAAGTTCAAGATGGTGCACAAGGGCTTTCCTAATCCACCCCTTCAGTGTTATCTCCTGGTAGTCTCCTCTAGGCAACCTTCACACCCACTTGTGACAGGCTGGTAGCTCCTAACAGTGTGCTGTGGTTTCATGAGGCCACACCTTCACATATGCAGTTCTCTGTGCTCGGAACTTTCTCTTGTGCCCTAACCCAGCTGATGTAACAATAAGTCATTGTTATGTTGTAACTGCGTTTCCCACTCAGCTCTGGAGTCATCTCCCTTCTAGAGGCCTTTTTCTGCCTTTCAGTCAGATTGAGCTGCTGTTCCTGTGTCCCCCATGCATCCAGGGCTCTACCACAACACACCGTTTGTAGCACAGCAATCATTAGCTATTTGTCTTCTCGACTCACATGTGAGATTCTTGAGGATAAGAAATGTTTTACGTTTCTTATGTAGACATCCTGAGGAATAGCATCCTTGGGATATGCCAGTGTCCCTGGGAAAGAGTAGGTGCCCAGTCTAAGTCTGTTGAATGAATGCCTATCAATACCCTTCTCTAATGGAGACACTGGGAACAATTCCTATGTCATGTCATTGTTAGAATTTAACTCATCAGTGCCCTGGGCTTAAGGGCAAATGGGGCAATTACACAGGGTATGTTGGGCTTACTATGAAGAGTGCCTATTGCCCTGTACTGTGTATGGCAGCAGGACACCAAGGAGAACCAGCAAGGCAGATAGAAGCAGGGATCTGATATTTTTTCAGTGCCAACAGCACAATGTGGGATGTACAGAAGATGGCACTAAACATCAGCTCTGGAAAGCATGTCTCCACAATGAAAAAGGTTGAGGCCGGGTGCCGTGGCTCACGCCTGTAATCCCAGCATTTTGGGAAGCTGAGGCAGGCCGATCATGAGGTCAAGAGATCAAGACCATCAGCCAACATGATGAAACCCCATCTTTACTAAAAATACAAAAATTAGCTGGACATGGTGGTGTGCACCTGTAGTCCCAGCTACTCAGGAGACTGAGTCAGGAGAGTCGCTTGAACCCGGGAGGCAGAGGTTGCAGTGAGCCAAGATTGCACCACTGCACTCCAGCCTGGTGACAGAGCGAGACTCTGTCTCCAAAAAATAAAAATAAAAAAATAAAAAAAATTTAAAAAAAAAGGTTGCAGATCCAATCCAATAAACCCAGTTTATTAATTAGGAGTATTCTCATTCCGTTGAATAAAGAAGTTTCCAAAACTGACACACCTTCATTGAGTTTGCCAAATTTGGTTAGTGCCACTCTTGATTACCAGGGCTACTCTTTTTCTAGAGTTTATTAGTCCCTGATTTCTGTTGGCCTACTGTAATATTAAGGAACATTAGTGTTGGTGACTGGAGGTCCCCATAACCTCACATTATTTTCTTCACTGGATGAAGACATTCCTATAAGAGCCAAATCCGTAGTCATTATGAATCACAGCCACGGACGTCAATATATCATGGAGCACAGCACGCTGGTCTCTGTTTAGAGAAACACTTGCATATTGTGCATTGCAGCAGATTCTCCCAACTCTTAAAGTTATATGCCAGTCTTTCTTTTAGTGTCTTACCTTGTTTCCAAGGATCTTCTGAACGCCTTTAATGGCCTCATTTAGATTTCTGGAATTAAAAGACTTATAGATAATCTATTGCCCTGTAGTATTTACACTTCTCCCGTTGAAAGAGATGAGTTACCAACCTGTAAGACCTGAATGCAGGCTCTGATCACTGGGATCTCCTCCCCTGAGCACCGGGTCTGTAGACAAGTTATATGTCTCCTGGTTCTCACTCGTCCTGCCTTGGGCTGTGCCACTCATGGCTGACTCTCCCCTTGGATTCAACAAGAGCCATACCTAGGTAAGGTCAATTCAGAGATTATCCTCTCCCTCCACATGAGAAGGGAGAGGGGAGAGAACACAGCAGAGTCAAACATCCATATAAAAGACTAGAAGTGCAATCTAGAAAATACACTGGCGTCAGCACACAGGGCCTTATTTCTAACTCCATATCCATGTACATCCTTCCCAAACATTTTTCTTAATGTTCTGTTCATCCAGTTCTTGTCTTTATTTTTAAAAGGCTGGTCTGGAGAACTGAAGAAAATCAACCCTTCAACCCGGCAGGGTCCCTGGAGAGTGGCTAGAGAGAGGTTAACCCTAAGATAAGACATCATGGGGGAACCTACTGGAAGCACAGAGCATCCAGAGCAAACACTGTCACTTCAAGATGTCTTTTCAATATTTACACTGAGTTGCTGCCAGGCTCTTATTTCCCCTAGTTTGCATTGCAGACCATATCTCTGCTTGGGTGCCCGGTGTGCCATATATATATATATATATATATTTTTTTTTTTTTTTTTTTTTTTTTTTTTTTTTTGATATGGAGTCTTGCTCTGTCACCCAGGCTGGAGTGCAATGGCTTGATCTCAGCTCACTGCAACCTCCACCTCCCAGGTTCAAGCCATTCTCCTGCTCCTGCCTCAGCCTCCTGAGTAGTTGGTATTAGAGGGACATGCCAACACACCCAGCTAATTTTTGTACTTTTAGTAGAGATGGAGTTTCACCATGTTGGTCAGCCTGGTCAGGAACTCCTGACCTCTTGATCCATCTGCCTCAGCATCCCAAATTGCTGGGATTACAGGTGTGACCCACCACTCCTGGCTGCCCCATATTCTTAAGACACCAAGCAAAGCTTTCTGTTCTTCACGTTTTTCATCTTGTCTCAGTTCTAGGATTTCTATATAGCATTGACTTGGGGGATGGGCCAGGGGTCTGTCTTAAAGCTGAGTTTGCAAAGCAAGCAGCCTCTTAAAAACTTGTATAGCAAAGTTATGGAATCAGCCTAGGTGCCCATCAGTGGTGGATTGGATACAGAAAATATATATACACACTGTGGAATACTATGCAGTCATGAAAAAGAATGAAATTATATCCTCTGCTGGAATGTGGATGCAGCTGGGGGCCATTATCCTAAGTGCATTAATGCAGGAACAGAAAACCTAATACTACATGTTCTCACTTATAAGTGGGAGCTAAACATTGAGCACATATAGGAACAATAGACACTGGTGACTACTAGAGAGGGGAGGGAGGGAGAGAGGCAAGGGCTGAAAAACTACCTACTGGGTACCATGCTCAGTACCTGGGTGACAGGATCATTCCTACCCCAAACCTCAGAATCACACAATATACCCATGTAACACACCTGCACATAAACCCTCTGAATCTAAAAGGAACATTGAAATAAAAAACCTAATGTTTGATACCATTTTCAATAATATTTTTCAAGACTTATTTACTCTAAATGTAAGATTAAATATTACTTGCTCCTATAAAATGTTATTTTTATCATTTTTATTTGGAGTGATTTGAAGGATTGAGGGAGATCAGGGCTGTGGGCCGCGGTTGGCCCTACATGCTGGGGAGATGACAGGACAGAGGCATTCTTGGCAATGGGTAACCTTGGAGGCTACGTATAAGCCATTTCAGCTGCCTCTCAGTGAGTCCCCCGTTAGAAACTGCTCCCAGAAACTACCCAGTTGGGCCCGTTAGAGCAATTGTGTTGCAACGCTACTTTATCAAAGCCCTGCTCTTAAAGAGATTTATCAGAGATTACCCAGTCCTTCTGACCTCCTTTAGAGATCCCTAAATTTGCCAGAGTAGGTATTCTGAAAATAACACAATGATGCACTCCTATTTTCTTTCTCAGTTTCACTGGGCTGAGCCTTAAGACAGGACATAGATCCACTGGCTTTTTTGTAAACATGTATAGCGTGGTGGTTGGGAGCCTGGGCCTTGGGGTGAGATAAAAATAGGCTCAGAGCCTGTCTGTGCTACATGCCAAGTAAGTGATCTTGGGAAAGCCATCCAGAGAATGGGACAAACTAATCTATCTCAACTAACAGTTGTGAGGATTGGATGAGATAATGTACACAGTGATTAAGCACATTAAATTCTCAATCAATGACTGATTATTGATAAAACTAACCAGAGACTTTCTAAGAGTTTCCTCCTAGAATAAGGCAGTGAAGATTTTTTTCCCTCTGAGCTTATGTATCTGGGAAACAAGGCAAAAATTCCTCGATTCCTTTGTTTATATTTTCCCATTCGCTACCTCCCATATTGGTCTGGAGACACATCTACAAACAGTTCAGTTTCAACAAAAGCCTTAAATACTCATGGCATGAATTGGAAGAAAACGGGCACTGATAGATGGTTAAAGAAAATTTAAAAGACCAATCAAAATGCAAATATAAAGTATTTTTATGCAGAAATGGTCCCTAATCTGTCTCTTTCACCAGCCATAGAGTGATAAGAATGACAATAGGCATTATTTAGTTGAGTGCTAACCTCTGCTAGGGCCTTTTCTCAGCAGATTACTAAGGCTTTCTTATTTAATCCTCATGGGAATCCTAGGAGTTAGGTACATTTGATATTCTCCCTTTGAAGATAAGAAAATTGGAGCCTAGAGATAGTAACTAAGCTATGAGGGCAGACAGCAGCTCCATGTATGGGAGAACAGACCAACAGTTTGGGTTCTTGAAAATATCAGCCTCATATATTAGAGACTTTCCACCTTTTTCGTCCTCTACGGCTTCTAGAAAAAGGTTGGGAAATGGTTAGTTGCCTTCTTAGTCCCAGGTAGCTAATAGAAATCTATATCACAGGGATATTTCTCTACATAGCAGTAGTTGGACCATGAGTACACTGAGCCAGAGAACACGGGAGGCCAGTAGAACGCTCTGATTTGGCTCTAGTGTTTGTCTTCCACCCTTCAAACCTTTAAAGCCAAGGACTTCACTTCAGGTTCTCTTATTTTTCCCAAAAGGGCTGCAGAGCAAAGCAACTATTCTAGGCCTGCCACTCACATTTATTCACTTCTTAAAAAAAAAAGAACTTTCAGTTCCCTCTTTATGAAATTATTCCCAACAGATACATCAGGAAGAAGCCTGAATTAGATGATGTGCAAAGTCCTAACCAACTCTGAAATTCTGGGATTCTGTGATTATGTAAGTTATTGTTATATAAAAGATAAATGCATCGCAGATTTTAAGGGAATCCAGAAATGTCATTGACTATTAGTACCTTCCTGAAATCCCTTTTAGGAATTGACAGTTGGAGTTGCATTTCCATTAAGCTGAGGGGACATTAGAAGGGAATGATGCTGAACTGGCTCCTTTGGGTGGCCCCATGGTTGGCCCCAGCACTCTTCTTTGACTGCTGCCATTGGACCCACAGGGAGTGCCTAGAGAGAGGGTTCACCTGAGAGAAGACATCGTGGGGAAAGCAGGAGCTTGGAAAAGAAACCTGCCAGGGGTCAGTTGTCAGCTCTGTGACTGACTCATACCACCACCCTAACCTCTCAGTTTTCTCATCTGCAAAGTGGAGAAAACACCATCCTATTCACAGGGCTGCTGTGGGAATGAGGGGATCCACTTAGGTGCCAGCACACACACAATGCCCATCTCGTGGTAAGCACTGTGTCATCGGTAGCTGTTAATAGTAGCATTGCTCACAAAGTCAAATTGCCCTGCCTGTTGGAAAGGCGCGCAGTGTATAAAGGAGGGTTGGTGGTGACTTTCATAGCCATGGGATTTCACTTTTATAAGCAGTGACTTCCATGGATTTGCAGGAACCAAATTAGGGTGTAGTTAGGGCTATCCCTACTGTCATTTCACAAATCATATTTAATTTTTTTAATTGAATTTATTATCAATTGGAGTTATTGGTTATTGCCAATTATAAAGAATTTTCCGAGAGGTAAAGTTAACCCAGGATGGACTGGTCATCTCAGTGGTGTCGGTTCGTTCCTAAGGCAAGTAGCTTAAGGATAAGATGCTGGAACATTGCAGAAAAGACAGAAGGACTGGACATCGATGATGCACATCAGTGACTTTAAGTTTCCTGAGATTCCAAACAGGGACAGATCTGGGATCCCAAATATGAATCACAGATCTCTAAGCAGCCCTGGAAGTTTATAATTTTTGCTTTAAATTTCTCTGATCTTACAGATTATCCATTGAGTAATTGATAATCTACAAACAAATATTAGAAATAAGCCCCCTCTAATTTATTAACCTACAAGTTTTCCTTGGTGAGTTTTCTTAAAACTTGGTTCCTGTAATTTTACTCATGCAGCTCCCTGGGAAAGACCTAGGCCCTGGTCTTTGCGAGGAAAGCAAATGCTTCCTAACTCATCCCTGTGGCTGCAAATTCTAGGCAAGGAGGCAGCAGTGCTACTTATAGATAAGAGTCAGCATTTGCAAAGTTAATGTGTCAAACCCACAAAATTCAAAAAATTTCCATGCAAGGAAGAAGGAGGAGGACAAATGCCTGCCAGGCCATTGCATTCATGGAATCGATGCCAACTCTGGACCTCAGAGTACTGGACACTCATACACTTCATTGGGATTGCTCAAGTGTTGACATAGCCTTGTAAGCTGAGATCCTTCAAAGGAGCGAAAAGAAAAAAGAAGTTGAGAGGAACGTTTGCAGGGAGGTTTCCCTTGGGTCCCAGTTGCCCAGCCGAATTAGCATCAAAACCTTGCCCTGGAAGAGGGTTGTGAGAGTTGAGTTGCTCAGCCTCACACAATGATTGCAGTCAATATGGAGACTGCCTGGCTTTCATTTGGAAGAAATTTACATTTGATCTCACCCTTAACCCTGAACTTCCACCCTCCAACCAACTTAACTGTTATCATGCTGAGGCCCATGTATTCACAAAAAGGCCTTCACTGTTCTTTACCCTGGTAACTTGACAATAAAATTTCTCCCTCAATCTTTCTCCCATCCCAAGCAAAACCCTCCCTCTTGAGTTAAGGCTGGTATCAATAAGGGGTTTGGAGGAGAAGGCCGAGGAAATTAATTCACACTGAAAAGCAAGCAGCTGATAGATCTCTGAAGCAGTTTTAATACTTTTTAGAAACTCAAGCGTCCCAGTTTCACAGTTTCAGGGTTGAAAATGTAATGTCTTGAAGGATGGCATTGACTTCACAAAGATCAAGGACAAAATAGAAATTTTCCATTGTGGTAGTTACCTCCATTTCCTGTGCTCCTTAAGCTGTACTTGGAAGGGGACTGTTTGATGGTAAGGAAATGTTGCATCTGGGAATAGCAGATCATACTGTTAATCCCCAAATATTCAGAGCTCCACAATCAGAATGGACAAGAATTCTGGAAGCCTCAGGATGGAAATGCAAGAAAGAGATTGTGAGCCCACTCAGGGCCCTTTCTTTCCCAGGGCCTGTCCTGGGACCTCCTGGACATCCCTTCCCAGGTTCTCAGGGATGGGCCTCCTGCTCCTATCCATTCTACATTTCCCCCCCCCTCCCTACTCTCAGCACCAACTTGGGAGCTTCTTTTATCCTTTGTGAGTGTGAGGGAGAGGAGTACCCCTTGATGATAGAATTTTGACATTGGAATAGTAAATGTTAAAATTTATTGAAGGCTTACCATGTATTGCTACTGCTGTAAATGCTTTATTTCATTCATTCAACAAGTATTTCTAGAGTGCTTCCCATGTGCCTGCCACTTCTAAGTGGTATTTATTCATTCATTCATCTAGTGCTTGACCTCTTATGTGTGAAGTCTTGCTATAAATACTTTTCATTTGTTAATTCACCCAGCAAGAATCAGTTGAGTCTTTCCTATGTTTTTTTGTTTTGTTTTTTGAGACTGGGTCTCGCTCTGTCACCCAGGCTGGAGTGCAGTGGCGCGATCTCGGCTCACTGCAAGCTCTGCCTCCTGGGTTCACGCCATTCTCTTGCCTCAGCCTCCCAAATAGCTGGGACTACAGGCTCCCACCACCACACCCAGCTAATTTTTTTGAATTTTTTAGTAGAGACGGGATTTCACCGTGTTAGCCAGGATGGTCTCAATCTCCTGACCTCATGATCTGCCTGCCTCGGCCTCCCAAAGTGCTAGGATTATAGGTGTGAGCCACCGCACCCAGCCCCTATGTTTTAAATACTATTTTTTCATTCATTCATTCATTCATTCATTCATTCATTCATGTATTTTTCTGAAAGCCTTCTGTATGCAAAGCACAGATTTAGGCTCTGGGGATATAGGGATGACCCACACAGAACCTCTGTCTTTGTGGAGATGGTGCTTTACTGGGGGTTGCCAGGCAAAGCACAAATAAACAAGAAAACAGGTAGAACATCAGGTAGTATTGAGTCATATGGAGAAAAAGAAAGCAGATGAGGGGAACAGATGATGCAGGTGGTAGATATTGCTGTAATTAGGCCTCATTGATGAGGTGGCATTTGAGCAGGGGCCTGAAGGAAGTGAACAACCCAGGACAAAATCAGCCAGAGGAAACCAAGACCCCAAGGTGTGAGCAGCTTCGCATACTTGAGAAAAAGGAAGGAAAGGAAGGAAGGAAGGGGGGAAGGAGGGAAGGGGGGAAGGAGGGGGGGAGGGGAGGGGTGGGGAGGAAGGAGAGTGGTGTATGAGACCAGAGGTAGCTGGGAGAGAAAGTTCGTGTGGGAACTTGCAGGGCTCTAGGAGGGCATAGGCTTTTACCCTGAGTTGGACAGGCAGCACAGCAGAGAATTGTGAGCATAGGCATGGCGTGTTTTAAAAGCCTCCTCTAGTGATGGTTATGGTAATTAGCTCAATTTAATCATTCCACGATGTCTACATATATTAAAACATCACATTGTACCCCACAAATAGATGCAATTATTTGTCAATAAAAATAAAATGAAAGCATCCTCTGGCTGCTGGGTTGAAAATAGACTGGGACATCAGGGTGAACATAAGGGGGCCAATTAAATGGCTACTGCAATTATCCAGGCAGGAGGTGATTGTGGCTCTCGCCTTGTGGTATTAACAGTGGAAGTGGTGAGAAGGGGTCGGTACCTGGTTACATTTTGAAGGTAGATCCCACAGGATCTGCTGATGGATTGGATGTGGTACACAAGAGGAAGACAGAAGTCAGTGACGTTTCCAAGGACTTTTTCCTGAGCAACTAGAGTAATAGAGTTGATTTTTACTGAAATGGGAGAAATTGCCCAAGAAGCTATTTAGAGAAGAGGTGAAATGGGAGTTTGGGTTTGCATATTATTAAGTTTGAGATGCTTATGACAGATCTAACTTGAGAACTTGAGGGAAGCATTGGGTTAGTCTGCAGTCCATGGGAGAGTGCAGCCTAGGAATACAAAGGTGGGCTTAGATGGCATTTAACATCACAAGACCAGAAAGATGAACTGAGTGTTGAGTGAGGTTGGAAGAGAAGTCCCAGCACTGAGCTCTGGGGCATGCTGATGGCAAGAAAATGAGGAGGAATCATAAAGAAAAAGAGATCAAGATACAACTAGTGAGGCAGAAGGAAAACCAGAATACACTGTTATTCTGAGAGCCAAGGAAAGCAGTGCTCCATAAAAGGGACAATCAACTATGTCAAGTGCTGTGGATAGGCCAAATAAGATGAGGCCTAACAAATTTCCGTTGGGATATTACAGCAGCCTTAATAAGAGCTGTTCAGATGAGTGATTATCGGGGAAACCCACCCCCGATAATTCAATGGTATTTCACGTAGGTTCTTTTCTATTTCCCTAAGTGTCGGCCGGTCTGAGAAATAAAGGGACAGAGTACAAAAGAGAGAAATTTTAAAGCTGGGTATCCAGGGGAGACATCACATGTCGGCAGGTTCCGTGATGCCCCCTGAGCCGTAAAACCAGCATGTTTTTATTAGCAATTTTCAAAGGGGAGGGAGTGTACGAATAGGGTGTGGGTCACAGAGATCACATGCTTCAAGGGTAACAAAAGATCACAAGGCAGGAGGTCAGGGCGAAACTAGAATCACTAATGAACTTCCACGTCCCACTGTGCATGCATTGTCAGGGTTCAAGAGCAGAGAACTGGTCTAACTAGAATTTGCCAGGATGGAATTTCCTAATCCTAGCAAGCCTGGGGGCGCTGCAGGAGACTAGGGCGTGTTTCATCACTATCTACATCTGCATAAGGCAGACATTCCTAGGGCAGCCATTTTAGAGTCCCCCCCGGGAGTGCATTCTTTTCCCAGCGCTGTTAATTATTAATATTTCTTACTGGGGAAATAATTAAGCGATACTTCTCTTACCTGTTTTCAGTAATAAGAGAAATATGGCTCTGTCCTGCCCAGCCCGCAGGCAGCCAGACTTTAAGGTTATCTCCCTTGTTCCTGAACATCGGTGTCATCCTGTTCTTTTTTCAAGGTGCCCACATTTCATATTGTTTAAACAATTTGTGCAGTTGACTCAATCATCACAGGGTCCTGAGGCAACATACATCCTCAGCTTATGAAGATGACGGGATTAAGAGATTAAAGACAGGCGTAGGAAATCACAAGAGTATTGATTGGGGAAGTGATAAATGTCCATGAAATCTTCACAATTTATGTTCAGACACTGCAGTAAAGACAGGCATAAGAAATTATAAAAACATTAATTTGGGGAACTAATAAATGTCCATGAAGTCTTCACAGTTTATGTTCTTCTGCCATGGCTTCAGCTGGTCCCTCCGTTCGGCGTCCGTGACTTCCCGCAACAAGTGATGAGAAGACAAGATTGATGAGGGCATGGCAGGAAATAATGATATTTATGTGTTTAATTCCATGAGGGATGTTGTGTTGTTATTACTGTTTTACAGTTGAGAGAACTGAGGCACACGAAGGGTTGAACTCGGCTGGGACTGGAAGCCAGATAGTCTGGCTCCAGCTGGCATGCCCATCAAAATGCTATGAGCTTTGAACCTGAACACTCTCAGACTCGCCAGTGGTAGTGGAGAGAAGGCCCTGGCATCTTAGGACAACTATAGTTAGTTAGAGGGAACAAGGGAAGGAGAGAGAATGTGGCTCCCCCATTCGTCCTTGCTTCTGTAGAGGGATGCTGGTTAAGAAAGCCACAGGAGCTAGAGATGAAACATACACTTGGCTTTCTCCATAGCATTTTATAATTCTAGACGTTAATTCAGAATCTTTGTAATACGCTGAATGTTCTTCCAAAAAGGCATGGCATTAAATTGTCATTGATAAAGATGATGCCAGTGAGTCACGTTTGGCACTTATGGGGAGGTGTCTTGTGAACTCTGTGCTCACAAAATGTATCCTTGACCTTGTGCAGTCTCTGTGTGATGAGCAGCAGCACACTCACAGTTTGGGTTTTTTTTTTTGTTTGTTTGCTTAATGAACTTGCTTGGAAGTTGTGTTTCCACGTACTTGAACAGAATTTCAAATTGTGCCCTGTTTTGGAGGAGAGAATGGAGAGGGCTGGTCACCCCACGGCAGGCCAGCTGGACTGGAAGTTTGGCGCGTCACGATGACCTTGCAGTCTTTTTTGGGGCAGGGCAGAGAGAGAGGGGGCCAAGGGAAATCTTCCTCTCTTTTGCCTTTTGCTCCAACTTCATAGCTTCCTTCCTTCGAAGCTGAAAGGGTGCTCCCTGGCAGCTACTCTCTAAACTCTTACCAGATAACCTTGAGTTCCCATTCACTTGGGGTTGGTATGTAGCAGGAGGAATCTAAATTCTCGTCCATATGTTAGGAAGACAATTAGGTGGCTAATGGGGAAAGTGGTAGGGGGTGTTAAGAGTCAGCGGGAGGAGCCCCAAAGATGAGCTTCCCTAGTTCACAGTTTCTTTCCAGGCTGGTCTTTCCAGCCAGATGGCAGAGCTGGACTCCTGACTGAAATGTACAGTGACTGCAGTGACCCCCCTTCTCAGAGGGGGACGTATCTCCTGCCAGAGCCCCAAAGAGCTCTTGTTCTTCTGGTCCTTTGGAAGGCTTTCCCATCTGGCCTCCCTGGGAGCCAGGGTAAGGCAGGATTGCCCAGCATACAAGTGGTTATTTGTACTTTCCAGGCTTGAAAGAGAGGAATCAGCTGGACAGAAAACCTAGGTCCCCAGCTCTAGTGAGCTGACATCCTGGAATCAGCGAGCTCTCTTTGGTGTTGAACTTTCAGTCTGGGCATTTTGAGCAATTTAAAAAAGGTCTCATAATGGTGGATACATGTCATATATCCAGATCTATAGAATGTACAACACCAGCCAGGCGCAGTGGCTCACACCAGTTATCTCAGCACTTTGGGAGGCCGAGGTGGGCAAATCCGGATCACTTGAGGTCAGGAGTACGAGACCAGCCTGACCAGCAGGACGAAACCCCATCTCTATTACAAATACAAAAATTAACTGGCGTTGTGGCAGGCACCTGTAATCCCAGCTACTTGGGAGGCTAAGGCAAGAGAATCACTTGAACCCAGGAGGCGGAGGTTGCATTGAGCCGAGATCACATCACTGCACTCCAGCCTGGGCAACAGAGTGAGACTCTGTCTCAAAAAAAAAAAAAAAAAAAAAAAAAGAAAAATAGAATGTACAACACCAGGAGTGAACCCTAATGAGCACGCTGGACTTCATGTGATAATGATGTCAATATAGGTTCATTCATTTTAACAAATGTGTCACCTGGTGGGAGATTTTGATAATCCAGGAAGTTGTGGGATTAGGGGGTGAGGGATTAGGGGTACACAGATATGGTATCTGTGTACCTTATGCTCAATTTTCCTGTGAATCTAAAACTACTCTAAGGTAGGTGTGGTAGCTCATGCCTGTAATCCCAACACTTTGGAAGGCCAAAGTAGAAAGATCGCTTGAGGCTGGGAGTTTGAGACCAGTCTGGGCAACATAGCAAGACCCCATCTCTACAAAAAATAAAAAACAAATAAGCCAGGCATGATGCCATGTGCCTGTAGTTCCAGCTACTTGGGAGGCTGAGGAAGAAGGATCCTTGGGCCTAAAAGTTCAAGGTTATGGTGAACCATAATCATGCCACTGTACTCCGACCTGGGTGACAGAGCAAGACCCCATCTCTATTAAATGAATGAATGAATAAATAAATAAAAGTACTCTAAAACTAAATTCTATTTTAAAAGGGATCTCCCAGTGGTTATACAAATGTTCTCTGTATAACTGTATGTTCAACTTTAATAATTTTTCTCTGTGTAGATTACACACACACCTACACACTTGAAGTATCTCTCCTTCTTTCTTGCCCTATCTCCTTCAAAAGAAAACTTTTCTGAAAGGGGCCACAGTTTTCAAAATTAATGATTCAAAGCTGAGTATACAGACCATTTTTGCGGGGTTCAGAGTCAGTCTAAAGCCAGAACTTCATTGTAGCCAGCAGAACTCTTCTACCAAGCTTTCTCTTACCTGTCCTTATCTGCAAACCCAAGCATTTTCATTGTCACAAGGAGGGTCCTCTACAGAGGCATCCCAAACCAGTGCACTGTAACGCCCTAGCACACAGGACGAGTCAATGATTCTGTTAAGCCCGTCATCATGACACTCTGTTGACAAAGAACGAAGCCGAGGCTTGGAGAAGTAGCATGACTGGCTTTCTCTCACACAGATGTTTTTAGGAAAAACCAGTTCTCCTCATTCTGAGAAATTTACTCTTGCTACCGTGCCCCCAAATGAATACCCGACTGTTTCCTATGTAGAAGTGATGAATTCATGGAAGAGGGAAAAGTTCAAGCCACCAACATCAAAGGGATGAGAGTTGACATGTAAATCCAGGGAATCTTATAGGACTGAAAACATTTGAAGATATAATTTCTGGGGGTAAAGAGAAATGAAGAGCTTGTTTAGACTGTGAAGAAAATGTGAATCTAATCACATCTGAAGCAAGCAGAATTGGGAGCTGAACTGGCCGAGGGCCAGGGGAAGCTCCATTGCCTTCCCTGATGAACTGATGCTGTCAGAGAAACCTGTCGCAGGTATGGAATAGCTTCCAGCTATTTAGAATTCCTTGGTTATTTCTTCTAAAATATATTGGTTCTATGGTGGATTATAAATATTTGAACCTCATATCTTAAAGATTTATTGCTTATGACATACCCAGTGTATTTTAGGTACTCAAGATTTTGTTGAATGAATGAAGATGACTTGTGCTAAACTAATACATCAATGATACATTTAAGTTAAAAAAATGTGGCCGGGCGCGGTGGCTCACGCCTGTAATCCCAGCACTTTGGGAGTCCGAGGCGGGTGGATCACGAGGTCAGGAGATCGAGACCATCCTGGCTAACATGGTGAAAGCCTGTCTCTACTAAAAATACAAAAAATTAGCCAGGCGTGGTGGCGGGCACCTGTAGTCCCAGCTACTCAGGAGGCTGAGGCAGGAGAATGGCGTGAACCCGGGAGGCAGAGCTTGCAGTGAGCCAAGATTGTGCCACTGCACTCCAGCCTGGGTAACAGAAAAAGACTCTGTCCCCCCCCAAAAAAAATTAGCTGATGTGTTAAGCTAAAATTAAGAAGTGAAATGCAACAGAAATTAATTTCTAGCCATTTATTCTATTCCTAGGAATTCAATAGGGACAAGATGAAGAACACTTGTTTCAATAGCAGTTCAAATGAAAAATACTGGAGAGCTTCAGCTTACAAACTCAGTCAGTGCCAGACGTATGAAGCCCATACTACAGAAATGGTACAATTTCCGTCTGTTTTAATAGAGGAAGAGTTTCTAGATCAAGGCTGGACATCATTATCTTGTGCTTTTAAGTGATTACACCTTACCTGGAGAATTGGAGTTGATAATTAGCTGTCAAATCTTAAGGGCAACACTAGTAAACTAGGCAATGTTCATGGATAGACAGAAGGTTAAAGGTCTAAGTGCCATAACATATTATGGCTTGAAAGAACCCGGTATGTTTAGCTAGAAGGGATAATTGATTGTGACATGGAGAATGATTGACACCTTGAATATCATCAGAATTTTATGACTATGAAGCAATATCCGTAATATACCACCAGAAGAGCTGGAAGAGTAAAAGGTAGTATCTGCAGCATGAAACTCCCTGCTCTCATCACCTAAGAGGACTTAAGGTTTAAATAAAAATGTTCTACAAACCACTGTTCTCCATAAACAAGGAACCAAGTTACTCTTACCCACAAATAAAGGTCATACACGTTACTAACCCAAATAACCATGGTCTTGGTAAAAATGTTAGATAATTCCACCAGGATTTTTTTTTCTATTGTTTTGAATCATTAATAAGAATTTTAATGGCAGTAAAAGCAATAAATAGAGAAATAAATAAATGTTCCTTTCCTTTGGACAATGATTTCTTAATATTCATTCACAGTACAGCTTATTCTCTTTGGGTATGAGTTTTTAATCGCTTAGGAATTTTCCAAACCGTATTTCATTCAACTTGTGTATTTCTACCTGTTTTTAAGGAACTTTTTCAAATTTGTTTTGTTCCGTGAATTCCCTTAACATGCTAGGATACTAACACTATGAAGAAAATGAGATTAGTATTGCACCCATAAAAAAATGAATATTTGTTTTTGTGGACTCTCAGATTCTTTTCTTTTGTTTTTTTTTTTAATTTTAGAGATGGGGTCTTTCTCTGTTGCCCAGGCTACGGTGCCATGGCACATTCATGGCTCACGGCAGTCTCCAACTTCTGAGGTTAAGTCATCCTCCTGCCTCAGCCTCCCAAAGAGTTGAGATTACAGGTCTGAGCCACCACCCCCAGCCTAGATGTTTTCTTACTATTTTTTTTAACCATCTGAAGTGGTATTTTCTTTCTAAGCATCTTTCTTTTACCCCTTTCATTATGGACACTTTTTTTCTCATTAGGGGAGAACATGGAAGAAAAATTGAAGTTGATTAATTCTGTTGTTTACTAGTCATGTAACCTCGGACACACTGCTTACCCCTATTTCATAGGATTCAATTTTCTCATGTATAAAATCCTTCCTTTGTCTAAGTTTATGTAGTTGTGACTATATCATCTTAGTCCCCTTAACAGCTCTCTTCCTCTCCATGAATTCAACTGAAGGCAGTTACCCTTCCCTTCCTACTTCCCTCCCTCCCTCCCTTCCTTCCTTTTTCCCTCACTTCCTACCTTCCTTCCCTTGCATCTTTCTTTAAAAATCTCTCGTGGCTCACTCACTTTCATATTCTATATGGCCAACCTTGTACTTTAGATTATATTCTTGGTCCTACCTCATCACTGGAACTCAAAATCTTGGGTAATCTTGTGCTTCCTGGACATCCTTGGCCAATAACTTGGGTGCGAGTACCCTGTGCTTTGTACCCTACAACCTCAGGCCATCCCTGCTCACTCCTATTCTGGCTTTTCCTACGCAGGCTGGACAAGAACAAGGAAGGACAGAGAGTGACATTCAACCTGTGATAGTGCCAGCGAGAGCACTTGAAGAAACATAAAGCCTGTCATCAGCTCTGTCATTACAAACTAATCTCCATCCTAAGATGTGATGTATTTTAAGACAGCATAAATTTTAAAAATGTCTTTGGAGGAAAAATAATAAATGTGAACTTAGATTTATAGGGCATTGAATTTCAGAAACGTCAAAATGTTCTCTTTAAAGAAAATTGTGCCTTAGAACTGGGGAAATGCAGTTACCTGTTAGCATTCTGCTACCCACCCACCTGCCTGCTGCTTCCTTGTGCACCTGGTGACAGAAAAGGCTGGTTTGCTCGGCAACATCAGGAAATAGCCTTGAGTTTCTCCATCATGGCCTCTCGACAGCTGATTGAGCTGTCCCTTCACTACAGCTTGGTTACATCTTGGGCAGATCTTAAAGAGATCTGGTCGACTTTCAGATATTAGCAAGTGCAGTGTAATCCAAACCAAAACTTCACTCTCTCATCCAATAGAAGTTTTTCCCTTCTCTCCCCGCACCACATTTCCTGCCTCTAACCTACTCTCTGCAGCTCCTGGTTTGGTCCAGGGACCTGTGGTTCAGCTGTGGTTTGCTCTGAGCTGTGTAATGCTTTCTCTCATTGCCTATGTACACATATTGGAAATTTCCCATTGGACCCTTTTGTGGATTCTTTAGGGACACCTCCCCACCTCCTGACAAACAACTCTCTCAGATCCACGTGGCGGTGCATAAGGACACCATCCTCGACAGGGGCCATGGGCTTTTAGATTATTTCTTAGGGTGCCCCTGAGCTCTCCCTGCCTGTAGTCTGCTTCCAGGCTCCTTCCCCTCTGGCAGGCATCCCGCTTGGCTCTGGTTTTTTTCAAACTGGGGGATTGCAGGGCACTCCATTGGCTGCCCACTCTTCTCTCCCTGCCTAGTGGGGGCTTCAGCCACCTCTCTGCCGTTGGGCTGCTTCAGTCCCCAGTTTCAGGACCCTCAAACCCAAGGGCCATGTTTCAAGCTCTCCCGGGGACCCTCCTGTGCCCTGTGCAGCCACAGCCTGGGGGACGCTCAGCCCACACTTGGCCAGCGAGTGAGTGCCAGCTTCCCCTTCCAGAAAACAGCCCCCATCTGGTGGTTCTCCAAGGCCCTTGTTCACTTACCTTTAGTGGGGTTGGAGGCAGGGAGGAGGAGAAAGGCAACACTGCTCTCTGTAGTTCTATACATTCTCTTCAAAGACCTCTTTCTTCTCTTCCAAGAGCCACTAGTCTCATCAGAGGCATAGGTGGTTGCTGGACCCACATGTTCCAGACCCTTGTGTTGCACTCTGTGTAGATTTAAGCTGACCATGGCTGACCCTTCTCTTCAGAATATGGAGGGCACTTATCATCCACGAACCTCAGTTTGGAGGCTTTGGCAAAAATAAGACACAGGAGGAGTCTCATTCCACCAGACCCGCTTGTTCAGCTCCACAAACTTGAAGCATTTGCCACACACCAGGCATGGAGCTACATGCTGGGATTACAGAGATGAGCAAAGCATAAGCCATGCTCTCAGAGTCTCAGAGACCTGGTAGAGACCAGAATGGACCAATGCACAGAAAAGCAGCAAGGCAATAGTTAAGGGCAGTTTCTGAGGCCTGAGATCCCCGGTTTGAATTCTGGCTTAGCCTCTTCCCAGCTGCCCAACTTTGGACAAGATATTTTAATTCTCTGCGCCTCCATTTCTTTCTTTTTTTTTTTTTTTTTTTTTGAGACAGAGTCTTGCTCTGTCACCCAGGCTGGAGTGCAATGGTGCGATCTCGGCTCACTGCAACCTCCACTTTCCGGGTTCAAGCGATTCTCCTGCCTCAGCCTCCTGAGTAGGTGGGATGACGGGTGCCTGCCACCAATGCCAAGCTAATTATTGTATTTTTTTTTTTTTTTAGTAGAGATGGGGTTTCACCATGTTGGTCAGGCTGGTCTTGAACTCCTGACCTCAGGCGATCTACCTTCCTTGGCCTCCCAACGTCCTGGGATTACAGACGTGAGCCACTGCGCCCAGCCTGTGCCTCCATTTCTTCACCTGTAAAATAAGGATAATAATATCATCGAGGTATTGTGATGATCAAACAAGTTCAAATGGAAGGCTCAGGGCAGAGCCCGGTACAGAGCGTAGTTCTTTCACTGAACACCAGCCACTGTGCCGTCTGTCCTGTCTTGCAGGCTTCAGCTCTTCCTGGGCCCGGGCTTTCCTTCCGCCTTCCTTCCAGGCTCTGGCTGCCCCTTCGCTTGTGTCTCTGGCTGTGCTCTGCTTTTTCTAGCTCATGCGCATGGGCTGAGAGCACCCAACTCAACAGCACATACAACCGCGTGGCTTTTCCCGAAGACCTGCTCCTTTTCCTTTTTTAGTAGAATATTTGTTGTAATTCTGCATTTATGAGCGCCTCATACCCCATCTTCCCTTTTAGTTTCTCCCTGTGGGTGCATTTGAAATGCACCCTTCACCCTTTGATATCTCCTTTCTTAAAATATGAGATGCACATCTGATTATGCCTTCTGTTCCCTTCAAAGTACTTATATTAGGTTCAGAGCAGCATCTTTTGTGTCACTTCCTCTCTCTCCCGAGAAATAAATTTAGGAGTAAAATGAGTCAAAATTTAGCGTGATTATATTTTAGAAGCTCTCCATCCAAAAGTGACTTTTCAACACTATAGAGGTTGTTTAGGAAACAGTAACTGCAATGGGATATTAAGATGATACTCTTCTGTGTTGAAATTTGGGTGACGCCCCCAAAGCCGAAAACTACCTCAAAGGGGATTCTAGATCATCTTTGTGGGGGTAGCCCAAAACTTGTTCTGGTCACCTCCTTCAATAATGCAAAAGAGAAGACTAGGAATTTAGGAGGAGGTTGAAGCAACCAGTGGCAAGGATTGGTTTGAAGAGCATTGGCAGAAGCTGGGCATTCCCACCACCTGCACCCCAGCCCCTGGCGTGGAGGAAGGGGCGTGGGTATTTTCTTCTCACTCTAGACGAAGCAAGAGAGGCCTCAGAGACCACTCAGAAAGATTTACCTGTGTGGCTCAGAACTGGTGGGTACAGAGTCTGGTATCTGCCTTCCAGTTGTAAAGCCCAAAGAGAAGATTGTGATTGGAGCCTCCCTTGCCAGGGAGCAGAGAAGAGACAGGGCTTGAGAGATGAAGGCATCCCCACGGACAGAGGGGAGTACCAGGGGCTGCAGGGGTTGGCAGGCGAGTGGGCAGATAGATACTTTACCTGTTTTATTTATTTATTTTAAAACATTTATTTATTTATTTATTAGAGACAGGGTCTCACTCTGTCACCCAGGCTGGAGTGCACGGGTGCAATCATAGCTCACTGGGGCCCCCAACTCCTGGTTTCAAGTGATCCTCCCACCTCAGCCTCCCGAGTAGCTGAGACTACAGGTGCTCACCGCCATGCCTGGGTAATTTATAAATTTTTTTTTTAGAAACAAGGTCTCTCTACCATCCTGGCTAATATGGTGAAACCCTGTCTCTACTAAAAATACAAAAAAAAATTAGCCGGGTGTGGTGGCGGGCGCCTGTAGTCCCAGCTCCTCAGGAGGCTGAGGCAGGAGAATGGCGTGAACCAGGGAGGTGGAGCTTGCAGTGAGCTGAGATAGCGCCACTGCACTCCAGCCTGGGCGACTGAGAAGACTCCATCTCAAAAAAAAAAAAAAAAAAAGAAAGAAAAGACACAGGGTCTCACTATATTGCCCAGGTTGGTCTCAAACTCTTGGGCTCAAGTGATCCTCCACCTCAGCCTCTCAAAGTGCTGGGATTACAAGCACGAGCCACAGTGCCCAGCCATTGCCTGCTTTAGAATTGCAGGTTGGAGATTCCCATGATGTTTAGTGAGATGTCAAAGGAAGACTCCAACGAACACAGAAGAGTGCTGTGCAGGAGAAAGAAACAGCCTAACACCAAACTCATGGTGACAACCAGGGGAGCCCTTTCTTGTGTCTTTCCTTTCTTCTTTCCATCCTTCTACAGTTCTGGGGGAGCAGAATGAGGGAGGAGGGGTGGAAATAGTGATCTAGCCAACCACGATGCTACCCCACTCTTGGCTCCCAATCTTGTATCAGGTCCAACTTGGTGGGAAGAAAAGAGTTTAAATTGTATGACAAATTTCAATTTTGAATTAAACTGGACATTTTTATTATCTGAGAAATGAGGCTATTTGGTAATTCTATAAGACCTGCCTGGGATTTCATCCAGGAGCAAAGCTGAAGCGTGCAACTTAACACACAAAAAAGTAATTGCTTTCTGCTTGTACTCTATTGAGTCCAACTCATTTAATGAAACAGTGACTTGGTAATAAGAAAGCAGAGCCCATGGCCTGTGTCTGGAGGGCCTGCAGACACACAGGAAGATTTAGTTGTGGTATTGCAAACATGATTTTCACATTAAGAAGTTCCTTTACGGTAGCAACCCACCCGCAGAGTGATGGCTTTTTAATTCTCTTTACTTTTAGTTTCAGCCCAATGCTTTGGTCATCCACCATTATGAATAAAAGATGCTGTTGGGCCAAGGTAAATTCCTCTTGGCACACTCAGCAAAGGGCCAAGCACATGGACATGACAGACATAGGAGAAATTGCCACAAGGGTAAACTTCGGCTAAGAGGAAAGCTGAGCTATCCAAGGCTAGAGACGGGACTCTACAGTGGGGAGTATCCTGCCTATAAATTCAGCACTTCAAGATGGGGGTTGGGGAGAGGCACAGAAGCAAGCACGTGAACAACAGCTCAGGGGAGACCAGTAGGGGGGCCCTGTGGGATCTGAAAGGCTGGAGCAAGTAGAAGGGGGATAATGGGAGGAGAGAGAGGGTGGAAGTGGAGGCCGGTATAGACAGGAGGTCTGAGAATGTTCGAAGGGCTCTGCTGTAGGATTGTCAGACCTAGCAAATAAAAAAAGAAACACCCAGTCCTCTCTTCTACCTGGCCACCCTACTCTAGAGGGTCTGTTGGACCACAGGAGTGAGAAGCAGTATCTGTAGCATTTGCTATTGTGGCCAGAGTCTCCAAAAATTAAATAGAGTGAAACTGTGTGGAAACAGATCATTCTTCATACGAATCTGAAAGTCCAAACTTTAGCAATATTAAGATGGATCAACTGTTATTACTAGGAAAGAAAGTTATACTGAAGAAATATTGTGTGCTTTGGTAATGTCAAGGACACTAGAGATAGCAAATGTATATGACTCGCTTTAAAGAAATATGGCTTGGATAGAAATGACTAAGGGACATCCCACAACAATGTAAAAAGCCTATTACAAAGTAAGTGCATCCAGTCTTTAATTTAATTTTGACTCAAATAATAGGGTAAATTTTTTCTTCATGCAACACATAATTTTAAACTTTTATTACACAAAGCTGACAATTCAATTTAAATTGTGAGAGTATGTTTGCTTGGCACAGTTAATTCTGGTGATATTTACTGTTGGCAAGATCTCCCAAAAGGCAGAACATCTTGAAAAATGTGTTCCGGTGATTTCAAACCACTTTCAGATCCTTGCTAGTAAGCAAGAGTCGGCCTCCCATCATCCAGAGGTTTTTGAAACACTGACAGACACAAGTCCTGATTTGGTGGCAGTATCAGAAGCGTGATTTTCATATGAACAAACCCATGTGCAAAAGAAAGTTCTTGCTGCCACCTCGAGGGTCCCCATCATGGGCACTTCCCAGCTTTAGTCATGTGATGCCAGCACTAGACATGACTCTAGCCTGTTTGAAGGCCTAAAGCACTGGATGATTTAGAACAAAGCGCCTTAGTTACTCCGCCTTCCCCCATACCACCCCTGGCTCAGACGAGCCGTCAGCATCCTGAGGAATGATGCTCTGCATACTCTAGGATAACAGGTGACAGGACATCTATGAATAAATCAAGAAGCATTTCAGAATGCAAATGCACACTGCTGGAATGAAGGCAAGAATTGAAATGTATCGTGGGGATCTAAAGGGAAAACTCAACGTCCAGATGGATGAAGTCATTTACTCAGGATCAACCCGACAGTACCAGAGAGGTGTTCCCGAAACCCAGACTGTAAACATTACATTTGTGTTCAGTATACTCTTCACATCTAGCTCCACAGTCCAGGTTTTGTTTTTTTTTTTTTTTAGTTGGGTTTACTTAAACTGAAACGCATCTTTTATTTGTGTTGTCTCAGTGCCTTAAATTATAACTTTTCCTGCATGGAAAAAAAAAAAAGTGATTTCTTTAGAAGTTTCTCTCATTAGGAGTCCAAAACTGTTAGCTATTCATAATCCCAAAGCCATCATTTTGGGATCTGAGGTAGGTCGCGGTGCTGATTTGCTTTCTCCCTCAGTGCCTGACTTTGGGCTTCTCATGTGCCTGGAGCGCTTTCTTTTTAGGATTGCAGACGTCCAAAAAGCAGAGGGGCAGCTTGGGAGGTCAAATAGCTAATCTCTGTCTCTCCATTTGCGCTCCAAAGTGCTCTTCTGAGGAGCGGACCAAGCCCTTCTCCTCCCTCCTGCCTGGGCTCACTGAGAGGGAGCTGGTCTAAGCACAAAGCATCAGCAAAGTGAGCAGGGCCAGGGCCAGGAGAGCTGGGCGCCCACTGAGTGCACCACACATGAAGCCAAGAGAGGAAGAGCCATCTCTTCCAGCAGAAGACTAAGAGCCCTCTCTTCCAGGACAACTAAGGATGGATTTGCCTTTTTGAAAATTTGAGGTTGGACTTGCAATAAAAAATAAGATAATTTGTTATTGAATTAGGAACTTATGTATGGGAAGGAAAAAAGCAGCCCCCGAGCTCAAGGCTGCACACAGTGGGCTTGGCTCTCCAGAAAGGAGAGCTCTAAGTGGGCAAAGGTAACCGCTCGCCTGCACTGCTCACAGGCTCCCAGCCAGACCTCCCTACCAGACTTTCGGGAGTAAGTCACTCATTCATACTGCAGTACGCAATTCCTTTCCTTTCCTTTCCTTTCCTTTCCTTTCCTTTCCTTTCCTTTCCTTTCCTTTCCTTTCCTTTCCTTTCCTTTCCTTTCCTTTCCTTTCCTTTCCTTTCCTTTCCTTTCCTTTCCTTTCCTTTCCTTTCCTTTCCTTTCCTTTCCTTTCCTTTCCTTTCC
The DNA here is from genome assembly GCF_000001405.40 of Homo sapiens. NCBI lineage: Eukaryota > Metazoa > Chordata > Mammalia > Primates > Hominidae > Homo > Homo sapiens. The sequence goes on along the minus strand of NW_018654717.1, from coordinate 4,068,225 downwards.
TTTCCTTTCCTTTCCTTTCCTTTCCTTTCCTTTCCTTTCCTTTCCTTCCCCTCCCTTCCTTCCTTCCTTCCTTCTTTCATTCCTCATTTTTACAATCAGTTTAAATTGTGTGTTCTTTTAGAAAATATAATACAAACATATGAGAAAAATACAAACAGGGCAAAAGGAATACAGCAAAAATTATCTTCCTTCCATCCCTGTCTTCCTACAAAAGTTCCCTTTGGTAGAGCTAACCACTGCTACCAGTTTCTACAGTATCTTTCCAGAGATACTACAGGTGAAAGTGTCTATTTATCTATGTCCTGCATAAATGCAAGCATATATGCATCTTCTGCACCTTGCTGTTTAAAAAACACTTTTTAAAACACTACCCACTTAAAATACTTTAATAGATCCTGGTTCTCTGCAAAATAAAGTCCAAACTTTTTCTGGTATGAAACATCCTTTATAACTCCCCAAATGAGTATCTCCTTCCAGTTCAGTGACCCCCTCCTTCCTTCCAGCTTCTTCCTCTCCCTCCCACCCCACCCCACGTTTCAACAGCATAGAGCTCCAGGCCTGGGAGCCTCACTCCTGTTGGTCCTTTGGTCTGGAGACTCTTGCTTTTTCTCCTCTGCTTGTCAAAATTATTCTCATCATTTAAAACCCAGCACATCTGTCGCTTCTGCTGTGAAGGTTTCTCCAAATTTCTCAGTCATATTGACCATTTCCTCTAAGTACCCTTCTTAGCAAGTTCTGTATTCCTCAGTGGGTGCTTTACTTATTTTCTGAACACTCTTGAAATACCATGTTGGACAAGAGAGACCATAAGAAACAACACGGTCTCTGCCCTCAAGGAACTTAAGGTCTAGCAGGGAAAAGTCAACAAGCCATGGCAGTAGTGAGTGATCATTGCTGGTGTTGGGAACACGGGAAAGAGGATGCACATGCAGACTGGGAAGGCCAGTTGGAGAAGTTCTTGGGGGAGGCGGAACATAAGCTGCTAGCTGAGATCTAGAAGGGACTCACAATAAAAAATAAGAGAATTTGCCATTTAATTGGGAACTTGTGTAGGGGAAGGGGAAAAGGAGCCCCCAAGCTCAAGGGTGCACACAGTGGGCTTGGCTCTCCGGAAGGGAGAGCTCTAGGTGGGCAAAGGTAACCACTCACCTGCACTGCTCATGGGATCCTAGCCAGACCTCCCTAGCAGACTTTAGGGAGTAAGTCACTCATTCACACTGCAGCATGCAATTCCTTTATTTCTTTCCTTCCTTCCTTTCTTTCATTCCTCATTTTTACAGTTTATAATCGGTTAGATTTTTACAGTTTCTAATCGGCTAGAGCCACGTGAAGAGTTATGGAAAATGGAAAAGGTCAAAATGTTCCCAGGTGGCCATGCTACACAAAGAGAAAGGCATATGCAAAAGTTGAGAGAGCACCAGAATTCATGAGACCTTAGAGATGAATCAATATGGCACGAGGCTAGAGCTTTGCCAGGGTAGAGTCATCAGAGAAAGTCTTCTGTAAATTATAAAGTCATCTTCAAATGACAAGTGTGGAGGTAAATGACTCAAAACTTTGACAACTGGAGATTTGTAATCTTTAACCTCCAAGTTGCTGCAGTCTCTAAAGATTTAAGAGGATTTGGGGAAGGCCAAGGGATGTCACTCAACATAATTGCTTTTGAGTATTAAAGCCGTGGATTTTGACAAGCACTGCCAGGGAATGTCTGAGGGTTTGCATTTTAGTGAATTACTCTGTAAATCAAGATATATATTAGTAATACTAAGAGTGGTAGTAATTAACCTATACTGAGCTCTTACCCAACTTCCAGCACTATTTTTAGGACTTTGCATATTAGAATCTATTTAATCCCAACTACTTACAGGGTGAGTATGCTATTATTATCTCCATTTTTTAGATGAGGAAACCAGGTATTGAGAAGTTAAGAGGCTTTCTCAGTGTCACAGAACTTGCTTGTGGTGGAGTTAGGATTGAAACCCCAGTGGTCTGGTTTAGAGCCCGTGTTCCTAACCACAAGGCTCCACTGCCTCTCCTCAGCTTCAGTGGGCAGTGTTTGGGTGAGAACACTGCCCGGCCTGGAAACCCAACATTTGCTGTTCCAGAGAAGCATTCTGCAAATCCAGGGCACATGGTCAGTAGGTGGAGTCTGCTTAACCCACTCTTGGCATCTCAAGGCAGTCACTGCCTGGAAATAACAATTCGGGGAGTTTAATTAACAGCACACTGCAGGAATGCCAAGAAAAATGGGAAATCCATGAGTGGATGCCTTGGGGTTGAAAATCAGAATTGAAGGGCCTTCCCTGCCGTCTTTCAAGCTGCCATGGATTGCAACAGGCAGAGCTGCACTTGCTTGGTTTAGGCAGAGGAGTCTAGATTAATTACACAGATGCATGACTTTGCTCAGAAAAAGCCGGTGGATGGTTTGATGTAGTGACTTCTGCAACCATAAAATTGGGAGATATATGGTTATCTCTGTGCTAAATGGGGCCCTGAAGAGATTAACCTCACATACAAAGTGAAAATTATATGAATGAATTTCACCAGGTGGGGAAGACTCCTCGTCATACTTGCAAATAGCAGTTTCATGCCAAGGATGCTGGCTTCAAATGTGAAACTATGGAAAAGTTTTCTTGAGAGAGTGCCATGGGGCTGTGAGAGAAGTACTGGTTTTGAACATGCAGAAGATTAAAATTTGAGGTCAATGCCTTAAAAAGATCCCTGAATACATAAAGCTTTAAGCGGGGAGTGGTGGGGGTTCTGTTTATTTTATGGTCAAGATGTATTTTTGAAGGGAATGCATTTCATGCTGTCAACCCAACTGTAGACTTTATCACCCTCCCCAGGAAGGGGAGGGTGAGAGTAAGGCCAGGTGTGGGGTGCAGGCTGTCTTGTCCTTGGGGCCAGCACACATCGCCGGCTCACTAGCCTTTCTCTCTGGTACTAGGAATGAGCTTCATTTCTGCAATCTGCATGGTAACCACTGTAGGAAGGTGACTGTGCAGAAACTGAAAAAGCACAGTATTTTGAGTGTAGAGAAATGTGTTCAAGTCACAGCTCTGCTACTGACTAGTGATAAGGCGCTGGGTGAGTCAACATCTCTGAGCCTCACTTAGTCATTTGTGAATAGGCTTATAATCCCATGCCTGAGAGATGCTTTAAGGATAGAGACAGTGGTATACCAGGGCACCTGGAAGCTACAAAGCAACATGAAATGCTGGCTAATGGAGTTAGCAGAATTTTAAGGCATCATTTACTTACCTGATATTTGTCTCCTATCTTCAGCCTCTCAAATATTGCATTTGCTTTTGTGTTTGGTTTTACTATTTTATTATGCTAAAATATACATAACAACATTTTACCCCAATAACCATTTTTTAAATTATATTTGTAAATTGTATTTAACTGCCCTAGATTGTATACTTAAAAATGGATACAACTTATATGTTAGTGCTGAGTATTTTATTCAGAGTTTCGATAAAGACATTTCTCAGAATTCTTTTTTTTTAAGGGTGCAGAAAAAAAATTTTGTAAAAATAGATTCAGGGTGTACGTGTGTAGGTTTGTTGCATGGATATATTGTGTAATGGTGAGATTTGGACTTCTAGTTTGCCCATCAACTTGAATAATGAAGACTGTACCGAGTAGATCATTTTTCAACCCTCAGTTCCCTCCATCTTCCCTCTCCTTGGAGTCCCTAGTGTCTAATTTCCCTCCGTATGTCCACATGTACGCATTGTACCCATTGTTTAGTCCCTACTTATAAGTGAGAACTTGCAGTATTTGATTTTCTGTTTTTTTTTTTTTTTTTTTTTTTTTTTTTTTTTTGAGACGGAGTCTCGCTCTGTCGCCCAGGCCGGACTGCGGACTGCAGTGGCGCAATCTCGGCTCACTGCAAGCTCCGCTTCCCGGGTTCACGCCATTCTCCTGCCTCAGCCTCCCGAGTAGCTGGGACTACAGGCATATGCCACCACGCCTGCCTAATTTTTATATTTTTAATAGAGACAGGGTTTCACCATGTTGACCAGGCTGGTCTCAAACTCCTGGCCTCAAGTTATCCACCCGCCTCAGCCTCCCAGAGTGCTAGGATTACAGGCATGAGCCAGTGTGCCCAGCTGATTTAATTTTTTTTTTTTTAATATAGCATGCTTCACGAATGTGCATGTCATCCTGGCACAGGGGCCATGCTGATTTTCTCCGTATCATTCCAATTTTAGTATATGTGCTGCTGAAGTAAGAACTGGAACCATTCTTAAATGTACATCCAGAGGCATTAATTGCATTAACAATGTCATACGACCATTGCAATGATCCCTCTCCAGTACTTTTTCATCATCCCAAATTGAGACTGTACCCATGAAACAATAAGTCACCATCCCCCTGTTCCCCTACCTCTGGTAACCTATGGTATACTTTCTGTCTCTAAGAATTTGCCTGTGAGGGACCTCACATTGGTGGAGTGAAACAGTACATATTAGTCCTTTTATGTTTAGTTTATTTCACATAATACAATATTTTCAAGATTTATGCATGTTGTAGCAGGTATCAGAAGTCTTCTTAAGGCGAGATAGTATTTTATTGCATACATATATACTCATTTTGTGTATCTATTCATCCGCTGATGAATATTTCGGTCGTTTCTATATTTTGGCTATTGTGGATGATACTGCTATGAACATGGTGTACAAATATCTATTTGAGTTCTACTTTTATTATTATTATTTTTTGAGACAGGGTCTGATTCTGTTGCCCAGGCTGGAGTGTAATAGTGCAATCTCCGCTCGCTGCAACCTCCATCTCCCAGGCTCAAACCATCTTCCTACCTCAGCCTCCAGAGTAGCTGCAACTTACAGATGTGTACCGCCACGCCCAGCTATTTTTTTTTTTTTTTTTTTTTTTTTACAGAGTTTCACTCTATCGCCCAGGCTGGGGTGTAGCGATGCAGTCTTGGCTCGCTGCAACCTCTGCTGCCAGGCTTCAAGCGATTCTCCTACCTCAGCCTCCCAAAGTGCTGGGATTACAGGCATGAGCCACCATGCCTGTCCCATTTTTTTGTAGTTTTGCTAGAAATGATGTTTTGACATGTTGCCCAGGCTGGTCTCAAGCTCCTGAACTCAAGCGATCCTCCTGCCTCGGCCTCCCAAAGTGCTGGAATTACAGGTGTGAGCCACTGCAGCCGGCCTGAGTTCTGCTTTTAATTCTTTTGGGAATATCCCTAGAAGTGGAGTTGCTGAATCACATGTTTATTGTTTATTGCTAGATTCTTTTTTTTTTTTTAACTTTTTTATTTCCATAGGTTTTTGGGGAACTGGTGGTATTTGCTTACATGAGTAAGTTCTTTAGTGGTGATTTGTGAGATTTTGGTGAACCCACCACCCAAGCAGTATACACTAAACCAATTTTGTAGTCTTTTATACCTCACTTCCTTCCCAAGCTTTCTTCCCAAGTACCCAAAGTCCATTGTGTCATTCTTATGCCTTTGCATCCTCAGAGTCTAACTCCCGCTTACGAGTGAGAGTATACGATGTTTGGTTTTCCATTCCTGAGGTATTTCACTTAGAATAATAGTCTCCAATGCCATTCAGGTTGCTGTGAATGCCATTAATTCATTCATTTTTGTGGCTAAGTAGTGAGTATACACACACACACACACACACACACACACACACACACACATCACAATTCCTTTATCCACTCATTGACTGATGGACATTTGGGCTGGTTCCATATTGTTGCAATTGTGAATCGTGTTGCTATAAAGAGGCATGTACAGGGGTCTTTTTCGTATAATGACTTTTTTCCCGCTGGATAGATACCCAGTAGTGGGATTGCTGGATCAAATGGCAGTTCTACTTTTAGTTCTTTAAAAAATCTCCACACTGTTTTCCACAGTGATTGTACTTGTTTACATTCCCACCAGCAGTGTAGAAGTGTTCCCTTTTCACCGCATCCATGCCAACATCTATTATTTTTTTATTATGGCCATTCTTGAAGGAGTAAAGTGGTATCACATTGTGGTTTTGATTTGCATTTCCCTGATCATTAGTGATGTTGAGCATTTTTTCATGTTTGTTGGCCATTTGTTTATCTTCTTTTGAGAACTATTTATGTACTTAGCCCTCTTTTTGGTGAGATTATTTTTTTTCTTGCTAATTTGTTTGAGTTCATTGTAGATGCTGGACATTAGTCCTTTGTCAGATGTATAGATTGTGAAGATTTTCTGCCACTCTGTGGGTTGTCTACTCTGCTGACTGTTCCTTTTGCCATGCAAAAGCTCTTTAGTTTAATTAAGTCCCAGCTATTTATCTTTGTTTTTATTGCATTTGCTTTTGGGTCCTTGGTCATGAAATCCTTGCTTAAGCCAATGTCTAGAAGAGTTTTTCCAATGTTATCCTCTAGAATTTTTATAGTTTCAGGTCTTAGATTTCAGTCCTTGATCGATCTTGAATTGATTTTTGTCTAAGGTGAGAGATGAGGATCCAGTTTCATTCTCCTACATGTGGCTTGCCAATTATCCCGGCACCATTTGTTGAAAAGGGTGTCTTTCCCCACATAGTTTTTTTGTTTTCCTTGTTGAAGATCAGTTGGCTGTAAGTATTTGGGTTTACTTCTGGGTTCTCTATTCTGTTCCATTGGTCTATGTGCCTATTTTTATGCCAGTACCATACTGTTTTGGTGACTATAGCCTTATAATATAATTTGAAATCAGGCAATGTGATGCCTCTAGATTTGTTCTTTTTGCTTAGTCTTTTATTTTTGGCTATGTGGGCTCTTTTTTGGTTCCATATGAATTTTAGGATTGTTTTTCTAGTTCTGTGAAGAATGATTGTGGTATTTTGATGGGAATTGCGTTGAATTTGTAGATTGATTTTGGCAGTATGGTCATTTTCACAATATTGATTCTACCCATCCATGAGTATGGGATGTGTTTCCATTTGTTTGTGTCATTTATCATTTCTTTCAGCAGTGTTTTATAGTTTTCCTTGTAGAGGTCTTTCACTTCCTTGCTTAGGTACATTCCTAAGTATTGTATTGTTTGGCAGTTATTATAAAAGGAGTTGAGTTCTTGGTTTTATTCTCAGCTTGGTCGCTGTTGGTGTATGGAGAGCTACTGATTTGTGTACATTAATTTTGTATCCTGAAACTTTGCTGAATTCTTTTATCAGTTCTAGGAGCTTTTGGAGCAGTCTTTGGGATTTTCTAGATATACAATCATATCATCAGCAAATAGCAACAGTTTGACTTCCTCTTTATCAACATGGACGCCCTTTATTTCTTTCTCTTGTCTGATTGCTATGGGTAGGACTTCCAGTACTATGGTGAATAGAAATGGTGAGAGTGGGCATCCTTGTCATGTTCCAGTTCTCAGAGGGAATGTTTTCAACTTTTCCCTGTTCAGTATTATGTTGGCTGTGGGTTTGTCATGGATGGCTTTTAGTACATTGAGGTATGTCCCTTCTATGCTGATTTTGCTGAGAGTTTTAATCATAAAGTGTTGTTGGATTTTGTCAAATGCTTTTTCTGCATCTGTTGAGATGAACATGTGACTTTTGTTCTTAATTCTGTTTATGTGGTGTCTCACATTTATTGACTTGTGTATGTTAAACCATCCCTGCATCCTTGGTATGAAACCCACTTGATCATGGTGGGTTATCTTTTTGATATGTTGTTGGATTTGGTTAGCTAGCATTTAGTTAAGAGTTTCTGCATCTATGTTCATCAGGGATAATGGTCTGTAGTTTTCTTTTTTGGTTATGTCCTTTCCTGGTTATTGCTGGATTCTATGTGTAACTTTTTGAGGAAGCAACACTGTTTTTCATAGCAACTGCACCATTTTGCATTCCCACCAACAATCGTAATAGTTCCAACGTATCCACATTCTCATGAACACTTGTCCATTTCCATTTTTGATAACAGCCATCCTAATGAGTGTGAAGTGGTAACCCCATTGTTTTGAAGGATGTCAGTTACATCTCCATGTGGCAAGAAACCCAAGAGTATATAAGGTTGGCTTCCTACCACTGGAGCTCTGGCATATCAAAGAGCATATCTGGCACCAGGAGTCTTTTTTTTTTTTTTTTTTTTTTTTTTTGCAAGAGTTTTTATCCAAAGCAAAATGGCTTACCAGGACAGAACTGGGAAGAGGACTTGATGTCCTCAGAGTTACCTGATGATTCTATTTATTCATTTATTCACTCACTCACTCATTCATTTATTCCATAATTAAATACTTATTTTGGTGATAAGGAGCAGGAAGGAATTGTGCTAGATGCTGCAGCAATTATATTTTAGTGTCTACAAAGGGACCTTAAGAATCATCTTATCCAAAAACCTATCCCATTCAGGAATAGTTTCTAAAACTAGAGAGATAAGACTAAGGCCCAGGTTTCCAAGGTAGTGATCAGTCAGGCTGGATGAGGCAAGACTCCTCTAACTTGTGGGAGAATGGGTTTAAAACAAGGACAGGCATTTGCAAGGAAGCTCTCCTTCCTTACAGCTCACTAAACAGTCCAGTCACTTGATCAGCCTGTGAGTACTGAGCACAATAAAACAAGTGTCAAGAAAACCTGATTAGATAAGCTCTGAGTACTCAGACAGTCCTTATATTGTGATAACCTCCCGCAAAAGTGTCACATACAGGCTGTGTGCAATGAGAGATACTGCTGATTTGGAACTTGAGAGCCAGGTAGGAGTGTGAGTATTTGATTTCAATCTGGGAAAATTCCAGAGGACTAAATTTGGAAGATTTATGAACCTGGTAATGTCCATGCAATTGGATTTCATTGAGAAACACAGACTTTTCTTCTAGCTCATACTGGGACATTTCAACTATATTAAAGGGCAAAGAACAAGAGATGGTAATACTGGCTACAATGCAATTCAGAGATAGAATATCTACATGTATGTTTATTCTACTCTGGTTGATGCTGAAGCCGCCGGGGTTCAGAAGTAAACAAGACTTAGAGAGAACATCATTTCCTAAAGTCACGTTCACTTCTGTTGCCTGGGTACCCTCCAATGTCACACCAAGAGGCAAGACCAAACTCATCTCATTAATCAGGGAGAGTAGCATTTTCTAGATCTGGGTAAAGACTTGCAAAAAGAGCTTCCCAGTCTTTGTATATGTCATCATAACATGGGCAGAAAATAAGATTAAATATGATTGCACTAAACTCTCCCTAACTTGGTTGCCAATAACCTTATATTCCCTTCCATGTATATTAAATGACGTAGTGCACTCCATTTAATATCTTACTTCCATTTTTATGCACATAGAAGTACTTTGCAGAATAATATCTGAAATATACATAAGGGCTTTTTGCGTAAGAATTGTAATGTTCAGAATTATTGTGTTAGGTGTTGCAAGGCCTTTGGCTGTGTCCAGGTTCCCCTGCTAATATAGCAGGATGCCAGGATCTTGAAGGGAGGTAGAGGTTAGAGACTAACAACCACCCTGCAACCCCTGTACATGAAGAGGGGTCAGTTGGTGCTTGAAACATCTCTGTTCTCTATTGGCCCCTGACTGTCTTCTATTTTTGACCCTGAGCCATAAGCAAAATCACTGCCAACTCTGACATCTTCTCTTCTTTCCCATGGCTTAGCAAGCTGGACCTGTTCTTCCATGTTCTGGATCTGGCTTCCGGCTGCAACCCCCACCATCATCTGAATATTCAACCTCATCTCATTAGCCTAGTCCCATCTCAGATTAATCCGACTGCCATTCTCAGCAGGGAGAGCCTAAACTTCTTTTAATACACATATAGAGCTCACATACTTTAGAAAGATTTTTTTAATATCACAGGCATTTTAAAAGAATGAGTAAGGCACCAGTGAAGCTTAAGATTAAATTAAACATAATCCTGCCACAAAGCATCTAGCTAATTGAGATGATGGTCTCAAAAAAATTCAGGATTCAGTAGGGCAGTTACTAAAGGAGTTTGTGGAGGACAGAAGCTATGTAAGTTACTATCTAAAGGGATTGTTGAGGGAATTTTTCAGGGGTAGGAGATTGGACAAGGTGACCTTCCAACTGTGCATTTAATGGTTGCAATAGCCGTCAAGGTCAGAGTTGATAGGAACAATCCAAGTTAATATCTAGATCTGCCAGTTTTCAGTCCCATGTGGATGGAGAAAAAAATCATGGAACCATTGCTGAGCCACACCGAAGATGAACAGGGCCAATTCTGAGAAAGATCATACACGTGCCCTCCTCTCAAGGCACTTGCATTTCTATCTGGACAGAAGTACGTCAAAAACTCGGGGAATGTAAGAAGCCCAGGGAGTTTTTGGGGGTGCCCTCTTGACCTATAGGCACATCTCCTCTTCTGACCCCATTCTCATACATCATCACTGTGACATATAAGCCTCTCTGGGTCCGTAAACTAAGCCTTGCAACAGCAATACCTGTGCACATCTTGGAAGTCTATGGGATATTCATAGAGACACCTGATTTCTCGTCAGTTTACATCAATCACAAATGAGGAAAACCTTATAGTGCAATATAGATTCTAGTTGTTCCTTCATGTTGGCATAGAACTTCTTAAGGGTTAGGAGAACTTCTTCCCCATGGGTGTGTGCTTCCATGAGGAGGAACCTCTTTTAACGTACTTTCCCCTACCTTAGCCTCCATTCACCCCCACACTCTCAGGAGAGAGAAAGTCATCAGGATGGTGACTGGGAGAAGAATCTGGGCCTGGGTGACACAGCTTTTCTTCGTTCATTCTTGCTCCAGATCTGTCTGCAGGCAACACCGATCCATCCTGGTGCCTCCATCCTTGCAGAGGGACCCAGCTCTGTGGGGAAGGCCTGGTAAGCTCTGGCCTCACCTGGAACTGGGAGGGTCCATAGGGATAAAGTGCTGGCACAATGCTTAGGCTGCAGGTATAAGACCACACCTGCTCACCAGCGTGTTAGTAACACAGCTGACCTGCTGATCTCCAACAGTGGACCGCCTGCACCTTCCTCTCTCTGGATTGGGAATTCAGGTGGAGAAAATTGGTGTTATGTGTGAACTTCCTAAATCCAAAACAACTTCAATATTCAGAGGAAACCCTTCACCCCTCTTTATTCTAAGTATCCTCCAACATGCGCACACACACACACTTTCCTCCCTGTTTGAAATTTCCCAACCTCTGCTCTCTTCCTCTAGAGATCTTGGACCCCTACTGTGTCAAGCTGGACTGTCCAGCCTGGGAGGGCACCTGGCTTCCTTCCACTGAGAGAAAACATCACTAATGAGGCTGCCATGGACTCACCTGGTATATTAGTCCATTTTCACACTGCTGATAAAGGCATACCAAAGACTGGGCAATTTACAAAAGAAAGAGGTTTAATGGACTCACGATTCCACATGGCTGGGGAGGCCTCACAATTATGGCGGAAAGTGAAAGGAAGGTCTCACATGGCGGCAGACAAGAGAAGAGTGAGAGCCAAGAGAAAGGGGTTTCCTCTTATGAAACCGTCAGATATCGTGAGACTGATTCACCATCACGAGAGCAGTATGGGGGAAACTGCCCCCATGATTCAATTATCTCCCACTGGGTCCCTCCCATAACATGAGGGAATTATGGGAGCTATAATTCAAGATGAGATTTGGGTAGGGACAAAACCAAACCATATTACCTGGAGAGAGAGATTTCACGGAACCTCATCTTCTGCAGAAACCCCGGAGCTCTCAGTACTCACTTGCTCTTAGTCAGGTGCCTGTCCTCATTTCCATTCAAGATTTCTGGGGCTGTGCCTCAAGCCTTGACACTAGGAGCCCCCATCTGCCCAGGAGGATTGGCCACTTATTTACAAAACAGAAGAATTTTCTGGCATGAAACTCACCACCAAGGAAATAAGACTGTCTTCAAAATCAGGTCAATGTTGGGTCAGAAAAACCACAGCCTGGAGTTTTAAATTATCTCCGGTAGCTGGTTCCACAATCTTGTCCATTTCGTGTGCTAGGCTGGGGAGGCTGATGATATTCTGATAGCTGCCAGAACCTGGAGCTGTGTGAAAGATAGCGTGGGAATGCCAACTATGCCGCCCCATGATGGTAGTGAAGGGGAATCACTCCCCCTCTATGTGTGGTTCCTGAGGCCAGGGGCTACACTCTTGCAGCTGCTGGAGCCCAGGAGGGGCCAAAAGTAGACCCTGATTTAACTCTCCTTGCTCCCTAGCACTAGGAATGGCTGAGGACCTTTGGAATATATTCATTGATGCTTAAATGGGAACTCAGTGAAGAGGCTGCATAGGTTGCCAGTGCATTTGTGCAGGGGGTGCTAGGTGATGACCCCCAGAGTATGCAGTGCATAACCAGTGAGGGACGTGCAACAGCCCAGGGGGAAGCCAGCGGCTGACAAACACATGTCCATGGAGTGGCTGTATTGGGTGGTTTTGCCACAGCCTGGGCCTGAACATCAGTTTTGGAGGTTTAGCCACCTCATTTGTGAGGGGAATAGAGGCCTCTATCAGGGAAGAACCCACCTTAGTGGTGCTCACAGAGGCTGGTATGATTAGAAGCAAGACATAGACCAGCCACTCGGAATGGACAACTAGGTTGGGATCCATTCTTCCTGGATAGTGCTGAGATGAGCATAGTCAATGTTCACCCCATGAGGTTCCTAGTTTGGGAGCTGACTATCTCTTTTTCTGATGGCCATATTCTTTCTTTAGAGATGGAGAAATGACACTTCTAATTTTTTGTAAGGCTGGAGGCATTTCCCATTCGATGATTTGGCCTCTCTTGCTTTTATCCACCCTATGCATGTTTTATAGTTTAACTGATAGGATAGCAACCTTAATTCCAAATTATTTGGGTAGCTTTAAGGGACTTAGTTTACCCCAGCCCCCAAATATGGAAGATGTCTCTGAGGTTTGCCACCATCCCTGATGGCTCCACTGCTCACCAGCCCGTGAGCACCCACGTTCTCTCCCTGTTCTGTGAATTTACTGACTGTATATCCTCCATGTCACTGTTGCATCTTCCAAGGCATGTCTCAAGTCGTTCCTCCTGCAGGAAGCCCTTCCTGACCACCCTACCCCTTACTGACCTCTGAAACTCCGCTGTACTCAGAGAGAATAGAACCTAACTTAGCCATTAACTGGATACTGGCTAGTATTTGTCATCACCATCTCCTGTAGGTCCTATTTCACTGACTACACTACCAGCCATTTACAACTAGAAAATGAATTTCCTATTTCTTTAGCCTCCCCCATCATGTTTAGCACCTTGCAAACATTTGCAGGTAATGGAGAAAAAGATGCATATTAAATAATCCTTTGCTTCCTCAAATATCACCCATATTTTCTATGCATCTCAAATCCTATTTCTCCAGGAAACCTTCCCCAACCACTGACTCACGTTGATTTTTTTCTGCCCCTCCTGACCACCCATTGTTGCCTCAGCCATGCATTTTGTCATTCAATTATGTTGTCTGAATTTGTACTTTGGCTTAAGGTATGAGAGTCCTGTCTGCATAACTGCATCCAGGGTTTGGGTTGATGTTAGCTCCAGTCTGAGGTGGCACCAGGCAAGATCCTATATCAGGGTCTGAATCAAACAGTCTTCAGCCAGTGTTTATTGTTGCCTTGAAGATTAACAACTCTCCAACAACTAAAGGTCTTCCCCAGCCAGGCCACTGTTCTCTGCATTAGGTAGACCTGGGCGTGAATCTTAGTGTTATCACTTCAGAGGCGTCACTGTAGGAAACACCTCCTAAGCTCTCTAGGCCTCCATTTTATTTCCTTATCTTTAAGAAGGGGGATGGAGCTGTTGTGAGCCTGAAGTACCATCAAGCACTGAAAACATCAGGCATGTAGAGGAGGGGTTAAAAGCGGCTCCTCTGTAATCACATCACATGACCTTGACCAAGTGACATAATTCCCTAATCTACCTTCTCCTTATCTGTACAGTAAGCCTGTGAACCTCATGGGCTTCTTGTGGGGATTATGTGAGATGATGTGTCTAGGTACTTACTTGTTGGTAATAGTAGTGATGACAGTGGTAGTAGTAGTAGTAAGAAACTGTTATCACAGGCTGGGAGTGGTGGCTCACGCCTGTAATCCCAGCACTGTGGAAGGTCAAGTCCAGAGGATTGCTTGAGCCCAGTGGTTGGAGACAAGCCTGGGTAACAAAGCAAGACCTTGTCTCTACAGAAAATCAAAAAATTACTCAGGTGTAATGTCGTGCACCCGTAGTCCCCACTACTCAGGAGGCTGATGGGGGAGGATCGCTTGAGTCTTACAGGTCAAGGCTGCACTAAGCTGTGATCATGCCACTGCATGCCTGGGCAACACAGCAAGATCCTGAGAAAGAAGGAAAGAAGGAAAGAGAAAATGAGAGACAGAAGGAAAGAAGGAAAGAAGAAAGAAAGGAAGAGAGAGAGGGAGGAAGGGAGGGAGGGAGGGAGGGAAAGGAACGGAAAGGAAAGGAAACTGATCACAGTAATCGGCACTTGGAAAGTGCTCAGTGAATGTGGGCTTCTACCATGCTGGGGACTGGTGGTCTCCATTGCCCTCCCAGGTACCGGAGTAGATCCACTGGCCCCTTTTCCAGCTCTGCTGTTTACACAGCTCAAAGCAGGGCTTGCAGCCTTGTCACATTTTTGTGATATCTGCCAAAGCAGGCCTAGGGAAGCAGGGGCCTTGGTATCCCTAGCTACACAGCTTTCTCTCAGCCCCCACCACAAGAGTTATCATGCACCTGTATCCCCTTATCCTACAAAAGAGTCGAGATAAATTCTTTCTCGAGGTGACATGCAACAATTTATAGCATAATAAAATCTACAAGATTCTTCCTTGAGCAGAGATTTTGACAACAGCTCTTTTCCCTAAGGACAGCACAGAGGACGTCTATGCTAGGGAAAAATTAAACTCTCCGGGAGAAAAATCGCTGTCAACCCCACAAAGCACTGGCCAATCAGAACTTTCAGGAGCTTGGCTGAGTGTTTTGAACCCTGTGGCCATCAGCTGTTTCATGTCCCAGCTGTCAGCCTACCACATTTGTGCAGGATTATCCAGGTAATTCCTCAGAAGATGGCTACCTTCTCCTCTCTGGTCCTGAACTGATGCTAAAAAGCTCTCCAACCTCCCAGTTGCTTATTCTGTATGGCTAACACTGGAGTCTACAAATTAGGGCACTGTGCTTGAAGCCCGGGCCAAGTTGAGTTCTTGAGCATGTTTAACTTCTGACTTCTCCCTTCACTTTCTGTCTCTTCTGGCATATTACTTAACTACCACCTAAATCTTTTAAGTCATGATTTTAATGTAACTAAGCAGGTGCCATAATTACCCCTCAAGGGGCCTGATTTTCTGTAATGATAAAGAGATTCACTGTATTCCCAGTTAATCCTATCAGCTTAAATGTGTGTGGGGCCTCCAGGTGAGAAAAGAGGATAAATATGTAGCATTGCTATTGTTCATTTTTACTGTAGCTCATTCTCTCCCATTAACTACTGGATTTCAGAAAATCAAGACCATTCAGTTATGATAAGAGCACAGCAGGAAAACTGCAAAGAGGCTATAATTGACTTGGGGGGAAGAAGTAAGTTCAGATATAACAAGGGATGGTTCTAAGACGCTTCACCATTGCTGAATATAATGCACTACAAATCTGGGAGGAAGAACTAAAAATGCAACCCAGACTGAATTAAAGGCATGATTAGCTGATGGGTCAGGGGAGGGGTCAAGATAAGACTAAAGCCACTGGTAACTTAAAAACACATTTACACTTGCCTATGAAATACAGCCATGCCCGGAAACACATGCCTGGGTCCTCAGAGCTACAGAGTAACATATGCATATTCAAAAGGCTCCCTGTCAACCAGTCATACATCATTGACCCAGAATCAGTCTTGGTGGGGGTATGGAGAAGATCGATTCAGAATGTCTGGAGTGGGGCCCCCATTCTGAATTTTAGCAGATACCCCAGGAGGTTCTGATGCAGGTGGTTGGTGGACCACACTTTGAGAAGTTCTGGAATAGATGACTCCAGGATTTTTCAGCTGTATAATATATATACAACCTGGAAACATTCCATTCTTTGTATATTTTATGCATTCATAGCCTGTGTGTATACATGCAGGGAGAAACTGTACACCCTCTGTCTCTCTCCACTGTGTATGAATTCCACATGTGCCTCTTTTATAATAGAACAACTGAATTTTATAAGTTTTCAGCAAAATCAAATAAACAGTGTGTGGATTTGAGTATTTTCTTTCCTTATTTGACCCAGAAGAGGAATTTAATTTATAAAAGAAGACTAGAATCACAAACATGGCTCCACATAAACATAGACATGTCTATGTGGCTTCAGTGGTTCAGGGACGATTTCAAATAAATGTGGGGATCTCATCTTTGCTATCCTGATGGCTTCTCACTCTTTTCAGTCTTAAACCTGGGTCTTGAGCTCCAAAATTTGATGCCTTATAGAGGCCTCCAGAGACAGGAAATTAGTCAATTTGCCCTGCCCTGCCCTGCCCTGCCTTGACCAAGTGAAAATAATTTTTTTCCCCTCTGTTAATCACTCACCTTTAGAGATGGCAAATAGGTTTCAACTCATGATCATTTTGCAGAGGCTGAACAAAAGAGTGGGCAGAGAAGGACTCAGAGGCTTTATATGGACCCCAAGCAAATGAGTGTAATCTACAGCCTTTTGGGGATAGGGTGGGGTCCCTTTTTAAATCACTATTTGCCAGTCCAGCCCTGGCTTTCTCTTGCAATACCTACTCTTTTTATACATAATTTTAGAACTTTTAAATTTGATAGCTAAGGGTTAGAACTTCTGTCTCCTGACTCCAAATTCCATGTTCTTCCCAATAACCTAGTTCATAATAAATCATCCACATTAGTGGAGGACACTAATCCAGACAAGTTTTGCTCTCAGTAGTGAGAGGTAGTTAGCAAAAAATCTGACCTCAGTCTTCTCTTGAATGGGTAGGTTGTAGCTGTTTTTGCCTTTCTGTTTATCAGCTTTGAACTGAGCAGAAGGTACAAACTCATTGGCCCACAAAAAAATATGAGGTGGTAGTGAATCTGTTCTTTGTGTATGGGTTTACCAGCTAGAAAAAAATTTGAGAACTGCTGCAGTCTTCATTAGTTAACCTTAAACCTTTACCTCAAAGAAAGGTATCACTTGAAGACCAACTGTATTAGACTGTTTTCATGCTGCTGATAGACATAACCAAAGCTAGGAACAAAAAGTGGTTTAAGGGCGGGAGCAGTGGTTCATGCCTGTAATCTCAGCACTTTGGAAGGCCAAGGTGGGCGGATCACAAGGTCAGGAGATCGAGACCATCCTGGCTAGCACGGTGAAACCCCGTCTCTACTACAAATACAAAAAATTAGCCGGGCCTGGTGGCTGGTGCCTGTAGTCCCAGCTGATGGGGAGGCTGAGGCAGGAGAATGGCGTGAGCCGAGATCGCGCCACTGCACTCCAGCCTGGATGACAGAGCGAGACTCCGTCTCAAAAAAAAGAAAGTGGTTTAATTGGACTTACAGTTCCGCATGGCTGGGGAGGAATGAGAATCGTGGCGGGAAGTGAAAGGCACTTCTTTCATGGCAGTGGCAAGAGAAAATGAGGAGGAAGCAAAAGCAGAAACCCCTGATAAACCGATCAGATCTAGTGAGACTTACCATCACGAGAATAGCTTGGGAAAGACTGACCCCCATGATTCAATTACCTCCCCCTGGGTCCATCCCACAGCACATGGGAGTTCTGGGGTATACAATTAAAGTAGAGATTTGGGTGAGGATACAGCCAAACCATATCACCAACATAGAAAATCCAGGCAAGTTTCACTAACAGGAATGATTTGGGGCTGAATGTGAGGAAAGTGTAATCCCATGCTGGGTTGCTGGGGGCTCTTGAGGGAGGGCAGATCTTGCCTATTTCAGTGTTTCTTCCTCTTTCTGAGTGGCATTCTCAAGCCTCTGGTAGTTAATAGAGGTGCCCTGCATTGGTTGGTTTCCTCTACCTCCTAAGTCAATCTACTGATTTGTCAAATTTGCTGATTCTACGGCTATATAATGCTCATGAACACACAAACAACAAATCGCTTTTACTCACCGTGAAGTGTATGATCTTTCTACAGCTGGGAGGAAGCTTATTGGGAAAGGTTTTCCGTAGAGCTCTTGCTGTACACGATTGGGATCCATTGGATTTATTTCGGCAGAGGGAGAGAGAGACATTGAATAGAACGTAAATAAATATTACCCACACCCAGCGTTTAACTTCTTTGATATTAAGGCTGATTTAGCGGTCAGAATCCAGGTGACGGGGTGGAAAGTAGCATGAAAGACAAGAAGGAGGAGAAGCAAGCTAGAATTGAATGAAGCTGAGAGAAGCAGTGAGTTACTGGGTAGCAATCCTATTCCCATTGCATTTCTGTTGCATTGTTTCGTTGTAAAGAAGAATCAATAGAAAGAGGATGCTCGAGTTTTAATTTAGTGAATCTCATCTGGGACATGGTACATCTGACAGTAGCCTTTTTAAAATGCAACCACTGTTCTCAGATTTATTAATTTTTATGTTATGAATATTTAAATATGCCCATCTCAATGGAATCATTTCATGGGAAGCTAATGCACTTACATTTTTAATGAAATGAGTAGTCAACCATTAAAAATAAAATATGGATATGAATTGTTAGACTAATTGATTGGGGGAAGAAAGTTATTGTGCAAGCAATCAGAGAATTTAGAAAAATGAGGAGAAATCAAATGACCCAATTATCGTCAGCCTTTGACATTCAGAAAGATGCTGTCCAATATATCTCTTTCTTTCTTTTTTTTTTTTAATGAACAGTCACTTTTTAAAATGTCTAAAGAAAATTATCACTGTAAATCAATCCTCAGGTAGGAAGAGAGCCAGAAAGGGATGTGATGTTCAGGAGCTAGTACTTAACTGCTAGTTCCTGCTACAATAAAGAGAGTGAGGAATCAGAGAATTTTCTGTATAATTCAGGTCGCAACCCTGCTTTTTCCTGGATTCCCCATAGAATATGGCAACTGAAACTAAGGATAAGTCTCCCCTCTCCCCTGAATTTCAAGATACCTGTGCGGTTATCAATATGTAAATAAATGTAATTTGAAAGTCACTTTAAAGATTACTAGTTTAAAGTCCCTTTGAAGTTTTGTTTTTTTTTTTTTAAGTGGAAGAATTATTGTTTAAAGCAAACCCTAGCGTTCCTTTTTCTAAGTATGATTTTCTCTGTTGGTCTTCAAGTGATTATCTTTTTTTGAGTTAAAGGTTTAATCTTAACTAATGAAGACTGCTATAGTTCTCAAATTGTTTTTTAGCTGGTAAATGTATAAGCAGAGAATAGATTCATTGCCACCTTTTTTGTTGGCCAATTAATCCCTACTGTTCAGTTAGAAGTGTGTTGATAAACAGAAATACTAAAAGAGCTATAACCCTTTCAAGAGAAAACTGAGGTCAGATTTCTTGCTAACCACCTCTTACAGGGCAATTTGATGAGCAAGGTGTGTATTGATTCAACAGCACAGGAGGCCTTGCTGTGTATTGGTAGCACTGCAAGTGCCAAAGGCTCAAGGAAGAACAAGGAAAGAGCTGAGAAGGTAAATCGCTGGCATTTTGTAGGCAGGGATAGAGAGACTAGAAGAGTGGGAGGATTGAGGATACTGGAAAAAAATGGCTAAAGTGGTGCACTAGGGAGAGAAAAGGAAGGAAAAGGCGGGTAAGAGCCAGGTATAGGGGAAGCAAAATCCGTGGGCCATGTGAGGAAGAAAGATAAAGAATTTGGCAATCAAAGTCACTTAGTGCAGTGCTTCTCTAACTTCAGTGTGCACACGAATCATCTGGGGATCTTGTGAAAATTCAGGTTCTGATTTAGCAGGTCTAGGGCCAGGCCTGCAATTCTGTATTCCTCCCAAGCTCCCAGAAGATGCCCGAGCAGGTGCTGGTCCAGCCCACCCATGAGTAGCAAGACCAGAGGATCCCAGTTTCATCTGATGGAATGTGAAGAATGTCAGTACCAATGAGTGAATTCCTTATTGTCAGTTGTGTACTTTGCACTCTGCTAAGTACCCTGAAGAGTTTTTAAAAAGAGGAGATAAGACATGCAAACATGAAACCACTAGAGTAAAACAGAAGAGTGTGTGCGTTACGGAGCCTACGTGGGGCTGGAAGTCTTCGGGAACAGAGAGGATCTGTCTAAGCATGTTGGAGCTTACACAGGCAGAAAGGAGGGGGAGTGGCGTCAAGCTGAAATGAACATAGAGGGGTAGAGTATGGAATGCCAGTGCCGAAGAACTGCGGAGACCTCTGTGGGGTCTTAAAGCTCCACTGCAACCCCAGAAAGTGACCATCTCTAGAGTTGAAAGGCTAAGTGTTGTGGTGGCTGGCTGAGTTTAGCTGAAAAGGCAGGTGTGTCTCCTTTAGTCTTTTCTTTCTTTTCTTTTTTTAGAGACAGGGTCTTGTTCTGTCACCCAGGCTGGAGTACAGTGGTGCAGTCATAGCTCACTGCAGCTTTGAACTCCTGGACTCAAGCAATCCTCTCACCCCAGCCTCCCGAGTAGCTGGGACCACAGGCACACTTCCACCATGCCCAGCTAAGTTTTTTATTTTTTGTAGCCATGGGGGGGGGTCTCATTATGTTGCCCAGGCTGGTCTCGAACTCCTGGCCTCAAGTAATCCTCCTGCCTCAGCCTCCTGAAATGCTGGGATTAGAGGCATTAGCTATCACACTCAGCCTCATTCAGTCTCCAGAGCACCTGGCACATTGCTGGACACATTAATGGCCACTGAGGAAGTGGCTGACTCATGCCAGGGCCATTCAATGAATCACGGAGCAGCCAGCATGCATAGTAACTAATACACCTTAACATCGAGGTTCAAAGGTGAAAAACAAAAATGGATTCTCATTATAATAGCGGAAGAAAAACATAAATAATGATTGTTGCATGACAGTCTATTTAAGATATTCATTTCTTATTTGCTTTTGCTGCTAAATGGAACGCAAAAAAATAAAGATAACATTTTCCTTCTCACTTTCTACTTAGAAGAACGACCACACTTTTACGTTAAGGTTAAGACTCTCTGAGTTTCTGAAGCCTTGCAGAAGTAATCTTTGCCTAGCTTTGGGAAGATCTGACCCACTACAGATTATGTTAGAAGTGCCAGAGGAGGAAGACTTCCTGTACCCGTCTGTTATGGAGCTAAATCACATCAGTCACACTGTGACATGTGATGAAAAACATGGGCGCCATAGTAAGTCAGCCAGAACCCAGAGCAATGAGTATGTCTGGAAGGAGGAGACTGCACCAAAGCTAACATGTGGGCTGTGCGTTGAAGGATGAGGAGGAAGCTGCCAGTGACATGGGGGAAGGTCTTCTAGAAGGAGGCTGCAGCTCTGGCAGGGCCATGGTGAAGTCCCTGCAGGAGGAGAACAATGCACTGTGGATTGAGTGGAAGCCTGGAGTCCATGAGGGGCTATGACAGCAGGTAAGCACAGGCAGGGAGGCTGAGGCTGAGCTCAGAGACCTCTTGAATACCAGGTAGGGGGTTTAGACTTTGTCCTACACACGGTGCTGCCTATTTATGACTTTCTCACCTTACTTGGATAAAATAAGCTTATACATACATAATACTGGCAGTTGACTTTGGACCACAGTTAGGAAAACAATTACATCTTTGCCTAAGCTTCCATTTGAAATATTTGTCTTCACTCAGCTAGTTCTTTATTTTTTACTTTTTTATTTTTTTGAGATGGAGTCTCATTCTGTCGACCAGGATGGAGTGCAGTAACGGATCTCGGCTCACTGCAATCTCCACCTCTTGGTTTCAAGCAATTCTCATGCCTCAGCCTCCTGAGTAGCCGGGATTATAGGTGTGCACCACCACACTGGGCTAATTTTTGTATTTTTAGTAGAGACAGGGTTTCACCATGTTGGCTAGGCTGGCCTTGAACTCAAGTGATCTGGCTGCCTTGGCCTCCCAAAGCACTGGGAACTAGCTTCATTCAGCTAGTTCTTCAATGATATACAATGGAGGGGTGAACCAGACAAGTAAGGCAGAGGGGATTTGTTTCATTACTAATCTACTGTGTAATTTTTGTCAAGGGGCAAATTCCTTGAGCCTCAGTTTCCCTTTCTGGACTATGAATAATGAACATTTTGGCACACCAAACTTAGCAGTTCTCACAATGCTAGTTCCTGGGGACTTCCTGTGTGCCTGTTATATACATTATCTTTTTAATCCTCCAACTACAGCATAGGATAGGCTCTTCTGTCAGCCTTTTTACAGATGAAGAAACTAAGGCTCAAGGAATTTGAATAATTGGCCCAAGGACACATATGGCTAACAATTAGCAAAGCTGGATTTGATCTGATCCCAAACTCAGCCTAATCTCATTTATGCAGCACTCCTTACCCCAAAGATGGTTATTTTAACTATCACCATTTTGAAGAATACCTCAAACTCAAAAATTGTTTCAAAGTACCTGTAGCATGTGACTTCATTATCCTCACACTGCTGGGAAGAAATATAGAATCATCCAATACTGGACTGAAAAGACCTGAAAAACCACTCTAGCTTTTGCTTCTGTTTTTGCAGAAGAGGAGATTGGTGTGCAGCAAAGCTGTGGAATGACTCAAAGTCACATAGAACATTCTAGTAATAGCTGTTTCTTTTATATTTTAGTGTGTTTAAAGTACGGTGGGGGCTCTGACAAATACAGTTTCGGATTTTTTCTGCACTCACCGATTTTCTCTTCCTTATACTAAAGAGCCATTCTCTCTGCTTCCTTTATAATTCCACGTTTCCCAGTGATGTTGAAAATAAGTATCATAGGGGCCTGGCAGAGGCCTAGGGTCAGGCAGGTGTTCACTAAATTGATTGATAGCTCAGGACAAACATGTGGATTCTAATGTTTCTTGGGTGGAGGTTTTGGAATAAGTTGTTTCAGGAAAAGTGTTAGAAAACTTGAAGTTTTCTCATGATTAAAATGAATATGATATTCTTTAAGGGAAAAGGTGGTGATTTTAAGTCACAAAATGTGGTTGAAAAATTAAGACCAAGATGGTATCAAAAATTAAATGGTATCAAGAATCTTAAAATTATTCAGGCTCTTAAATTTAGTAATTCACTTCTAGGAATGTACTTTAAGGAAATAATCTGAAATTTCCAGAGATATATACACACAAATGTTCATCTCAGCATTGCTAATAATATTTTTAAAAAAATAAAACTAGAAACAACCTATCTGTTCAACCTTAGGACAAAACCCACAAAATAAAATATTATGGTGCTATTAAAATATTACTTATCAGTGACTTCAGTGACATGAGGAAATGCTTATCATACAATTTTCAGTGGGAAGAAAGGATGAAATAGTATAAATAGCATGATTTCAACAATGTAAAAAACTGCAGAGGAAATTGAGAATACACCAAAATACTAACAAAATTTCTCCATGGTAGAATTATGGGATTAAGAATGATTTTACCCTCTTCTCTAAACTTAACTTAGCTTTCCAAATTTTATACAAAAGAATGAGTCCCTTTTGTAATTGAAAAACAAACTTAAAACAGAAGCATAGAAAATCTTTCATAAATAGCCAAGATGTTCTCTTATGCAACACCTATTTTTTTTTCTCACGGGGAGCTGTCATCCTACCTTGACTGAGAATGGACAAGATCAGCTCAGCAACATCAGGAACTGGCTGTGAAGACCTTTCCCAGAGTTGTGGCTTCGAAAAGGAAATCTAGCTTCTAAGATGAATGATCAAGGGTTTGGCCAAAATCCAGGTTCATGAAACTGAAGAAGTAGCTTCACAATATCCGGGACAGAATGGGAGAGAGGGGCAGGAGACAGGCAGGTATCTTGCCTGAAGATTGAAGTGATTCTCACTGGAGAAATAAAAGAAATTCCAAGAACCATCACTTTTGCTTTAAGAGGAGCCTTTAGAGCTGAGTGAGGACAACAGCCCCATTTTAGACAAGAAGAAACTGAGTCCAAGGAGGTCGAGTGACTCTGTTAATATCACACAGTGAGTGACCAAGACTCCCATCTTGCAGTCCAGTTGTTTTCTACTGTCTTTACTTTGAAATAAATGTTGGGATGCTCTAAATAGTCGTCTGCAGCTTATCATTATCACGGAAACTGTGAGTCGCCTCTGTTCTTCTACCAGGGATTTCGTGCGTGATCCCAGCAACAAGCCTAGGATACCAAATGCAATCAGCGCCAGTTTGAAATAATACCCCTCCCACTCTCTGCTAATTTTCTCGGAAATGGTTAGATCCCCGATGGCCCCGGACCAGAATGGCAATGACTCCAGAGGTTGTCCAGGGTCTTTGGAGGAAATATCCATTTCTGGAATTGATGAACATTAAAGAGAGAATATTAATAACATCCGACTTGTGCCACTTTCAGAAACTTGGTTCAGTGCCCTGGGATAGTGAGAATGTTCTTAGCCTACTTTGTGTAAATTGCTCAACTCCTTTCTGGCCTTGGGATGAGATCGATGAGATGATTGCACTTGGAAATGCAACAGTGAAGAGTTGGGAGTGAGGGTGCTAACAAGGAGCGCAAATAAACAGAAAAACAGATCTATGGAAACCATGCAGGAAATCCTATTAGGGTGGAAACGTTAAATGTAGTATGCAGTGGGGAGATGGGTGGGGGGTTGAAGGCAGACGGGAACTCCCTCAGATTGGCAGAGATGGGGACCCACCTTACTCCTCCAGGAAAGTGGGAAAAAGTGCCTGAAGCTTTCTCAGCTGAGCACAGTCTCCACATCAGACGCTTTTTGCCCTGTACCCTGCCCTGCCCTGTCTTGCCCCTGGATGTGCCTACTTCATTACAGTTCTGTTGATTCCTGGAATCCCAAAGCAGCAGTAGCAATGCCTAGAAGAGATGCCATGTTGGTGGAGACAGCAACACTGAGATGGAAATGGAGACCGAAAGAACAGATGATCAGAGAGCAGGGAAGGAGTTTCTTCCACGGATCGAGGTATGGAGTAATCTAATGGTGACATTAGAGGTGACAAATGGTGATGTTAGGGGTTACCAATGTTTTCAGCTACCACAGGGAGAATTTGCGAGTTTCCTTTACGTTCTACCTGAGCATCAAAAAGGAAGAGAGACAGCCAGGATTGCAATAATAATTATACTGGAGAATACTTGGAACAGCACCTACCAGCAATCTGCTGGGACTCATGAAAGTCATGAAGATGAATTCAGCATGTGTTCCATGGCACGTGTGATATGGGCTGCATGCTGAAGGATTCAGCATCATGCAAGAAAAGACATTTGTATTCTCATGGGACTTAAAAATCCAAGAGAAGACAGAGAGGGAACAATTATTTATAAGTGTGACAGGTATCACAGTGAAGAAGTAAAGGACACTTTAATATCATATCACACCTATCACTTCTCGGCCTTTTGGCTAAGATCAAGTGAAGATTATTTCACATCTATGTGAACTTATGGGAGGAATCCAGATTAAATGAGATACTATGCATGAAGTGTGCAGCATGGTACCTAGCACATGAGTGCCCAGTAAACGGTAGCTGCTATTACTAAAGGTCTAAAGAACATGCTTCAAGGAGGCAAATCTTTTTTTTTATTTCAATAGTTTTGGGGGTACAATTGGTTTTTGGTTACATGGTTAATTCCTTAGTAGTGAATTCTGAGATTTTAGTGCACCCATTACCAAGCAGTGTACGCTGTACCCAATATGGTTTTTTGGGGGGGGTTTTGTTTTTTTTGTTTTTGAGACGGAGTCTCGCTTTGTCGCCCAGGCTGGAGGGCAGTGGCACGATCTCGGCTCACTCCATTCTCTTGCCTCAGCCTCCCGAGTAGCTGGGACTACAGGCGCCCGCCACCACGCCTGGCTAAATTTTTTGTATTTTTTTTAGTAGAGACTGGGTTTCACCGTGTTAGCCAAGATGGTCTCGATCTCCTGACCTTGTGATCCGCCCACCTTGGCCTCCCAAAGTGCTGGGATTACAGGTGTGAGCCACTGCGCCTGGCCCCCAATATATTGTTTTTTATCCCTCACTCCCCTCCCAACCTCTCCCCTAGCAGAGTCCCCACAGTCCACTAAATCTCTCTGTATGGTTTTGCATCTTCATAGCTTAGCTCCCACTTATAATTGAGAACATACAGTATTTAGTTTTCTATTCCTGACTTACTTCACCTAGAATAATGTGAGGCAAAATTTTTTTTGTGGACATATGTATTGGGAAGAAAAGCCTATGGTCCGTACGTCATTTAATCATTCATTTTCTCACTTCATAGACCATTTTTTACCTTATAGGTGTAAGGTGCTGTACTCAATGATAGAGCACAAAAACAGGTAAAGGTCTCTACTCTCAATGGGGTTCAAATTATAATAGGCAAGAAAGACATAGGCCAGGCGTGGTGGCTCACGCCTGTAATCCCAGCACTTTGGGAGGCCAAGGCGGGCGGATCACGAAGTCAGGAGTTTGAGACCAGCCTGGCCAAAATGGTGAAACCCGGTCTCTACTAAAAATACACAAAAAATTTGCTGGGCGTGGTGACACGCACCTGTAATCCCAGCTACTCAGGAAGTTGAGAGGCAGGAGAATTGCTTGAACCCTGGAGGTGGAGGTTGCAGTGAGCCGAGATCGCCCCACTGCACTCCAGCCTGGGTGACAAAGTGAGACTCCATCTCAAAACAACAACAACAACAACCAGAAAAGAAAAAAGACACAAACAAATCACTGCAAAATGGTGCAATAAGAAATATATTATGTCACACAGAGGCCAGCAGTCTCAATCCTGCCTTACAGGGTCCAAGAAGCCTATGCTGAACAGGGAAGGTGAGTTCAGTCTAGAAGGAGATGTAGTTGTATAGGGCCCTTGTTTTATTGACAGTTTTTTTGTTTTTTTGTTTTTTTCTGGGTGTGGTGAGCTTGGCAAGGTGTGACTTTTATATTTTCCTGTTCCTATCTCCATGTTTTATCTCTCAGTTCAGTCTCCTGATGCATTGCGAAACAAAAAACACAACAAAAAGGTGCTGGGAGGGGTTCATTGCCATGCTATAGCGACATTTTTGGCCAGGAGAACAAACTCAGAACATGTGCTTTTTATATAGAGGAAATCACTTCCAAAATATCCATAAAATGGCCTATCTCCACCAGAACCACTACTGGAAAAAAATGTGTGGTTTGATCAAAGTCTCAGAGAGTGCTCTGATTATCTGTGTGTCCGAGAAAGTGAGAGATTTTGTCTCCTCGTCCCTCGGATAGTCAGCAAATGATGGTAAGAGTAGGGGGCCTGGCCCTGCAAAGTTCCATTTTTCAAGCTGTCACTCACAGGCAGAATCCTTCTGCCCCCTCTCTGCACCCTCCCTACCTGGGACCCACAAACTCAGTATCTTGGTGGCAGAGTTTGTCTAAAATGTCTTACGTGGGGATGAAGGAGAGAAGCATAAACATTTAAGAAAAAGTCCAAAGTCTTCCTCAGGAAAGCAGTGTGATGGTTTTCTTTCTTTCAACCTGTGCATGGCTGGGAGATTGAGGCCTTCCCCTCTCTTCAGCCTCTTTGCTGCCAGGAGCTTGGGCCAAGTCAAAAGCAAAGCACACACTTGGAGAGTTGACTGATGGCCCAGAAAAGCACGGGGTCATCTGATGCCTTCACACAGGCCCCTCACATGGACGGAGAAACTGGGTCTGCCAGGTGCACGCCTTCGGAGAGTTCTCTTGTCTCTGACCCTGTGGGTCACCCCACACAGTAGAAGGCAAAGTTAGCTCCTGCTAACTCTCCCTGGCTCAGCAGTCAACTGAAAAAGAGATAAACTCGTCTCTTTTCTAATTCACGTCCAAACAAGCCAACGAATGCAACTGTTGCAAAATGGAAAAATGAAAAAGTGCTTGTTCCTAAAGGGAAGAAGGGTGGGAGGACAGAAATTCCATGAGTGCCGTCTCTCAGCTTTGCATATCTGTCCTCTGCCCTCTCTTTCCAACCCAGGAGCTGTATATTCCATGAAGAGCCCTTCTCCCATAAAAGGAGACTAGATGGGTAGTGTCTTACTTGGGAGGCTGTCCCGACTGTGAAATGTCCATTTCATAAACTAGTAAATCTGACTTTCCATATTCCCACACTCTAATCCAGAGAGAGAAAAGATTCCAGAAGAATCTGCAGTAGAGGGCCCTTCTCTGCAAAGGGACTCAGGATGCTGCCTTATGGATGAAGCCTTAGGGATGTACCTCCACCATAAGATGCTCTAGAAGCCAGGAGCAGGAAAAGTAGAGCAGCAAGGGGCAATGCTGAGTAAAACTATTTACCCAGACTAATTTCTCTTTCACTAAAGCCCTGGTTGGGGCTGCAACAGAAAGGGATGAATATTGCCCTTTAACTTGATTGCCTACCTTTGGCATAATGGCTCCCAGAGGAGTGAAGACTCCAAGATAAAAGCACAGGCGAACCCCCTCTGGGAATTCCACACGGAGCAGGAAGAGTTGGTTGACTTGGGAAGAATTTCCATCAGCATGTTAACAGTGAGTACCTCTGAGACACAAGATTTTATGAAGTTTTCCTTTCCTTTTTATATTTTTCTTGATTGCTTGTATTTTTTGTTTATAATAAACCTAAACTATGTTATAATCAAGAAAGAAATAAAATACACATATGACCATGGTTTACTCCTCCTTCCAGAGACATAAGATAAAAACATGGGAATAAACTCATAACAGTCGAGGTAATGGGAGGAAACAGTGGAGGAGAGATCCCCGTACAATTTCAAGAGAGGTAAAGAGAATAGAAACCAGCTGACAAGTTGGAGAATCAGAACATGGAAGCCATATTCCAGCATGGTGGAGGAGGCGGAGCGGTGGGGTTGCAGAAAAGATAATTCATTATCTGGGGAAGAACTGGCCACTTGGTGGGGAGGCATCTTCTCACACATCCCTGAGTTTGGAGGTGTGGCAGCCATCTCCAGGCAAAAACGGAGCTCCCTTCCGTAGAGACAAACATTCTTTCTGAGAATTGGGGCTTCTAGATCCCTGTGTAAGTGGTGTCCTGGCCAGATTCCTCTGTCTGCTTAAGCCAAAGTGAAGCGCTGCCAGATGGTGACATGCTGCCGGGACACTGCCGGAATGTGATGAAGAGAAGCCGCTGCACCTAGGGCACATGACTCCTGCCTCATGACCCCTGTCTGGTAATCCAAGCTCAGCACCTGCCTCAATATCTATGAAAAGGACTCATATATCAATGACTTCAGATTTATAATAACAGAAATAGTGTCTATTGGTTTTTAACCTTGAGAATCAGTCTCGTAGGACACAGAAGATTAAATACGGTTATAGAAGAAAATGTGATATGATCAGCTTCCCAGTGTAAAAGCAAATTCCAGCTGTCAGAAAGTGAGAAAGGTATGGGAGGAAGAAGAGGGGCCCTCATGTCTTCATCTAATTGAGGTGAAAATCAAGACATACTTTCTAAAATGGATGTAATATAAAATATATGCTTACATTATTATTCAGAGGTAATACACAGTAGGACAAAAGTGTCAAAAATTAGGAAGAAGAAAAGAGGGAGGTTAAGGTGAGTTAATTCGTTAGCTTTCTGTAGGTATGAGTGACTTCATAATGTCTTAAGTTAATAAGTCAGGAAATAGCATATACATTAGTTATCGTCAAGGAGGGAACTTCCAGAATTAAGAGCAGAAACCATTTGCCTTGGGGAACAGAAACTACATGGGGAAGAATGGGGTGGGTGGTGACTATAGGTTTTCATTGTAATTTCTTCTGTTGATTTCTTTTCTTTTTTTTTTTTTTCTTTTTTCTTTTTCTTTCTTTTTTTTTTTTTTTCTTTTTTCTTTTTCTTTCTTTTTTTTTTTTTTTTTTTTTTTAGACAGGGTCTTGCTCTGTCACCCAGGGTGGAGTGCAGTGGTGCAATCTCAGCTTACTGCAGCTTCAACCTCCCGGGCACAAGCAATCCTCCTACCTTCACCTCTTGAGTCACTGGTACCACAGGCATGCACCACCACACCCAGCTAATCTTTGTATTTTTTGTAGAGATGGGAGTCTCACCATGTTGCCCAGGCTGGTCCTGAACTCCTGAGCTGAAGGGATCCTCCTGCCTTGGCCTCCCAAAGTTGTGAGATTACAGGTGTGAGCCACCACACCCAGCCCCTTTTCTTGTCTTTCTTTTCATTATTATTTTTTTTTCTTCTTACAATGCTCATGATAAACATTAGGGGGAAATGACTGGAGAAAGGAGACAGAGAGAGCATGCCATCAGGAGAGTACTTCTAGCCACAGATGTTCTGTTAATACCAGCCAGCACAAGGTGTTACATCTAACAGTATAAAATCAGTCTAATTGGTTGGTTGGTTTTTCCATCTCCTCTGAAAAAGACTTGACTCTCTGGCAGTCAGTGCTTTTGGGTTGGACTATGGCCTGCAACAGCCCCTAAGCACATTCAGGTTGTGTGACCTGGGCCTGTTCCCTGCCTCTCCTGGCCATTGCCTCTCAGCTTCCACCTGCTCCTGCCTCTTACAGGCTCACCCAGCTTGGACCCAGGGCTCCGGCTGGACCTTCAGCTCCTGGGTCTTGTTGATCTTCACACCAGGCTCTGCATCCTGGCCTTGTCTCTCCTCATTTTGGCCTTCAACCTGGTCAACCCAAGATTGAGCCAGGGCTTCTGGGCCCAAGGGGCATAAGAGAATAAAGCATTCTTGTTTAGCATGGACAGCCTGGGAGATGGGCAACCCAAGAAAACCCACTGGCAAGGAAGACTGCCCAGGAACGAAGAATCACACAGTGTATAGTGGATACACCATGGGCTTTGCGGTCAAGCCAAATTGGTCAGATCCTAGATCTGCTGCTAATTGTGTCATCTTGGCCAGAATATTGAAAGCCTCTGAGCTTCTTTTCCTTATCTGTAACGTGAGGACAACATAATCTCCCACATGGATTTATTGGGAGGATTAAATGAGAGCTTGTATATAAAAGTCCTTGCATACACCTGATTTGTGGTAGGTACGTAATGTTAGGCCCCCTCTCACCTCATCTATCCTTTCTTCTCCCTTTTATCTTATGTATATGTAGGCATAAAGTGAAAAGCAATGAAATGCTTTGCATATAATCACATGTAAGGTTAAGTAGTGCTAGGATGAATAATACTGCTGCTTTGCTGTGAGTGTCTGTTATAGCTTGGGGTACAGACTCATTTTCCTTAGGAAAAAGTCCCTCTTCCAGGCAGCTTGCCTCTGGGATAGAGGAGGAACCTGGGATCCATTAGGACTTCAGGCCATAAAATTTAAACATATTAGAATGCATAGGACGTTAGAGGGTTAGTCAGCAGCCAGCCATCATTTTTGCAGAGGAGACCCAGAACTTGACACCTAGAGAAGTTAAGTTGCCTGGTTTAATGTCACAGATCAGATCTACTGAACTCCCACCTGCTGCTTCTCTGAAATGAAAGATACCTCGAGAAGGTTGTTGTGTTTCTGTGTCAAAAGAATATAAGGGATGCAACAAAACATGGTCATACCTATGACCAGTATGAAAAAATATGCATGATAAAAAACACTAAACCAAAAAGAGGACAGGTATTTTAAAAGGCTTTTAAAAAAAACTGAATCTGTTAAAGTGATGCTGTAGTTAAATGCCACTATATCTTAAGAGAAAATTCTGCGTGGGCGTCAATACCACTGACAGATGGTGAGTTTACACAAGAGTGTCTATTGAATGCAACAGACATTACGTATCCCAAACAGAAACAACCAGAAATTCTGTTGCAGTGTGTGTTGAAGGTATGGCTAAGAATCCATAGCACGACTTACGTAAGAAAGGTAAATAATTACTAGTGTTTTCTTGCTGTAGCTGGTAAGTTAGTATATTTGTTCATGGAGTTGATTAGGATTGATGGGCTAAGAGGTCATTTGGATATATCAGTATGACAGACATAATATCAGGAAATGAACTATTTAGGGGTGCCAGGAGAGTCTTGATGGTTTGAGCAGACAGTAGACCAGTCAATATCAGACAGCGTGGTTACAGGCTGTGACAGGTGACCTGTTAGTGTTAATTTCAGACTTATTAGAAAATGTAGCAAGGCAACATTTGTAAGGACAGAGAACTTCAGCCCATTCATTACATTATTCACCAGCAATTGCTTAGCACTAAAAGGTTAGAATTGGAAAATGTCAGGGACATTGCAATTAGCACTGAGTACGGAATATGATTCTGTGCCTTGAACTGCTGAAAGTACAATGATTTTCATGACCCTCTTGAAACAGAACACCATATTCAGCTGTATTTCATGGAGTCTGGGGAGATCCATCGAGGGGGTTTAAAATTGGAAAGATATTTTGTTTTGTTTTGTTTTGTTGAGACAGAGTCTTGCTCTGTCACCTATGCTGGAGTGCAGTGGTGCTATCTTGGCTCACTGCAACCTCTGCCTCCCGGGTTCAAGCGATTCTCCTGCCTCAGCCTCCCAAGTAGCTGGGATCACAAGTGTGTGCCACCACGCCCGGCTCATTTTTGTATTCTGAGTAGAGACAAAATTTCACCATGTTGGCCAGGCTGATCTCAAACTCCTGACCTCAAGTGATCTGCCCACCTCGGCCTCCCAAAGTGCTGGGATTACAGACATGAACCACCGCGCCTGGCCAGAAAGAGTTTTTTTGAATTGTTGAAATAAATTGACTTGCTCATTGATCCAAGGAAAAATTTCCATGCCTTCTCACCAAAGACTAGGCCATCAGAAACAAAATCTGGAATATTTGTTTTGAAGGGTGTCTGTGCGTGAGATACCTAGACACTGTAGTTAAGAAATATAAGATGCAATGCACTCATTTCTAAAGAAATTACATCTGAGAAACTCATTTCATGGAAAATTATCTGACCCACTTAACTACACTGGAATGAGTTTCCAGAAATGAAAGTGATAGACGGAACTATATTCTTAAAATTGTCCATTTGTAGACCAGACTCCAAAAAATTGTATTTCAAACGTAATGAAAATGAAATAACATTGTTGAGTTTGCTTTCCTCAATTAATCTTGATAGGATAAAGGAAGCACTATAAATTGATATGCTTGAACTGTAGGGAAAAATAGTACTAAAAAATTTACCATAACTATACTGAAGTCCCAGAAATCTAAAGGTGTAACTTTTCTAGGAATCCATGTCCAGAAAACAAAACAGAAGAGACATTGACATTTTGATCTAGAAACAGCAGTGCCTGGTTTCCAGAGTTATATTAAAGAAGAAATGAATTATTTAAAAAGTGTATTTATTAAGCATTCCTTATTCTCTACTTGCATTATATACATAGAAAATCTAGTCAATATTACATATATTTACATATAACCTGCTAACATTCAAGTTTAATAAAAAATAAATCTGGCTGGGTGTGGTGGCCCATGACTATAATCCCAGCACTTTCGGCGGTTAAGGCAGGAGGATTGCTTGAGCCCAAGAGTTTGAGACTAGCCTGGACAACATGACAAGGCCCCATCTCTACAAAATATTTAAAAAATGAGTTGACCCTGGTGGTACATGCCTGTGGTCCCAGCTACTTGGGAGGCTGAGGTGGGAGGATTGCTTGAGCCTAGGAGTTGGAGGCTGCAGTGAGCTATGATTGTGCCACTGCATTCCAGCCTGGGTGACAGAGTGAGATTCTGTCTGAAAATAATAATGATAATAATAATAATAATAAAATAAGAATAAAGTGTATATGCCAACTTTTCTTAAATTTTGTCCACTCATTTCTGTTACCTGCCTGCTGTATAGGCATGTGACTTTCAATCCCTGGCCTGAGAGTCCCTGAACTTGAGGGAGGATTTGTTTCTGCACATCATGTGGCTGCTGCTGGCGGCTGCGTATCTGAGCTCAGGAGCGGAACACCACTTGGCCTGGGCAGAAACCCAGAGTATTGCCACAGAGAGGGCAAGCATCCAGGGACTGATCACATGAAGCTCCATCCACAATACTGTGTGGCACAGCCATGCAAGAGATACAGTTAACTACTAACAGTTTTCAGTTTCCAGATGCCTGGCCTTGACACCAGAAGTGATCATCAGCCCCTTTGTGCTGAGCCAGACTGGAATGGAAGAGTATTTTCTTGAATGAGAAGTGGAGGTCCCTAGAGGGAGATACTTGACTTCCTGGGACAAGTAGGGGCCTATGTGATTGATTAAAACAATAAAAGATAGAGTCATTCATATTTTTGTTTTTAATTGACCTCACGTGGATAGAATTAGATTAATTAGAACTCGATTTGTAACACACTCTCATCATGGCCTTCTTTGAGCGTGTGAGTGACTGCATTTGTTTAATTATTCAAAGAGATGAATGCATTCAAAGTCCAAATTTTATACTGAAGAATACTGTGCACCACGGTGAACTCTACTCATATGAGATCTAAAAGAAGCCCACAGAATGGACAACCAGTATTTATTGAGCATCTATTTGACTCAAAGTCCTATGCCGGGCCCTTTGCAAACATTTTCTATTTAATTCTCCCCAAATTGTCCCTGGGTAACTGCTTCTTATCCTCCCTGCCTCACTCCCTCCTGCTACTGTAAACTGGCTGGTCAGAAATAGAATTGCTGTGAGCGACAAGAACATTGCAGTGCAATATTCTCAGGTGGTTGGGTGGTTTGCTATTGGGTGACTTTCAATTTTCACAGCCGAACTTTAAAGTCTCATTAAAACAGTTTTTTGTTGCTGTTTGCTGAGTTTACGTCAGCAGCAATTCAGCAAATAAGCAGACACAGCAGATTGCCTGTTTTGGCAGGTCTAATAAGAGACCTACAAAAAATGTGATTGCGAAGGAAAAACGTGATTTCAGAACTAAAGCCTAGTGAGCCCCTTGGTAAGAATTGTCTTCTATAAATCCTAATTGATCTTTACATGTGAATGACTTTGAAAGAAAATGAAGTCTCTTTCTTCTCCCCCGTCATTGGACATGTTTGTATTGGCAGAAGTTTTGAATGGGTGATTGCTAAGGAGTTTGGAAATCTCTATTAGTGTCTGATGCAACCTGATGTCCTGAATAACATTAAATTTTTTTAAATCCTGAGCATGAAAAGAATCCCTCTTAGATTAGAGCAGCTATAAAGATCCCAGCTGGCCCTTCCCTAGGGTTTTAAAAGTTTTTCTAAGCATCTGGCTGGAAGAATCATGAGGAAATACTAAAATGGCTTGATATTTATTGCAGCTTCACCTGTGGGCAAAGGACTGTGCTTGGTGCTGGCTGAATCAGACAGGCCTCTCCCTCAAGTTGCCCACAGTCTCATGATGGAAGTAAGACAAGTCTCCAAAAATTGGAATTCAAGGTAGAAAGAAATAAGGGCCGTAAAAAGTACAAGGCAGGGCCAAGACTTGCATAAGGAGCTGCAGATCCGTGTGATCTTTAAGATGAGAGTTGCTAGTGTGGAACCGGGTTGTGCAAAAGGTTCTCTGGGACAGCGAAAGACAGAGGATGGGGAAGCCACGGTGGGTGGAGATGAGAAGATGGCAGTGAGAACCCAGCGAGAAGGCTTCCTTATGTTTGAGCTGCTGTGAGAAGAGTGAAGATGAGGCAGAATTACAAAGGCAGCAAGGCCTAATACTGCTGTGCCCTCACCCTCACTGAGCCCCTTTGTTGACACCTGCTGCCCAGATTCTCAGTACTCCCGCGCTATGGCTTGGTGTGCAGGGGCTCTGCCTCTGAGGGGCCCCACTCTTTCCTGTCTTCCTCCTTTTCCCCTCTCTGTTGTTCCTCCCTAGGGTCCAGGTCTCTACCTAGTAAGGGCTAAATTACTAACTTACTGATAGGATGAAATTAGTAATGACTCTGTATTTGTTTCTTAGAGGTCGATCTCTAAGAATGGCAATCTCCCTCCACACTGAGTCAAAAGGAAGGTATTTGAGGACTTGGATTTGTAAGTTGTTAGAAGAGCCTCTAAAGTCACCCTGCCCAGCCTCCTACTATTCTATCAAAGCTCCCTAAATCATCTCTGACAGGCAGATAGGCCTGGGTCTTGGCAGCCCCCAGTCCTGCCTGCCTGGGGAAGACTTAGGCACCATCCCCATGCACATCTTTATTCCAGGTCTCTGCTTGGTATCAGTCAAGCGCGTTAGGCAGAAGCTGGTCTGAATTACGGGCACAAAGCCCCTCTTCAGCTCCAGGGCAGCAGGGAGGCCTGGGTTCGGGGAGACCTTGCTTAGGGCGGGGATAAGAACAAGCTGCTACTCAGCTGTGGGCTGTTTATGTCAGGGACATAGCAGTCCACGCCAGGTGCCCGCGGTCCGCCCGGGTCTGTGGCCGGCAAGCTGCCGACAGGCCGGGGCGTCAGATAATGTGGGCATTCATTCACTCCGGCAGCTCCCTGCAGCACTCACTGGAGGAGAGGGGGTTGAATTCTGAACTAGGAGTACAGACAGCCCAGGGGTGCAAGCAGCCCTTTGCCACAAGTGCATTGCCACTGTCTTCGGGGGTTCCTCTGCAGGGTAGGGGGCGGGGGGCACTGTCAGCTTGGAGAGTTGAGACATCAGTTCAGGGTAATATGTGAACTTTTGTTGCCTGCCTTGCCTAAGTCTGTAATAAGACTAGTTAAAAATTGCTAGAATTTCCAAATCCTCTTTGTGACTTTTTCCCCCAGTAGGCTGCCTGCTAAGAAAGAGTAGACAGACCCAATGTCCTCCGATCAGTCTGGACTCAGTTCATCCTTCCCCTGGTACAGAAGAGCTGCGTCAGTCATTCTCTCTGTGATCTACTGATAAGAGTCCTGGACGGGGAATTCTAAGGCCATGGGTCTATTCCCAGCCTTGCCACTATGAATGTGACCTCCAGCAGTTAGGTAACTGTTTTGGCCTTCTGTTTCCTCACCTTTAAAATGGACATAATAGCAACTGTCCTACGTCCCTTCCGGGATGGCTGTAAGGATGAAATGAGAAAGCAATCACAAATCATGTCATACACAAGAGGCCAGTAAGTCCTCAAGGCTAGAGGTTGGCAAACTTTTATGCAAAGGGCCAGGTAGTAAATATTTTAGACTTTTTGTACTGTATCAGGCCTCTGTTGCCTATTCCTGTGTGTGTTTTACAACCCTTGAAAAATGTAAAACTAATTCTCAGCTCCTGGGTCACAGAAAAACAGGCCACAGGCTGGATCTGGCACACAGGTTGCAGTTTGCCAATCTCTGCTCAGAGCGAATCAGAGGTGAGGACTGGAGGTAGGGTCAGCAGTTGTGATAAGTCTGAATCTAAATAAACATTAAAAATACGTAATATATGAATCATATATAAATAGAAAGGAATTTACATATACACGTTTTTTCTGACTTGTGGCCCGCACTCATGTAATTATTTGAACCCCAGCCCATAGGCCATCTTGTCTGAGTACTCCTAGACTATTTTGCCATTCACTGAATTCTTCATTGCCTAGCCTAACCAAATGAAACAATCAATCATCCAGAGGTGGCTCAGGGTCTGTCTGGCATCCCTCCTGGGCAAAACAGCATCTACTCTGAATTGCTTAGCAGTCTTACAACTAGAGGGCAGCCTTCAGCCTCAGCTTGGCTGGTTGTCACTCCTAAGAGGTTCATTGGGGCCTTACAGAAATGAAACCGCTGGCAGACCATCTTGCCTACCTGGGCAGTGCTGCCTGGGCATAGCTCCTGCATGGCCTCCTTCTCAGGGAGAGTGGGACAAGGATCTTCATTTGGGGATCGCTACTGCCCATGTAAAAACCAATTCGTGTTACCGGTGACAATGAGCATTCTGACAGTACTTTGTTGACTGTGTGTTTAAGCTGTTATTATTTCTCCCATAACACCCTAATGAGATAAGCTGGCATTATCACTGTCATTTGCAAACAAGGGAATTGTGATGACAGATATTTAAACAACGTGCTCAAGACACAAAAGTCAACTTTCCTGATGAGGTGGACCAATGTTTCTGGTTTCTCATCTCTCCCATGAGATCCCTTTTCCCCTTTGCATGTCTCTTTCTCCTTTTCCCAGCCTCACTCTTCATTAGAAGATATCAGAGGAGCCACAGAATGAACCCCTTAATGAGAACAGCTGATAACAAAGAATGTTTATTTCCTTCTCTTCCCTTCCAAAGGATTTCCAAAGAAAAATGGCATGTCAGTAACACTTATCTACAGTAACGAAAGCAGCTAGATTTCAGATATACACATACAAGAGGAAGTGCCGACCTAATCCATCTTACTTTTGTTGACAAGTGTGGAAATATGAAATAAATGCAACACTTTAGAATCAAGGTCTTAGCTAGCAACACCTAGTATCCTCCCTTGACAGAAGGGTGTATGGAGAGACAGAAAGGGTATGAGCGTTTCAAGGAGATGGCTGGTGTTCCGAGCTGAGGCTGGTGCTCCTGTCTCTGACTTTGAGTCCAGTCCATCTTATGTATTTATATTTTTTGAAACGGAGTCTTGCTCTGTTACCCAGGCTGGAGTGCAGTGGCATGATCTCATCTCACTGCAACCTCTGCCTCCTGGGTTCCAGCGATTCTCCTGCCTCAGCCTCCTGAGTAGCTGGGATTACAGGTGCTCACCACCATGCCCGGCTAGTTTTTGTATTTTTAGTAGAGACGGAGTTTCGTCGTGTTGGTCTGGATGGTCTGGAACTCCTGACCTCCTGATCCGCCCGCTTCAGCCTCCCAAAGTGCTGGGACTACAGGAATGAGCCACCGTGCCTGGCTGTCCAGTCCATCTTCTATGACACCCTGCTCTTGCCCAGGTTGTCAGTACCTTGCTGGTCACATGCCTACACAGCTGCACCTCAGGCCTGTCGTTTCATTCTTATAATCTCTAACAGTCTTGTCCCTGTCCAGATGAGGATCTCTATCATTTCTAATTCCGTCCAACATTTTCCCTCTGGACGATTATTTCATTTTGTTAGCACATTAGGCTAAAAGCTCAAGGCTGCTGTTTCAGCACAGCACAGAGGACAACTCTATTCCACAAGAGAAGGTGCCAGTCCTCCAACACAGACGACACCTCCAAACGTGACCCAAGGAGCTTACAAATGCCTGGCCCTGTTCACAGGAGGGACAGAGCAGATAGCTCAGGGTCTGTCTAGCATCCCTTCTGGGCAAAACTGAAAGTCCCCATCATGAGGACAGTGGCCATCTGCACTCTTTTCACAGATGAAGGGAAATACTTTAGAAGCAAAAACTTAGCCAAGAGCAGCGCGTGGCAACCATTAGGCACATAATAAAGGTTGACTAAATGAACGAAAACCCTTCTACAAAGATTTTTGAGGTGAAGCTTTTTAGAAGAGGAATTGCACATGCTAATGAACTTAAAAGATAAATGGCTTCTCTGGGAACACTGTTTAAACATCAATTTCTTAATAAAAGTGTGATAAACGTAGAAGATGGATAGCGGTGTCTCCCACCCTGAAACTATGGCGAGCCAGAGATGAAAAATTCTTATCGTCCAATCTTGGTTTCATTAAACTACATGCATCTGTCATTGTGTTATATTTTACAACTTTGTTCTTTTACTAGAGTTTGGGTTGATTTATTCCTGACAATGTGCAAGAGATACGTCTTCATCTCATCACAAAGTCAAATTCTAGTGACCCCTGAAAAGCTTTTCCAATGACCACTAGTCCCAGTCATGCAGTGCAAGTTTTCCTTAGTTTTAGTTCAAACACTGGATGCTCTTGACCTTGCATTTAGACTTTGGAGAGGGGCATGTCCTACTGTCTTGGGGCTGTGGCCCTTGGTGCGGGGCCTCCTGAGCAGCCCAGACTATCAGCTTCATGAGAGCCCTGGGGAAAATGCTGATTTTATTCTTCCTACTTTATAGTCTGTTACTCCTGCAGAGAGGTCAGGAAAAATCAGATTTAGGAGAAAATGTAGTTTGTCACAACATCCTTGAATCCCACTAACTTCAGGATACCAGCCAGTCTTATTGGTATGGCCAGATAAGGTCCTCCATGATTTGTTCTCAACCTCCCTTTATAGTCCTCATCTTCCATCCCTCTCCTCCAGGCCCCATCAGCTTCTGTGAACAGCTTCTCCCTTCCCCGGTGTACCAAGCTCTTCTTTTACCTTTGTGCCTTTGCCTGTGCCCAGAAGGCCCTTTGTCCTTTTTGTGACTTGGTGAAATACTCATCCTTCAAGACCCTGCTCAAATAGTCGTCCATGAAGCCTTTCTGGATTCACATAGGCTGTCATTTCTTTCCACTGTTCTTTCTTAATGCCTTGTGCAAACGTTTCTGATGATACATAGGACTCTCCAAAAGTTACCTGTTTATGAGTTTATCTCCTCTACCAGTCTGTGAGCTCCTGATAGGCAGGGATGGTAACTACTCATTGTTGCCTCCTGAGCCTAGCCTTGTGCCTGGCCATAGTCATCTCTAAGAAATGTTGAGACAATGGAGAAATGACCTGAAACTAGATCTTGGAAGCCTTTGATATCCCAGCAAAATGATTCAATGCTATCTTCAGTGATATCCATTGTAGGGTATTCACAGTGATCCACTGGCGGTCAGGGAGAAAGTATTAGAACTACTATTTATGGTTTGTCAAAAATTAACAATGAAAGTAAACTTTTCTAATATTTTCTATAAAATGACAGTAGCACACATATTTGATTTATAAATAAATACAAACATTGGCCAGGCATGGTGGCTCACGCCTGTGATCGCAGCACTTTGGGAGGCCAAGGCGGGTGGATCATGAGGTCAGGAGTTAAAGGTCAGCCTGGCCAATACGGTGAAACCCTGTCTCTACTAAAAAATACAAAAATTAGCCAGGCATGGTGGCGTACACCTGTAGTCCCAGCTACTTGAGAGGCTGAGGCAGCAGAATCACCGGAACCCAGGAGGCGGAGGTTGCAGCGAGCCGAGATCACCTCCACTGTGCTCCAGCCTCAGCAACAGAGCAAGACTCTGTCTCAAACAAACAAACAAAACACATACATTAAGAATAGGAGGTGCCTTTGAGAATTGTAGGCTGCTGTTGTAAGTAAGTGGAAGCCACTGAAAGACTCTGAACCGGGGGAAAACGTGAAAAAAACAAGTGTTCAGAAGAATTGGTCTTATAGACTAGATGGAGATAGAGTCACCAATCAATGGGCAAGGCACTGAAAGGGCCATACACAAGAGACAAAAGACGAGACAAGAATAGGAGTGATAGGAGCGGGTGGAAAAGAAGATCTACTAAAGAATGATCATCATTATCTTTGTTAGCATCGTTCCATCAGTGGAACTGGGTCACGTATTGTCACAGTAAGGAGAAGGAGAAAGAGCCGCATGGAGACTCCAAATGCAGTCACAGAATGAGACCACAGGCTAAACTCAAAGGAGAACATGGAATACTTTGCCCCAGGCTTAGAGTCTATAAGTGAGACTTTCAAAAACCGTTTTTCCCCACTGGTTTGAAGGGGCAACAAATAAAGGCCACTCCTCGGGCCTGTCCAATCCCAGATTGGGGCTTCTCAGTAAAGACTATTTATAGCTCTGATTATTGCAGCAAGGTTATGCAACTGCTGCGTGGGGCAGGCAGGACAGCTGTCCCGAGCCCTTGCCGGGTGAGTGACCGTCTGACCGTCTTCTGGCTGCTTCCTGTTGGCTTAGGAGACAACAGAAGAAGGTGGATTTGTTTGTCCATTGAGCAACCTGCCATTGCCCTGCCTGTGCCCGCCTGTCTCCCTTTAAACATTAACAATCTCTTAAAACATTTGGGTTTTGTGCCCAAGGCCGAGGGGATCCCAAGAGAAAGAGGAACAGAAAAGGGGAGGAGGAGGAAAAGAAGGGAGCGGGGAGGAAGGGAGAGAGAGTGTTCCCTGCGTCAACAATTTATTCTTTCCACAAACATTTCTAAGTGTCCATGGTGACCCAGACATCATGGGAACTTCAGGGTTCCAGAGCTGAGTAGAACACAACTCCCATCCTTAGGGATTCACCATCCAGTAGAGGAGAAAGACGTCGAGACAGAAGACAGAAGGGAAAGGAAAAGCTCAATGCTGTGCCTTCAACTTAGCTTCTCCATTTTTTGGAGAAGGGTTAATAGGGGAAGCAGAGAGAGAGAGATGAGAGACCAAAGTTTCTAGGGCCCTTATCTCCAGAGCAGAGGGTCTGAAACCTTAGTGAGCAAAAACTGATCCGGAAGACTTGTTGGAGGCATACCTTCCAGTTCAGCGAGCCATTTCAGCAGATTGGAGGTGGGCCCAGGGCTCTGCATTTTCCCAGCTCTCTGGGGGATCTAGATGCAGGTAGTCTGTCATCACAAGGGGATGCTGCTCTTCCACAGTGGGCCTGGAGAACCAGAACTGGCAACTGCCTGGCCCCAGAGCTGCCAGCCATGAGGCGGGTCCACCAGAGACTGATGGAGGAAAGAGGAAGAAGAAAGGGAAGGGAACAGGGAACCTCAGAGAGGATTAGGGTGGGAAATGGAAAAAGAGAAAATCCAAGGAGTGCAAAAGAGAAAAGGGAGGCCTCTCTAAGGAGGACAGCGAGTATTAGCGGAGGTGCTAGGGCCACTCAGGGTGACTGATGTCC
The DNA here is from genome assembly GCF_000001405.40 of Homo sapiens. NCBI lineage: Eukaryota > Metazoa > Chordata > Mammalia > Primates > Hominidae > Homo > Homo sapiens. The sequence goes on along the minus strand of NW_018654717.1, from coordinate 4,025,779 downwards.
ATGTGTTAGCCACGGACATTGAAAGATTTTTGGTCTTTCAAACTCGAGGACTTGCCTAACCAAGCACAGAGCAAAGAACAGAAAGCTGATTTTGCTAGATGCTTGGGCGTCAATATCACGTGGAACCAGCCTTTTCTTTGATACCTCTTGCGTTTCTTGCAGATCCCCTGCCTGCAGCACGTGCTGATCTCCAAGGGTGAGGCTGGATGAAGCCAGGGGCTATGGAAAGGGAGACTGTTTCAGAGGACTTGACACCATCTTCAGTAATTTCTCTGGTTCTTGGCAGCTCCATTTGGCTGCGTCCCTACCCTGCATAACCCTCCCAGCTAGTCTACTCCAGGGCAGCGTCCAGCTGGTGACCTGAGAGGGCAGTGGCGCACCAGTCTCCATGAAGGTTGAGCTCCGATGGCCAACGGCCATTTCCACCTTGTGGTCTACAACTCTTCATCCCGACTGCATGGAGGTTGGTCTCTCTCTTCAGCTGGATTTAGGCCACCATCTGAGCCCCCGGGGTACGTTTTGTCTGACCCTGGCGCCATTCGAACGGTTCTTCTACAGCATCAGGTACGATGTTCCTATTTAGTTCAACCCCATTCCTAAGGCGCGTTTCCACTCCTCCACTCCTTTCCAAATGGACATCTCCTCCCTCATTCTCTCTCTTTTTTTTTTTAAATTTTATAATATAAATATGTATTAAAAATAGAGACGGAGTCTTGCTATGTTACCCAGGCTGGTCTCGATCCCCTTGGCTCACGTAATCCTCTCACCTCAGACTCCGTAAGTGTTAGGATTACAGGCATGAGCCACCTCACCTGGTCTCCTCCCTCATTCTTCAAGCGTCTGCTCTAGCGTTACCTTCCCTGTGAATTCTTTCTTTCCTTTTTGCCATTTGGAATCCTTTTTCTTTTATTTATTTAATTGACAAATAATAATTGTACAAATTTATGGGGTGCTTAGCGATCTTTTGATACATAGAAGGTATAGTGATCAGATCGGGATAATTAGCATATCTGTCACATCAAACATTATCATTTCTTTGTGTTAGAAATTTTCAAGATCCTCCTTCTAGCTCTTTGAAACTATATGTTTCTATTAACTACAGTCATCCTACAGTGCTATAGAACACTAGACCTTCCGCCTCCTATCCAGCTGTAATTTTGTATCATTTAGCAAATCTCCCTGTTCTTTATCCCATCTTCCCTTGTCCCATTTGAAGTTCTTATCACGTGGTACTGGCACTCCGTTTGGGTATGCGCCACCCATTTTACTGCAGGTTCCAGGGATCTAGTCTCATGGAGGTCACTGGGGCAGAATGATTAGGAACTCAGGCTAAACTAATTCAGAATCTCAGCACTGTCACCTGTCAGCTGTGTGACCTCGGGCACGCTACTTCATCAACCTACTCTCAGTTTCCTTACCTATAAAATGGACAAACAATTGTACTTACTATTAAGGTTAAGTGTAGTTACTATTAAGGATATAACTTGGTCCAGCCCCTGGAACATTGTAGCTCTCAATAAATGTTTGTTCTTCTCATTATACATATGCATATCCTTACTTTAATCTCTGTGGATTTAATACAGAGTGGATGCTCAATCACGTTTATGGGATTAGCAGTTAAGATATGTACCTGTATCGCTGCGTCTGTCCACTAGTATATTTTAAGAAGGAATGGGTAATTCGATATATCTGTTCATGGATCAATATTTTATGGTCTTTCCTCTATGCCAGGATTGGTTCAGAGTGGAATTATCTACCCAAGCTCGGGCAGGTCCATCAATCGCTCTTCTTTTGTGTCCGTTGCTTCGGAGTGCCTTTCTCACTTCTGTTCCCATCCTTATATTTGCTGCCCTGTTTCTGAAGGAGCAGATCAGAAAATGGGGGCTTTTTAAAAGGACCTTAAACTGAGCCTGAGCTGTCTAGAGGAAAACAGCAAAAGAATTCTATCAAGTCTGTTGTAATTTGAATTCCCCCTTTCCCCTATCAATTTCCACCCTGTGAAATGAGGTGGGAGGAACTAAATACACTCTGCAGTCCCTGTCAATCGCAGTGGTCTGTGATCTTTTTTGTCCATGGGGGCACTTTTAGCTCAGCAAGGTAAAGCAACGTTAGCAAACAAACACAATTTAATGACTAGTTCTGGCTCTCTGATAAGGATACTCTCAAAAAGAAAACAGGTGCAATCTCTACTGTTTGCCCAATTTGCTGCTTGTCTTTGCACTTGCCTGGAATTACTAGAGGCTGTTTGCCTGGCTGAGCTGAATGTCTAGAAACCTGGTTTCTGTCCCTTTGAGTTCAGAAATTTTGAGAAAAGATAACAAGAGTGGACTGAGCTCAGAAGGAACTAAGCTTTTCTTAGAGACTTTAGTCAAATAACAGAAGGTTAAACATGAAGAGGAAATGATTGGTAAAATAGGTGAAAAACCAGTAGCAAATCGTGTACTGCCTTTACCTCTCTTCCAGGAGAACCTGGCTACAAGTCCCAGCCTTTACCATGGAGGCTGAAGGTGTGGGGAGGGACTTCAGCCTTCTCCTCAGCCCTGCCCTTACTCTGAGACAAGGAGCACCCCTGGCACCGCAGTGAGATCTCTGCCCTGCCAGCAGGCAGAGCCCTGGCACAGTCCTTTGCCCCATCTCTTCTTCCCTCTACTATTCAAGGTGGCTTACTTTGAATCCATTCTTCCTGTCAGGCCATTGTTCCTTATCCTCATTAAATCTATGTTTCTTTAGAAAAGCATTTTTAAAAAATTTACATGTATGCCTTGTATTAGTCCATTTTGCATTGCTAAAAAGAAATACCCAGGACTAGGTAGTTCATACAGAAAAGAGGCTTACTTCGGCTCATGGTTCTTCAGACTGTGCAAGAAGCGTGGTGTCAGCATCTGTTTTGGGGGAGGCCTCCGGAAGCTTTTACTAATGGCAGAAAGTGAAGGGGGAGCAGATGTGTCACACAGTGAGAGTGAGAGAGAGAGGGAGGTGTCAGGTTCTTGTTAACCATCAGATATCAATAACTAATAGAGTGAGAACTCACTCATCACCAAGGGAACCAAGCCATTCATGAGGGGTCCACCCCCATGATCCAAACACCTCCTGCTAGGCCCCACCTCCAACACTGGGGTCACATGTCAACATCAGATTTGAAGGGGACAAACCTCCAAACCATATCATATCTCTTCCCCTAAAGAGATTATACTTGGCAGCCACTTACCTAGGCCTGTCCCACCACCCCCAGCCAGCCAGCACCAGCTCTGGCCCCTACCTCTTCCCACTGATCGTGATTGACTGCTGGCAGTTGGTGGCATGCTTTCCTGTGTCTTAACGTCAAATTCAGAGACACTACAGTAAAAGTCAGTCCCTAAATGAACCATCCCCTCAATGAATGTTCCCTGGACATCATTTACAAGCCATTAGGCACTACGGGAGGCCCATAGGTAGGAAGGGCCATGGGATCCAAGGGAAGAAGCAACTAGCTCTGCCTTGGGGAGCTGGGGAGGGTTTTGCAGGTAGAGAAAGGAAAGAAGGACAGCCAGGAACAGAATGCAGGGTGGGTATGTTGAGGGGTGAGAAGCGGAGGAAGTGTGACCTGTTCAGGAAATGGGAGGTCGTTCCGAGGAGCTGGAACACAGCGTGCAGGGAAAGTGATGGGAGATGACATCGTGAAGGGACGTAAAGGCATTTGGACTTGCCCCTGTTGGCGATGGGATAATCATCAGGTACCTCGGCAAGGAGCTGAAAAACAAGAGTTTTAGGTCTTCCCATTTAAATTAACCTGTTCAGTCAGCACGCTAGGGGTATTCAAGTAATTAGAAATGAACCTTGAGAAGGGATGGTGGGGAAAACGCCCCCAGGGCAAGCAGTAGGTATGCTTTCAACTCGTGGAAACTGCTGTAGACAGTGGGATCTAATTATCCCACATCTTCACCTTGCTGGAACCAACTGACATACACCTTGCAGGAACCAAGCTTGTCTTATTGCACTCCTAGAATACAATTGACTCAGCTACCTCCAACTCCTGTCATATTCCACATTTACTTTATGCACATAGATTTACTATATTTACATATTCACCATATTTATCATACTATGATAGATAGTAGTAAAGTTCTTTGTAACACACAGAGTGTTCTACAAATAGATTGATAATTTGTATTGTAGCTTTCCATGGGTGTGCCGAGAGGATCTAGCCAGAATGCATATTGCCGCAGATACCCGCCTCTGAGAAAGTTTCTCCCTTCAACTTTACTATAAAGCAGAAATATGGAAGTAAGAAGAGATGGGCACAGCCAATCCCATCAGCCAACTCCAATTTGGTGACCAATATTGTGATTGTTCCAAATTATAACCCTGAGGCAGTGAAGATAAAGTGTGTTTTGTGGAAGCAGGACTTTTGCCTGGGCGTGGTGGCTCACACCTGTAATCCCAGCATTTTGGAAGGCCGATTGTGGGCGGATCACTTGAGGTCAGGAGTTCAAGACCAGAATGGCAAACATAGTGAAACCCCATCTCTACTAAAAATACAAAAATTAGCCAGGTGTGCTGGTGTCTGTAATCCCAGCTACATGGGAGGCTGAGGCAGAAGACACACTTGAACCCAAGAAGCAGAGGTTGCAGTGAGCCGAGATCGCGCCACTGTACTCCAACCTGGGTGACAGAGCAAGATTCTGTCTCAAATCAATCAATCAATCAATCAATCAATCAATCAATCAAAGCAGGACTTTGGAGAGCCCTTCATATACTGAGAATTCAATGGTCACTGAGAATTCAAAGAAGGTTATTTGAATCCAGCATTTCTCAAGGTTGATTTGACAACCAAATCTCCTGTTTCCGGGTCCACATTGCCTGGAGGCCCTCCAAGATACTCAAGAAATAGTAGAGTCTGTGTCCTATATTTCAAAAGGAAAATGTTCATTTCTGGGGGAAGCTGTAGGTAACCTGTAATGTGGGAACTAGTCCAAGAGGCAGCACCAGGAGCTGCAGCCGCGGAAAGCCAGCAGCTCCCCGTCTCTGCGGTCGATCCTTACCCTGTAGCCTTGGGTGTGGTCTGAGAAGCTTCCTCTGATGTTCTTAGCTAAGACCCGCCCTACTTCCCACCTGCCTCACCCCACATGACCATCTTTTTATTACCACCCCTGACTCGTAGTCTTATCCCTGGACCTCCTTAGTATTCCCTTTGCTTGATGTCTGTAACCCTGACCTGGGGCTTATTGTAAGAGCTCAGGGAGAAGGACCAAGGCTAAATTGATAATATTCTCTCATTAATGTAACACCGCCTTATGAAATATCTCTATTCTATTCTATTCTATTCTGTTCTGTTCTGTTCTGTTCTGTTCTGTTCTGTTCTGTTCTGTTCTGTTCTATTCTATTCATTTTATTTTTGAGACAGAGTCTCACTCTGTTGCCTAGGCTGGAGTGCAGTGGCGTGATCTCGGCTCACTGCAAACTCCATCTCCTGGGTTCAAGCGATTCTCCTGCCTCAGCCTCCTGAGTAGCTGGGATTACAGGCATCCGCCACCACACCAGGCTAACTTTGTATTTTTGATAGAGATGTTGCCCAGGCTGGTCTCAAACTCCTGAGCTCAAGTGATCCGCCTGCCTCAGCCTTCCAAAGTGCTGGGATTATAGGAATGAGCCACTGCGTCCGGCCCACTTTCTTCATGTTTTTAAGTTGTTGTTTGTTTCTATTGTGGGTGGGAGGTTCTTTTAGGAGTCCTTTTGCTCTGTGATCTACGTCTCATAGTCAGTAATTATTTTCTTAATTTTATGCGTGCTCCCTAGGGTATAATCTGGTTTTCAATCTTCATGTCGTGTCTGTCTTGTTTTCACCTCTGATGCTTTTGGTTGTCTTCATTCGAAGGCAAGGAGAAACCTTCGTTTGTTTTTGCTTTCGCTTTTATGATTAATAACATGTAATTCTTTTTTTAGTGTGACGTTTTCAGAATTACTCGCACAAAGTGCTCTTCACAAGCGGTTGTGGTGCAGAAAGCAGCAGTGAACGGGAGCGCTTTCCCCTTTGTACTGGGGAGAGCTAGGTTTTCCTGGTCTGGCCCCTTTGGGGTTTTGGTTCCTAGGCTTCTGACTCTAAAGACACTCCTGAGTTCTCTTTGTAAAGCAAAAAGACAGCTGATTTCTGAAATCACATGATACATTTTAAGTAATTCAATCCCAAACTGCGTTTGAATAAGAAACCATCCTCCAGCTTCAAGCTTTCCCTCCATCAGCATTACTTTTTATTCAAGATAAAAATGTCCTCCTGGCTTCCCCTCCCTCTACTAGAATTCTCGGTCACTTTCAAAAGCCCCATTTTACTTTGTTTGTTTGTTTGCTTGTTTTATTTTGTTTTGTTTAGAGACAGAGTCTCGCTCTGTTGCTCACACTGGAGTGCAGTGGTACCATCTTGGCTCACTGCAACCGCCACCTCCCTAGTTCAAGTGATTCTGCTGCCTTGGCCTCTGGAGTAGCTGGGATTACAGGCACGCCACACCCGGCTAATTTTTGTATTTTTAGTAGAGATACGGGTCTCCCCATGTTGTCCAGGCTGGTCTTGAACTCCTGATCTCAAGTGATCCGCCCACCTTGGCTTCCCAAAGTGCTGGGATTACAGGCATAAGCCACCACGCCTGGCCCATTTTACTTTAAATAATATAATTTCTTCTATTCTTCCAGGCGTTCACCTGGCTCCTAGGGCTTTTGTGCTGTAGGCCTATATTTCCAGCTACTTTTGGAAAAAATCTCTCTGGAGGCTCAATGAGCTTGTCACATCAGCCTGCCCAGAGGTAAAGCACATTTCTCTGCCCTCACACGCCTCTCCCTTGCTGTCTTTAACTTAATCAATGCCCGTAACACCCTCTACAATGCTGAGCAAGCTCAGATCCTCCTAGTCTTCATGGCATCCTTCTTTTTCTTTTTCCATTGGTCTAATCTGATTGAATTTAAATTTTGCACATTTTGCATGAGTAATTCTCTTGCATGAATCTCTTTCTCTTCCTCCCTTCTGCCATCACTGGCTCTTGTCCTCTCTTTACTGGACTGTAGAATAATCTCTTTGGTGGTCTTCCTGTGGTCTTCCCTTCCCCTCCACTAAATCTACTCTCTATTCAGTATCAAGAAAGACTTAATCAGCAGTGAATACTCTCCACCAAGCCCTTGACCCATTGTCAGTCTCTGGCATCAGATCCTTTCCAGTAGGGCAAAGTGCAACTGCAGCCAGCTCATGCCTTCAAGAGAAGGACTGAAGATCATTGTGTGCCTAAACCAAGTAAGTCTAACTGCTCCTTCACCAGCTCACCCAAAACTATAGGGGCCTTCTACAGTCACGTTCCCATGGCTCTGGGAATTCCTCCAGACTTGAACTCTGGTTTGGCTTCCCCAGTTTATATCCTATGCTTCATACCAAGGTCTTCCCACTTTGCCTATCCTACAAGAAGTAGTGGCCAGGTTGGACTTTCTGATAAGTTTGGAGATTGCTTCTTGGCTGACCCTTGGTACCTTGTTCTACTAGCCACAGCTAAGCTCCACAAAGCCTAGGTGAGTGGGACACTGCAACCCAGCCCAGACCCAACACTATGGCCTTCTACCAGTTGAGCATGGGATCAAGATGAGACTTCTAGTGCCAATACTAAAGACTATGAGGTTTGCAAGGTGAAGTTCACTGTCAACCTCTTATAGTCCATAACAAATATTTCTAGTTTGTTCACTCATTGAGTCATCCAACAAGTATTTATAGAGCAACCGTCAAGTGCCATATACATTCCATGGTGTTAGGGATATAGCAGGGAAAATGTCAGACAAGGTTTCTACTCATAGAATCCATATTCTACTATTGGAGGAAAAGAGATAGCACATATAGCATCAGTCATTGTCAATGATCTTAAATGTCTGAAGACAATTAGCTTTATAAGATGTAAGTGACTGAGAGGGAAGGGCTATTTTAGACAAAATGCTCAAGGAATTAGCTCTGGGAATATGATGTTTAAACAGAGATCTGAATGACAAGAAGAAGCCAGCATGCCAATGTTGGTGGGCAGAGTATACTGGGTAGAGAGACCAGCACAAGTACAAAACTCTAAAGTGGGAATGAACCTGGATGAGTCTGAAGGATGGGAAAAAGAATCATGTGGCTGGATTTGATGAGCAAAGAGGTGAATAAGAGGAAAAATTAAGTCAAACAGGAAGACACAGACTAGATCATGTAAGGCCTTGGTAAGTGATATGGTTTGGCTGTGTCCCCACCCAAATCTCATCTTGAATTGTAGTTCCCATAATTCCCACTGTTGTGGGAGGGACCCAGTGGGAGATAATTGAATCATGGGGGTGATTACCCCATGCTGCTGTTCTCATGACAGTGAGCGAGTTTTCACGAGATCTGATGGTTTTATAAGTTTTATAAGGGGTTTTCCCCCCTTTTGCTCGGCACTTCTCTCTTGCCTGCCACCATGTAAGACATACCTTTGCTTCTCCTTCTCCTTCTGCCATGATTGTGAGGCCTCCCACCCATGTAGAACTGTGAGTCCATTAAACCTCTTTTCCCTTATAAATTACCCAGTCTCAGATATGTCTTTCTTAGCAGCATGAGAACAAACTAATACAGTAAATTTGCATAAGACATTTGCCCTTCCCTTTGAAAGCAATGGGAAGCCATGCTCTGCATACTCAGAATAAGAGTGAGATTGGAAACCATGGTGATTGAAGACCTATTGGGAGTGAAGACTTGAGCCTTGAAGGAGAGAGTGACTGCAAAGTTTCTCAGATATCTGCAACTGGGGATGATATCTGGATGGGATGCCTGGGCCCTGGGGTTAGTGAGGAGTTCAAAGAAGAAGGAGCAGAAATGGATTCAGGAGAGAGTGAGCAGAGACTCAATGTTCTGTAAGTAAGTGCTCCTACAGGGGAAGGGTTAGAGAGGTCGGTAGAGGGGCCCAGGATTCCGGGAAGCTGGAGATTCCAGCTCTAAGACATGCTATTGTAGCCTCAAGACAGATGCACAATTATAGGTTGCAACAGTGGAGTGATTTTGAAGAAGCAAAAATACTCAGTGCAATGGACTGAATGTTAGTGTCCTTCCAAAATTCATATGTTGAAACCCTAATCTACTATGTGTTAGGATTAGGAGGTAAAGCCATTGGGAGGTAATGAGGGTGGAGTTCTCAGGAATAGGATTGGTGCTCTTATCAACGGAACCCCAGATAGCTCTCTCGCCCTCACTCCACCACATGAGGATACAAGAAGTCTGCAGTGTGCAATCTGGAAAGGGCCCTCAACAGAACCCGACCATGCTGACACTTTGATCTTGGACTTCCAGGCTCCAGAACTGGGAGAAATAAACTTCTGTTGTTTGCATGTCACCCAGTCTATGGGGTACTTTGTTGTGGCAGCCCAAATGGGCCAAAACACCCACATTCATCACTAGCAGGCCCTGGACATATTATCCTATTGATTCTCAGCTCCGCTCTCTTGCACCGTGGGCACCCTAAAACAAGACACATATGTAAAAATACATGTAAACATGGCACCCTGATATGTACGCAGGGTGGGCCCCAGATGTGCCTAGCATGCTAACAGTATAAATCCTGGCCTCAGGCAAACGGCCTTCTTGACCTTCCAAAGGACTAATAAGCAGCCCTCCCTTGAGAAGGCCTTTCTCCTTTCATGATTGTTCCTTTTCTTGCATGGTAGATTTTACCTTTGCTAATATGCAGTGGTTAAAAAAAAGAAAAAAAGGAAAGGAAAAAAAGCAACCCTACCAAATAGAAGGGACTTTGAAAGTGTGAAGACTGCTCAGTTCTCTGACAAGCCCTGCTGCCTGAGTCCCCAGTGGGGCACTGGAATAAAATTAGGACTGTATGAAGGATGAATGGGTCGTCTGTCTCCTGCAGAGCCCTGCCGTGTGGACAGGGCCAGAGTCATCACTTGGTGCATAAGCTGGAATAGAGCGCCTTTCATTCAGAGTTCCCAGGACACTTCACAGCTGCTAAAATGATCCTAAGCAAATATTTGTAGCCACACAATACAGGTGGGAATATGGAGGTACCAAGAAGAAAAAGGATTGGCCAAAACCCCCAGAGTCAACTCCAGAGGTAGGACCAGAAGCCAGAACCTGAGCCAGTTCAGGGCTCTGTCGGCAGGATCAGGCCTGGGAAAGGAGGGTGGGATTTCGTGACTAAGAAGAGTGGTGATCAAACAAATTTGGGGGGTCCACAGTAACAGCTGGCTGTGAGCCCACTGCTTCCTAATCCAGTGCCACTCAGGCAAGTATGTTCGGTGCCTTGGTGACCTGCAGCTCTAAGTGGCTAGAGAGCTTTAATAATTCAAGGCCTCTGATTAGACTGACAGTGTCTGTCCGAGGGAGATGTGCTGTTGAGTGTTTTCTGTGTTCCAGACAAATTCACTTACAGTTTCAATTAAGCCCATTTCTTGTATACTGGGGCCCAAAAGGCAAACGCACAAAACGGGCATGTGATTGTGCTGCCAAGACAAGGGTGAGCACAAGATAGTCTGCCTACCAGAGGCTGTAGGCTGGAGTCCAGGTTGAGACTTGAAGTCAAGATAAAAAAGCGTGCTTGAATATGGTCTTTCAGGGTGGAGACTGCCACATTCTTGTCACTATTGATCTTCAAATAAACAAAACTCCAATAAAATGTTATCATTTGGAATCAATTGGAATTGATTTGCTGGATGGCAGGCAAGGCAGAAAGGATTTGGGAGGGAGGAAAAGAAAGAGAGAAAATAAGCTGGGCTTCAGGACCCATGACAGGCTGCCACCAACACAGCGCTGTCACCCCATGTGGTCCTCCCAAGGGCTTCTCCCAAGGCTTGGATGTAAACAGAGGCCTCCCCCAGATGCCAGAAACTCCACAGAGCTTCAGGGCTCATCGAAAACCTCCCACATGGCCTTGGAGAGGTCAGCGGCCATTCTGGCAGTACAGACTATACAAATTCAAATGCCAATGCCTCCATTGCTAGCTGTGGGATCTTGGGCAAATCATATCATCTCTTAGCGTCTCATTTCTCTGGGCACGAATAGCCTGTACCTGACAGGATTGTGAAGTAAGAAGCTGACAGAGTGAAGAAGCACTTAGCACACAGCTGGCCTGCAGCAAGAGCTCAAAGCATCAGTCTTTATTCTTATGATTATGCGCCAAGCTTAGGGCACCCCAGAACTTACTTATTTCCACTCCCTCTTCAATGCAGATCCAAATTCACTCTTGGGTCCAATTTAACTTGGCAGTTACACATAAGACCTAATTCCCAAATTAAAGAGCTTTGGACAAAAGTCCACCTTTGATGGCAAGTGAGGAAGGAAGCCAGGCAGTGTTGACAAGTCCTTCATCACTGACACTTTGCTCAGCCTCAGTCAAGGCTAGCCCCGGGTAAAAACGAGAGACAGGCCAAATTTGCTGTCATTGAGGTGCACCTCTCTAGCGCCTACCATCCCAGGATTTATGAGCCCCACAAGGGCTGGGGCGTTGGCACAGCCTGTCACCCTGAATCAGTAGACAGTCTTCCAGTGAAGTCGCCCAGCAAGGAAGCATGTCTGCAAAAGGGAGTGAGAACCAGCTCCGCTGGGGACACGCGCAGTCTGGAGCTGGCAAGGTGGAGCCAGGGAGAAGCAGAGCAGAGGGGGCCGATCTCCAAGCTGGGCCGGGCCCCAGCAATGGAAAGGCATCTTGTATACTGTAGAGGGACACACAGATGTTAAGGGTGTTATCCTATGATTGTTACTACTTTTCATTGGAAAGCCAGTTGTTTAATATCAACAAAGTAGTCAACAAAACAAAGGAAACCAGAGAGATCTGGGTCTGTGGCTGACACATGTGAGTTCCATCACCCTTCAGAGCCCACTACAGAGCACACTACAGACGAATTCCATCACCCTTCAGAGCCCAGCTTCCCCGTCTGTGAAGTCCTCAGAGAGCAGGGTTGCTAAATGGACTGAAAGTGATAAGATAGATCTTGTGCCTGCCACAGAGAATCAGTCAAGGTTCCTTCTCCCTTCTCTCTGGTGAAGACACAGGGTACCTTTTTTTAAAAAAACATAAAAAATGTAACTTCAGAAACTAGAAAGCAAGATTAGCACCAGGGAAAGCTTCAGTGGTGAATTGTTTTCATAGCATCTCTACTCCCTTCAAAGTCCATGCAGACAGGGAGTATCTACTTTGGTGTGGTCCAGCCTTTAGCAGCCATTGCTTGCAAAAGAAGTGGTGTTTGGGAATGCTTTCAATATGCAGAGATGTTTTGTTGGCCCGGGTCCTATCTCTATGGATTCCAACAGCAGGAGCTTGCAGATGTGTGTGGAAAGGGCAGAAAAGCTTGCCCAGGAGGCTGAGCTGGAGGAGCCTCAGCGCCAGGCTTTGTGTGTTGGCTGGAATGCTTCTTGCAGCCCTCAGTGGGCGGCAAAGAAAACCACCTACAGGCCGGAGAATGTGAGGGGTGTCCAAGTGCCATGAGAACATTCTACTCAAGTCCACTTGATAGAGCTGTTGCTCCTGATGGTTTATCCTGTGTCCCCTCTGCCTGGACTGCTTCCAAGCCTCCAGGCCAGCTGGTCTAGGAGCTGCTGAGAAGCTACGTGTGCGAATTTCCTACACCGTGGCAGCCAGTAGCCAGGCACCTGTCAGGCTTCGGGGTGGGAGTTCACGGAGGGGCATGGATTTATCCTTCCACCATCAATCCAACAGAGGGCCTCTTTCTGCCCTGACCTTATTCCCTTCTGCTTCCATTATACTAACACCACCACCTCATGGACAGACCTGCTCACTACAGGTAGTATTCATTTTATTTCATTTTTTTTCAGTTACTACTGTCCTCTGGGAAAATGAATCCTCCTCCTGACAAGCGCTTCAAACTTCTAGGCTGTGGGCATGCAAAGGAAAACACAGCCCAGGAAAAATATCCCTAGGGAATATGAGCATATTAGACCCAGCGTAGCAGACATTATGTGTATTCATAGACATATACAGGTTATTTATGTATGTATGTATTTACATATATGATATATGCATGCAATATGAGACATATGTACATATATCTACACTCATCTCATGAATATCTCATATATATGAAATCTCATATATATGAGATTATATAACTACCTATCATAGACATGAGAGATCTACATATATCTACAGAGATCTATGATAGCTCTCATATCATAGATACGAGATCTACATATACTTACACACATATAGATATGAGAGATCTACATATATCTACACACATGTCCCATAGATACCTCATATATCTATATTTTCTTTATTACATAAAGAAAACAATAGCATAAATATACCTATGAGACATCTATGGGATATATGTGTAGATATATGTATGAGATATTTATGAGATATGTATGTTTCTATGTGTGCATGAGCTCCAGCTAATCTACATTCAACCTATCTTTTTATTTAAATGTAAAAATATATTACACAGTATATATGAAGCATATGTAAATATGTACAATGTAAATGTTGCATAGATTTTCCTGGGCCACCTTGAGGTCAACCTTGAAATAGCCTGTTCTGCCTTCCATGTGCTTCTCAGGCTACAGACCTTATGATTTCTTTTCCACCCCGAATGGTTCAGCCTCTGGCCTCAGGCTGCATATCAGGAAAAAGAGCCAGTGCTAAGCATTAATAACAGATGCAAAGGGCCAAGCTCAGGCTGGGCACAGGCGGGTATAGGTGAGGGTGGAGGTGGTGGGGATGGTGGGTGAAGTTGCCTCTGTGGAGCTATGGTCTTGGAGAAGACAGTGCCAATCTCCCTCAGGAAGACCCCATAGCCCTTGCCCTCCAGAAGCCACGTAGTTAACACCCCTGACCTCATTTAGTTGAATGAATGAACTAATTAGAACCTGGGAACTTGATTCTGCTGCTGATGGTTCTTTGGCATTGTAAACACACACAGAAGATGGAGAGGCAACATCAAGTTGGAAGTCTGGTTATTTTGCAAAGAATGAAGTGAAACTGGACGTGACGGGGGCCTCCGCATGTCTGGATGTCTAGACAGAATTCACTCCCTTGCACAGGTCCCTTGTACCAGGGATCGGGGGCAGACCGCTACCTTAAGTAACGATTTTATTACATAAAGAAAACAATAATGAGAACTCCCACTTCATGCACTCTCCTTCCCAGTCTACACCAGCGAGCTCTGAGAAGAGTTTAGAGGCTAGAATATAAAGAAGCTACTCCACCCTTCCAGAAACTTTCATTCACTGTCCAGTCCCCTCTGCTTGGTTAGAAATTGAGAAGTGACCAGGCCAAACACGTTATGCAATCTACTAACCAGCCCCGTGTAACACAAATTAGTACAGTGTGGTATAGAAAATGCTCACACCTGGAGTCCAAATTGTAGATTCTTGTCCCTACTGGAAACTCCCAGGACTGGTGAACTCGTCTGAGGCTATTAGTAGACCATAACTTGGTTTCCTCATCTGTCAAGTAAGGAGGTTAATCTCAATGAACTTTAAGTTCCCTTTCAAGGTTAACATTTTCTGATCTTCAATTTTAAAACTATCAAAAGTTCCAGTTAACTGATGATCATGATAATCCTGCGAGAATTATTAGAATCATGACACAGGGAATCCCAGACAGCAGGAAAAAAAAAACCAAAAAAGCATTTATGTTTGATCTAGAAATTCAGATTCACCATCCTGTGTGTCATATCTGAATATTGTTTGTTCTGCAGAGAACTGAGTGGGTCTAGTGATATTAATAATTAATGCTAATAGTAGTCTACATTCTATGACCACTAATAGTAGTCAGCCACTGGAGGACAGAATAAGTCCCTGAGAGATAAGAGAGAGGCATTCACCAGCTTGACAATTGCTTTTGAGGGCCTGAACTCAGCCCTAACTCTGAGAGATACTGTGTGGCACTTCTATAATTCAGCATCCATTTCACTCACAGGGCATCTTGAGATAGAGAATTTGCTTCAGTAAGCCTGAGGTGGAGCCGAAGATTCAGCATTTCTAGCATGTTCCCAGGAGAAATCAGACATAAATGTGCAGAAAAATTGGTGTCCTACAAGATTTCCTGCTGAGTGTTGACTGAGGGGTCCAAATTTTAAATACAGTTGCAGTTTAGAGGAAGGGATGGCCCCAAGTGGCAGAGGAGGAGTCACAGCTCTTGTAGAAGAGGAGGGTCAAGCCAGGCTGAGAGTAGAATGTTGCTGTGGTTAAAATGCTCATGGATAATGGAGAATTGTCGGTTTGGGGAAGGGGAGGGAGAAAGGAGAGTTTTATGGGTGCAAGGGACAGAGTGTCGTGATGACTATAGTGCTATAAAAGGCAGTGATGGTTCTGTAAGGCAGAGACCCTCATCTCAAGGTGCTGGACTTTTTGTCCTCCAAATTGAGGTTTGCCTTTGACTTAATGGAAAAACTTTCTTCTGGTGCCACAATAGCCATTTCATTCCAAGATGGATTGCAATGTGAAGCGGTCTTTTTCCATTTCATGTCCCAAACCTCAGCACAATTAGTTTTGAAACAAATGTCAATAGCTTCTGAGCGAGGCTGTGAGTGTGAGGCTGGAGTATCAGCGGCCAGCCACAGAGAAGGACTCAGAGGTTCTGATTGTGCCCATCGTGCTAAGACGTCCTGTGATTCCTGAGAGGCATTAATTCTGGTGCATGCTCATTGAGCATTTTTGATGCAAAGTAGTTTAAAAGACAGAAAGAAGATGGAGTTTGTTTTAAAGGTTTTAAGATAAACACAGATCAGCACTGTCTCAAAAACGCTGTGCATGTTTCCATGAACTCATGATCTTTCTGTCTTGACAGTCTCCAATCACGTGTGGAGATGACCTTGCCATCCCACCCACCCTTCAATCAGAGTGGGGACAGATGTTATCCATTGAATTATATCCCCCCACTGAGAATTCCTGTCTTAAAGTCCTAACCCCATTGTATCTCAGAATGTGGCTTTGTTTGGAAATAGGGTCATTGCAGATGTAATTAATTAAGATGAGGTCTTAACTTACTGGAATAGGGTGGGACCTTAATCTAATCTGACTGGTGTCCTTACGAAAAGAGGAAATTTGGACATAGACACTCTCACACAGGGAAGATACCATATGAAGATGAAAGCAGACATTACAGTGGTGCATCATCTGCAAGCCAAGGAACACCAAAGATTCCCACCAAGTCACCAGAAGCCAGGGACAGGCATGGAACAGACTCTTTCTCACAGCCTTCAGAAGGAGCCAACCCTGCCGACACCTTGATCTCAGACTTCCAGCCTCTAGAACTGTGAGACGATCCACTTCTGCTGTTCAAGCCAACCACCTGTCGTGTTTTGTTATGGCAGCCCTAGCCAGCTAAGACAACAGATCAATAATAAACTTAGGTACATCAATAAAATTAAGTTGTTGTGTGTATGGCCTTGGGGAAAATCTTTTAACCTCTGTAAAATGAAGACTTTGGAGCAAGTGGTTAGTGAAATCCCTTGCAGGTAAAGCATTCTGTGATTTTATAAAATTCTGACATATTGATCCATTTAATGCCGTTTCTTGGATTATACCTGGGAAGTGAGAGCTGAGAAACAGCAGCTGTATCCGAGAGGGGCAGGGCTCACCTGGAAGAGAGAGAGCCTGCTTTGAGGAGCCATAAAATCAAATCACCAAGGAACCAGAGGGGATCTTGGCCCAGTGGGGACCCTCAATACTAAATGGAGACTGGAGCATGCCTGGGCCAGCAGCAGACAGCCTTGGCACAGCCAAGCAGGGAGCCTGGGCTCCTCCTCCTGCACGAGGCAGCAGCACCAACGGGAGAGAGCCCAGCACACAGAACAGTCGGGAAGCAGTCAGTGGTTTATAAGTCAGCCTAAGAGGGCTGGCCTGAGTTTCTGTCCTCCCAATTCAGCCATAAGCAGAGGGCAAGGGGACCAACTTAGCAACCTTGTGGCTATTTAGGAACATTTGTTGAAGGAAACTCTTGCTAAGGTGGCAGGTGGGAGCCCAGAGTCACTGTAATTTGGGTATGAAAGGAAATGTGACTTCAGGATGTAGTCACTGGCAGGTAGCACGTGGGCATTTGAGTTGCATGTTCACCTCTGAGCTGGACACAGCAGGGGCCAGGTCGGGCTGCCATCAACACTGTCTATAATCCATGCCTTGCACTTTGGAAAAGCTCAATTTCTTGCACAAAAGGAGGATAATGAAGTAGGAATTTGTTCCAGGAATAGGGAAAACAATTCGCCAATGTAGTAATTAGGGCCATGTTACCCTTCTAGACTCCATTTTAATTAGCTGTTTATTAGAATTAATTTTTGTCATCATTACATTGATTATATTATTTAGTGCCAGTTGGTGAGGGATAATGTCTGCGCCCGCAAAGCTTAGCTTAGCAATTCGAGAATTTGAATGGAGGAGGCAGAGTTACACTTTTGCTTTTTCTTAGTATCAGTCAACAAATATTAACCAGCTCTGTGGTGTGTGCAAGGTGCCGTGCTAGACACTTGTAATCAAGTTGCCTAGCCACATATAAAGTAGCCAATACTTATTATTCAGAATAATACAATAATAGAATCCTATGATTCCCGAACAGCCCTGTTATTCTCTCTGTTTTTGTACTCATATTTTTTCCTCTTCCAGGAATGCCCTGTCCTGTAAAACGTCTCCCATCCTTCAAGACCTACCTTTCAAATGACCTTATCCATCCATTTCCCCCAAATCTGATGAATGGGAACATCACTTCCTTTATATACCCAGAACTCATTGCAGGTCTCTCATGGAATTTCTGTGCTACTGTGTATTGTAGGTAATGGCTATTTGTCTCACTAAAGTACATGTTCCCCAATATAGTGAGGTGAAGAGTGTTCCTCAAAATTTGTGTCTACCTGGAACCTCAGAATAGGTGACCTTATTTGGAAATAAGGTTTTTGCAGATATAATTGGTTAAAGAGCTTGAGATGATATCATCCTGGATTTAGGGTGGGCCCTAGATCTAGTGACTGATGTCTTTACAAGAGAAAGGAGAGAGAGATTTGGACACAGAGAGACACACAGGGAAGAAGTCCATATGAAGATGGAGGCAGAAATGGGACTTCTGCAGCCACAACCCAAGAAACAGCAGGAACTGCCAGAAACTGAAGTGACCGGAGGCAAAGGAGAAGTATCTGTTGCTTCCTGCAAGTGAAGTCCTAGCTGACACCTTGATTTCAGATTTCTGGCCTTCAGAACGGTGAAAGAATGAATTTCCATTGTTTTAAGCTACCCAGTTTGTGGTAATTCATTATGGTAGCTCTGGGGAACTAATATGCCTGAGTATAATCTATGATTTACCTTCCTATCTCCGCAAATTTGCTCATAAGCATTTGTGAAAATACTGTATTTGCTACATTGCAAGGCATTGATCTCAGCTCTTCTTTAGCCATAATGGCTAAAGAAGCACTTATAAAAAAAATCAAGGACCAAGCAAAGTCAAAGTATATTAATTAGTTGCTTTCTCTTATGTGTGTGCTGGGAGGGTACACATGACTTGTGTGTGCAAAGGAACCAAGCAAGACTCCTTGGATCTGGGTATGAACAATGGTCCTGCTGATGCAAATGTCTGAATGAAGCCTTGACTGCCAGGAGGAAGCCCCATACTCATAGTGAGAGGGACTTCTGGAAGAATTGAGATCCACTCTCTGTGGACCTGAGTGACACATAAAAACTGGAGTTTCTAGGCCGGGTGCAGTGGCTCATGCCTATAATCACAACTCTTCGGGAGCCTGAGATGGGAGGACCACTTGAGGCCAGGAATTTGAGATCAGTGTGGAAAACATAGCAAGACCCCATCTCTGCAAAATATTGAAGAATTAGCCAGGCTGATGCTCACCTGTAGTCTCAGCTACTCAGGAGGGTGAGATGGGAGGATCACTTGAACCCAGGAGTTTGAGGCATACAGTGAGTCCTGATCACACCACTGCATTCCAGCCTGGATGACAGAGAGAGACTCTGTTTCAACAGAAAGAAAGAAAGACGGAAGGAAGGAAGGAAGGAAGGGAGTGAGGGAGGGAGGGAGGGAGGGAAAGAAGAAAGGAAGGAAGGGAAGGGGAGGGGCGGGGAAGGGAAGGGAAGGGGAAGAAGGAAGGAAGGAAGGAGGAAAGGAAAGGAAAGGAAAGAAAGGAAAGGAAGAAATTGAAGTTTCTAGATCACTAGCTGGCCTGGGTGACAGAGAGAGAGAGACCCTGTTTCTAAGAAAAGAAAGAAAGAAAGAAAAGAAAAGAAAGAAAGACAAGAAAAGAGAAGTTTTTACATCACTAGTTAGCCAGTTGAAAGGCACGCGCTCACCAAATGCCACACTAACCATACCCCGGAATTTGGAGCCAAGATGACCTTAGTTTCAGGCAGAATAGTCTGTTATAATTTGGGGTTACCTGCCTGAGAGGTCTCCCCAGTGGGCAGAAGGGTTGGGTTGGAAGGTCAGAATTGAATATTCATTTCTTCTTGTTAAGCATTCACTCTTCACCCTACCTATTTTTCATGCCTCAGCACCTTTGGGAGATCTGCTTAGAAACCAACTAATTTTTTAGTGGTTCTTGATTTATCAGATAATACTTGTAATAGCTAACATACATGGAGTGCCCACCCAATGCCCGGAATTTTATGCATTAAACGGTTTGCATGTATTAGATCATGAAATTCTCATAGCAACCCTACAAAGTAGATATTGAAATCTCCATTTTACAGAAGAGAAAATTTGAGCCTCCAGAGGTGAAATAACTTTGTTGGGGGTCACATAACCAGTCAGTATGCTGGGTCTCCAGCCCAGTCATCCTGTCTCAAAAGCCCAGACCGCCGGTTCAAGTGAATATTGCTTTTCTCAGGGTCTCTCTGACTCATTGAAGGCATGCGTGATTATGAGGGTCGTATTAACAGGAGGGAAAAGAGCAGCCAAAAGGGGGCTGCTGCCCAAAACCAGCTGCACAATTTTTTCCACATCTGCTCATTCTGGGATGCACAAGGTCTGTTGAAAGCGGGGTCATGTAGAAATTGAGTGATAGTTGAATGCATCCACCAAGCAACCAACTAGGCACCTGCAGCCCCGTTTTCTGCACTGAGAACACATTGCACATCCCCTTAGATTTTTTTGCATCAGAACCGAACATGACTCCCAGGGCTCCCTCTACGCTATTTCACTTTGCTGAGCCCTTCCCAGATGTACTGGTCAACGAGTCAAATTCTCAGCTGGGGGAGAGCAGATAAGACTCCATATTTGGGGAGAACATAGAGGCCTTTCCAGAGCCTGCTGCTCCTGCTGTCATTTTGTTCATTCTGATTGAAACACTCTGTCTTTGTTGTCAAGCTCCTTCCCACTCATACTTATTTGTGTGATGAGTACAATGACATTATTCTATTAGTCGCAAACCAGGGGCAGATCGCTATTTAAATTGATATTGCTTTTTAAGTTATTACAGTCACTGTTCTACAGTTCCATAGTCACACCATTTCCCAGATCTCCCAAGAATAATAATCAAAGGAAAAAAAATAAAACCCCGGCAAGATTTCCATCCAGAACCTGCCAGCACGGGGCTGTTCTTTTTACTTCTTGCCTCAATGGCACTTCCTGGAGTAGCAAGTTATTTAATGCTTACATAGTGATATCTGATCTGTATTTCTGTTGTCCCCCAGTGGCCACTGGAGCTCTCTCATTCAAACACAAGTGAAACCAAAGAGAAGGCAGTCACCCTGCAGGGTACCACACAGCTGTGCTTTTTAGTATTTCCCCAAAAGGCTTCTTATGGTGGCAACAATCACCTCCCTCTCTATTTTAAGTAAGCAAACACTATTTTAACTACCTGTGACTCTGAGTGCTGTGGCCCTATAAGCTATTTTATTTATTGTTATTTTTTAAATTTATTATTATTTTTTACAGACAGGGTCTGACTCTTGCCCAGGCTGGGGTGCAGTGGTGCAGTCATAGCTCACTGCAACCTGGAACTCTTGGGCTCAAGTGATCCTCCTGCCTCAGTCTCCTGAGTAGTTGGGACTGCAGGTGCAAGCCATCATGGCTGGCTAATTACATTTTTTTTTTAAGAGAAGAATTTTCACTGTGTTGTGTAGGCTGCTCTCAAATTCCTGGCCTCAAGTGATCCTCCTGCCTCAGCCTCCCAAGGTGCTGAGCCACAATGCCCAGCTCCTATCACCTATTTTAGAATAGTACTGAGGCACTTCTTTTTCAGTCTGGACATTCCAGCCCATTCGTTGACATGGATTACTGGTGATTTTGTTGGTGAGGCTGAGGCAGCTGTCCCCAGGAATGGAAGTGCTGTCTGCAGTGCCATTTGGAAAGCAGCCCTCAGCTCTCCAGTCAGACAGGAACATGTGTCATTTCCTTGTGGACTGTACTCTACAGGTCGATTGGGGCCTCTTGCTACTACCACACTGTCTTTGGTCTAGAGGGCAGCAGTTTGCTCTGTCATGGGCATTACTGGATCTTTAGTGCCACTAGCTTAAGAATCTTGTGATTTGGGGTTTCAGGGAAGAGCAGCAGTCATCTATCCCCTATAGATACACGATCTCAGAGGCTCTGTGGGCACATATCCATATTAATGTGTACAGCCTGCCTGGCTCCACCTCCACTTAACTTCTCACTGCAGAGAAATATGGGGGCGGGCGGGGGAAAGAGACTTAGGAAGGAACCAGGCCTCCTGTATGAAGTTCCTGGGTTCTTGTGTGTCTATTGCTTGAAAGGGAAGAACTGTTTTTTGTGTGTTTTTTGTGAGAGAAAGAAAGGAAGGAAGGAAGGGGAAGGGGAAGGGAAGGGAGGAGGGAGGGAGGGAGGAAGGAAGGAAGGAAGGAAGGAAGGAAGGAAGGAAGGAAGGAAGGAAGGAAAAACAGGGCTGAAGGTGAAAGAAAGCCAATCCCCTCTAGGTATGTCAATGCTCCTAAAGCCTACCCCTGTCCCTGTTATCTTGGGGTACGGTGGGGTTGGCACTAGGTTGTGGTAGCTGATGGAAGGCCAATGGAGTATGCTTGGCTCTTACTCCAGCAAACACCAGGCTTGGTGAGTCACCTAGTGCCTCCCACTCCTCCAGGGCCATGTGTTGAGTAGCAGGTCTCCCTGGGTGGTAAGATTTATGCCAACTGATGATATCAGGACCCATGGGTTGTTAACAGACTGTGACGTCAAGTGGCCATATTCCCTTCATCCAATCCAGTTAAAGGCTTTCCTCACATATGGAAACTCAGGAGTGCCCACAGGAGTGATTCTCATAGAATGACTCATGGACAAGCAGGGGTCTGTAAGGCTTCTCCAGGTGGCCACTGATTTCTCATAGGATAGTGAGAATTGCTCATCATTCTGCACCTTCAATATCTTTCTTACTCCCACATCATCCCCATTGGCAAATACATCTAACTTGGAATAGCTCATCTTAAAAACAAAACAAAAACATTCCCTTGACCTTATAGGCCCATCCAACCATGGCCGAGCTCTCTGCTTCCCTTTATAGCAAAAGTTCTGAAAAGTCATGGATTAGTACCATCTCTGTTTGTCACTGCCCATTCTCTCCCAACAAGCTCACTCACCTGTTCAATTCTATTCATGTGCTACCATTGGGCCCCACTTGTTTTATCCAGGGGTCAACTCTCTGCTCCATCTTACAGGCCTTCCTAGCAGCTATCGTCACTGTTGACGCCTCCTTCTTTTGTGGAGCTTTTTATTCTCTGGGGTCCCAGAAACCAAGAAATTTTCTTGGTTTTCCTCCTACCATATTATCAGCTTGACTTTTCTGCCTGAGTTAGAACCCCCAAAAATAAATCTCCAGATCTCTTCTCTTGTTTTGTCTTCTTTTCCCTTCCCTTTCCCGTCTCTTCCCTTCCTTTTCTTTTCCTTCTCTTCATTTCCCTTCCCTCCCTTTCTCTTATCTTCCCTTTGTTCCTCTTCTCTCTCCCTTTTCCTTCTCTTCTGCACTCCCTCTCCTGGTAATCTGTTTCAGTCTCAAATCGTCTATACATTCATGACTCTCGAATCTATCTTCCCAGTCCTTATCACCCCACGAAGGTCCAGATTCCTAAATCCAACTGCCTCTATGACACCTCTGCTAAGATGCCTAACAGATGTCTCAAACTTGAATATCCAAAGTGAAACTCTTGATATCCCTCCAAGGCTTATTTCTCCCCCATTCTTTATTTGCCCAACAAATAATTCCATCAGCTGCTACCCAGTTGCTCAGATCTAAAACTTAAGAATCATGTGTTTTTGACTCTTCTTTTTCTGTCATACCCCACATTCAACTGACCAGTCCTACTTTTTCTAACTTTAGAATATATCCAGAATCTAATTATATCTCACCACATCGACTGTTATATCCCTAATCCAAGCCATTGTCATTTTCTGCCTAGGCCATAGCAGGAATTCCTATCTCTGGTTTTCCACACTTGCCCTACTATAATGCATTCTCTACCCAACAGGCAAAATAATCTCTTAAGCGTGTAAATCTACCATATCACTCCCTTGCATAAATCCTGCTAATGGCTTATAATCACATTACAGAATAAAATTTAGGTAACTTGCCATGCCGATAAGACCCTGCATGATCTGACCCCTGTCCCTTGTGCCTCCATTCTCTGCTTGTTCACACTGGCTGTCTTCTAGCCTGTGGGCAGCCCTGGCTTGTTCCTGTTTCAGGACCTCTGTGCTTGCTGTGCCCTCTGCCTGGAACGCTTTCCCCCAGGACCTCAGCACAATTCACTGTGCACCATGCAAGTCTCGGCATCAGTGTCATCTCCTAAGAGAGGACTTCCCTGACTACGCAGCTTAAAGTAGCTCCCAACCCAGTCTTTATCTCATCACAAATGTTTTTCTCCATGTCAATTAATACTCTCTGCCTCAACTTATCTTTTTATTTATTTATGGTTTATTTTTGTCTCCCCGTACTAGACCCCATGAAAGCAATCTTGTCTGTCTTTTTCACTGCTATTTCCCTAACTTATATGAATGCCCACCTCATATCAGATGCTCAGTAATATTTGCCGTGTGAGTAAATGGTCTCATCACAGTGAGTTCTGTATTGTGTTTCTATTTGCAGTATGAAGCCACATGGCTTCCAAGTCTGGCAGCTCAGGAGAATTACCTAGACACATTTTAAATCATGCAGGTTTTTGAGCCTCATCCCATCTTTATTGGTGTGTCACTGATGGTGTCCTAATCTTTCCATTCACTCTGATGAAAAGTTTTGAAGTGGCCAAGGCAGGGGAAAAGGGGATTAGCCTTCAGGCTAATGGAGGTCAATTTAAGAGGCTTTGTGAGTTCCTTGTTCCATGGGAATAAAAACATGTTAGAAGCCACTATATTGAAGCTGGGGGTGGGAGAGGAGAGAAGAGGGAGGATGAACCCTGTGGCATGGGCCCATCTGGCTGTTGAAGGTCAAGGTCTGGTTTTACCCACTTTGGTAGCTACATAATTCTGTGAATTACCAGGGGACCCACCTATTCGCTCAAGGAGGACTCTTTATTTCACCCTGTCCTTCAGCTTCAGGATCTAGAACTCTGCTGTCTAATATAGTAGCCATGGTTTTAAGACTGAATTCATTAAAATTAAGGTGTTCGAATTTGAATTAAATGCATTAAAATTAAATACAATTAAGAATTCCTTTCTTCAGTCTCACTAGCCATGTCTCAAGTGCTCACTAGCTGCATTAGCTGGTGGCTACAGTATGTGTGCCTTTCCATCACTGCAGAAAGTTCCATTGAACAGAGCTGGTCTAGAAAATGGGCTCCTGGGACTGCTAGAAAATGGGACTCCACACTGCTGTTGTTAGTGCTTTAAACGCCAGGCTTGTCGATTGTACATGGAAATACAGCTCTACCCTGGTTAAGCAATTGGTCTCTTGAGCCCTGGGAATTTCAGTGGAGCAGGCGAAGGGCTGGTGAAAACAGCTTGTAAAAGTATTTGCCAGCAGAGCTGCCCACACACAGAGATGATGTACATTTTCAGAGACATACCACTGTTGCTCCAGAGGACAGGGAGAAAGCACAGCTATAGGCCAGGACGAGTTTTTCTTTTAGTTTGTGCTCCTCGAGCTCTGAATCCAAGGTCACTCCTGGGAATTTTGCCGGGATTCGTTTAGCAGGTTTACATTCTGTACCTCAAGTAAGATGATCGGCCACTTAAAGTCAGGGGAAATGACTTATGTTCTTATAATATCTCCTCCTCGACACTTCATATATAGATGATAAATAAACACTAGCACTCGATCTAAGTTGCATTACAGTTAGCTCTGTGCATGTATCTCCTTATTTGCTCATGAAATCCTCAAGGGCAAAGATTATTTTTATTCCCTTCCCTGCAGCACCTAGTACTCTGCATGATGAATAATTGTTCCTATAGAAATACTCATGGGTGGGAGGATAGCTGGACCCCAGGAGTTCAAGGCTGCAGTGAGCCATGATTGGGCTACTGGACTCCAGCCAGACCTCGTCTCTAAATAAATAAATCAAATGAATAAAAAGTAAACAACGAAGTATTCATTTTGTGTTTTAACAAGCACTAGAGGAAAAATTCATTTTAAAATTTTTTAAAATGAAATATTTATTGGATGGTTGGAGGGAGGGAGGGAGAGATCAACTCAGACCCACACTGGTAGAAGATTTCCTGTTTCAGTGAGAGCTCACCGTTTTAGTGATACATCACTTCCCGTCTTAGAAATTCAGAAAAATTCAGCATTATTCTCTCATTTGAAGGTGAAGAGGCTATTTTCCAAGTCACCAGTGGGTGGATGAATGAAAGAAAGCTTTTCCAGTGTCATCAGAGCATTCTCATGGGACTTTATCAGAAAAACCATCTTCTTTGCCTTTTTTCTGGTAGAAAGCTTCACTGGAAAAAGCAAACCTAATTCAAGAGAAAAACATGGCAATAGGACAATTTCAACAAAAATTGTCTATGTGTTACATGAAACATTCAGGTTCTAGAGCATTTTGTGTCACTCTTTTAAGACCCCAATCTTAAATGCTTGTTATCAACTATAGAATCTTCTCTCACCACATCTGGAAATTAAGCTAAAGTCAAGAACACAAAAATGTTTGTCTTCTCATTACTCTCTTCTGTCAGATACTTTGCAGCGTAGTTTCTAGTGATCATCATTTTCTTACTGTAGATTCAAGTTTGTATCTTCTACTATTTCCCTTCATTCTGAAGAATACCCTGAGGAATTTCCTGCAGTTCTGCCTGTAACAAATTCTATCAGCTTTTGTTTATCTCAAAGTGTCTTAATTTTACCATTTTTTTAAGTTTATTTTCACTCTATATAGAATTCTAGACTGGTGAGATTTTTTTCAGCATTTTAAAGGTGTTATTCCCTGGTCTTTTGGCCTGCATTATCTCTAATAAGAAATCAGAAATTATTTTTGTTTTCCTATATATAATGTGTCTTTTGTTTTATGGATAATTTCCGTATTTTCTGTTTTTTTGGTTTTTGGTTTCCTTTTTTTTTTTTTTTTTTTACACGGAGTCTCTCTCTGTTGCCAGGCTGGAATGCAGTGGTGTGCAATGTTGGCTTACTGCAACCTCCACCTCCTGGGTTCAAGTGATTCTCGTGCCTCTGCCTCCGGACCAGCTGGGATTAGAGGCATGTGCCACCACACCCTGCTAATTTTTGTATCTTCAGTAGAGATGGGGTTTCACCGTGTTGGCCAGGCCTGACCTCAAGTGCTCCACCCGCCTCGGCCTCTCAAAGTGCTGGGATTACAGGCATGAGCCACCGCGCCTGGCCGATTTCCGTATTTTCTATCATTTTTTGGTTTTCAGCAGTTTGACTGTGATGTGCCTAGATGTGGTTTTCTTTATGTGTATTCTGCTTGGGGTTCACTGAGTTTCTTAAACCTAAAAGTTGGTGTTTTTCAACAACTTTTGGGAAGTCTGGGGCCATTATTCTTTCAAATGTCTTTTTCCTCCATCCTCATTCTCTTCTCGTTCAGAATCCGTATTGCAGGTGAGTTCGGCCATTTATTACTGTCCTATCAATCCCTGAGGCTTTGATCGTTTTTTTCAATTAATTTTCTATTTATCAGATTGATTTAATTTTATTGATCTGTCTTCAAGTTTACCAAGTTTTTCTTCTGTCATCCCTAATAAGCCCATTCAGGGAATTTTTCATTTCAGGTATTATACACTTGAGTTTTAGAGTTTCCATAGGGTTTAAAAAATAGTTTCCATTTTCCAAGTGAGATTTCATAGTCACTAATTCATTAAATCCATATTTTTCTTTAATTCTTTGAACATCTTCCATTAACTATTTGACTGTGTGTGTGTGTGTGTGTGTGTGTGTGTGTGTGTGTGTGTGTGATGGAGTCTCGATCTTTCACCCAGGCTGGAGTGCAGTGGCGTGATCTCGGCTCACTGCAACCTCCGCCTCCCAGGTTCAAGCGATTCTCCTGCCTCAGCCTCCCAAGTAGCTGGGATTACAGGCACCCACCACTATGCCCAGCTAATTTTTGTATCTTTATTGGAGATGGGGTTTCTACTACTTTAGGAGTGTTGGCCAGGCTGGTCTCGAGCTCCTGGACTCAAGAGATCCACTTGCCTTGGCATCCCAAAGTGCTGGGATTACAGACGTGAGCCGCCGTGCCCCAGCCTTTGACAATAGTTTTAATAACTCATTTAAAGTCTTTTGCTGCCAAGTCTAATACTTGGGCCATCTCAGTTTGTTTTGAGTACTTTTTGCTTTGATTATCAATTATGTTTTCCTGTTTCTTTGAAAGCCTAGTGATTTTTTAACTGAATACTGGACATTGTAGATAATATATTGTAGAGACCTGGATTCTACTATCTTCCTCAGAAAAATGTTGATTCTCATTTTAGCAAGCAGTTTGATTATTATCTGATCACCTTGGAATGTCCATCTTGGTTTTAGGCTCTCATATTATAGATAAGGAAAAAGTCAGAAGTGTTTCCTGAGTGCTAACTTAGAAGACTCATTCTCCAAACTGTCTCCCATGACCATCCTATTAGGGCTCAGGTTTAGGCTTTTTAAGAGTGAGTGTGGTGTATGTTGTACTACAGTGACTATTCAAATTTAAGTGAATTAGGCCAGGCACAGTAGCTCATGCCTATCATCCCAGCACTTCAGGGTGGGATGCCAAGGCAAGTGGATCTTTTGAGCCCAGGAGTTCAAGACCCGCCTGGGCAACGTGGCAAAACCCCGTCTCTAGAAAAGATACAAAAATTAGCCAGGCATAGTGGCTTGTGCCTGTAGTCTCAGCTACTTGGGAGGCTTAGGTGGGAGGATCACCTGAGCCTGCAAGGTCAAGGCTGCAGTGAGCGATGATCACGCCACTGCACTCCAGCCTGGGTGACAGAGTGAGACCCTGCCTCAAATAAATACATAAATAAATTAATTTAAATTTAAACATGTACTTATTCAGTTGCCATAGTTACATTTCAAGTGTTTCGTAGTCATATGGGTCAATGACTACCAGATTAAAATTGTGCAACTACAGAACATGTCTGTTACAGAAAATTCTATTGATAGGCACAGTTCTATGTCAGAGATCAGCAGCTTTTTCTGTAAAAGGCAAAATAATATTTTAAATTTTAGGGCCATACGATCCTGTCATGTCTACTCACCTCTGCATTGTAGCATGCAAGCGGCCACAGACAGTAAGTACACAGATGAACATGGCTGTGTTCTAATAAAATTTTATTACAAAAACAAGCAACAGCTGAATTTGGCCTAAGAGTCGTATTTTTAGAGCAAAGGTCAGCAAACTATGACCTATGAGCCAAATTTGGCCCACTGTCTATTTTGCTTATTTTTAAAATAGCTTTATTGAAATATAATTCACATATCATATAATTTGCCCATATAGCTCAGTGGTTTTCAGTATAGTCACACAGTTGTGCCAACATCACCACGTTTAACAAACACCTTTTTATTTTTTTTTTTGCAAAAAAAGTTTTACAGGAAAGCAGGTTTACTCATTTATTTATGTCTTGACCTATGCCTGCTTTCATACCTCAATGGCAGAGTTGGGTATTTGCAACAGAGACTATATGGACTTCAAAGGCTAAAACATTTAGCGTCTGACTCTTTAGAGAAAATATTTGCTCTAGAATGTCGTCTGTACCCATAAGGCACAAGCTTGCTGTGTTTGACCTGGATTTCAGGAGTGTTCATGAGGTGTTATCTCTGCTCTCTGTCAGGGTCGGAACTCTAATGTCCACAGCACTGCTTGCTTGATCTCTCATCCCATTGTTTCTCCCTCAACCCTACAGCAGCTGCTACTTGGTGAGCCTCAGGTGTTGCTGCCCGTTGTATATACAGCATAACCCTCAGCTACAGACCTTCAAGGACTCCAGTACAAATTTTTGGAACCTATTTCTTTTTTTTTTTTTCTTTTTCTTTTTTCTTGTTCTTTTTTTTTTTTTTTGAGACGGAATCTCACTCTGTCGCTCAGGCTGGAGTCCAGTGGCGCGATCTCGGCTCACTGCAAGGACCGCCTCCCGGGTTCACGCCATTCTCCTGCCTCAGCCTCCCAAGTAGCTGGGACTACAGGCACCCGCCACCACGCCCAGCCAATTTTTTGTATTTTTAGTAGAGACAGCGTTTCACCGTGTTAGCCAGGATGGTCTCAATCTCCTGGCCTCGTGATCCGCCCGCCTCGGCCTCCCAAAGTGCTGGGATTACAGGCGTGAGCTGCCGCGCCCGGCTTTGGAACCTATTTCTGCGTGGCTTGTCTGATGCATCATTCCCGTGTGGTATATTTTCCTTGATTTAAAAAAATGTATTTGTCCAGTCATTATAAGAATTATTTGAGTCTCTTACTGTAGTGTCTATTTCTCCTTATCCAGTGTCTTTAATTTTGTTTTATGTATTTTGAGACTACGTTTTTAGGTACCAGTTAGTTTAGGCTTGTATTTTTCTGTTGAACTAAAACGTCTACCAATACATTGGGAGCCTCTTGATCTCTAGAACCGTTTTCGCCCTAAAGTCTAAAAACAGAGTGACACTGTTTTCTTTCATTTAGATTTGTCCGTTGTGTACTTTGAGCCTTTTGATCTTTGTGTTTTAGATGTGATCTCTCATAAAAGTGCATTTAAATTCAGTCTGACAAGCTTTGATTTTTAACTGAGGCATTTAATCTATGTTCATTTGAATGTAATCACTGAAATATTTTATTTCTAGAGTTTTAAAAAATTTTCTTTTTTAATGAGACAGAGTCTTGCTGTGTTGCCCAGGCTGGAGTGCAGTGGCACAATCTCGGGTCACTGCAACCTCTTTGTCCAGGGTGCAAGCGATTTTCAGGTCTCAGCCTCCTGAGTAGCTGGGATTACAGGCGTGCACTACCACTCCCAGCTAAATTTTGTGTTTTTAGTAGAGATGGGGTTTTGACCATGTTGACCAGGCTGGTCTTAAACTCCTGGCCTCAAGTGATCCACCTGCGTTGGCCTCCCAAGGTGCTGGGATTACAGGTGTGAGCCGTTGTGCCTGGCCTTTTTTCATATCTTATTTTTTCTTTCATAACTATCCTGCATTTACTATATATCTATACTATATCTATATATCTATATATATAAAATCATATATATACACATATACATGTATATGTATATTATATATCTCTTCTTCCTTCCCCTGCTCTTTCTTTTTGCCTTCCTTTGAACTGATTATTTTTTGTTTCTCTCTACTACTTGGAAAGTTATTGTGATGGTTAATACTAGGTGTCAACTTGATTGGTTTGAGGGATGCCTAGATGGTTGGTGAAGTATTGTTTCTGGGTGTGTCTGTGAAGGTGTTGTGTTGCCAGAGGAGATTGACATGTGAGTGGTGGACTGGAGAGGAAGACCCGTCTTCAATGTGGGTGGGCACCATCCAATTGGCAGCCAGTGCAGCTGGAACAAAGCAGATGGAAGAAGGTGGGATAAGTTTGCTTGCTGAGTCTTCTGGCTTTTTTTCTTCTTCCCATGAGAGACGTTTGCTTCTGTTCCTCCTGCCCTTGGACATCAACTCCATCTCTTTCAGCCATAGACTGAGGGAGGCACTGTGGCCTTCCCTAGTTTTCAGGCATTTGGACTTGGACTTGAGCCACTTCCGTCTTCTCTCTTTCCCCAGCTTGCAGATGGCCCATCGTGGGACTTCACTTTGTAATCCTGTGAGCCAATTCTCGCTAATAAACTCCCTTTTATATGCACCTACATCCTATTGGTTCTGTCCCTCTGGAGAACTCTAACTAATACAGTTATATCAAATTCCCTTCTTCTAGAACTCATCCTAGAATGTTAACAAGCATATTGAACTTCTCATATTCTAAATTTAATTAATAGGTTTACTCTCCTTCTTTACATTACATGAACTTAGAACACTTTAATCCTCTTACATCTTGCAATTTGTATGCTATTGTTGCTTTGTATTTCATGTCTATCCCTCTACTTACAGAAGTTTATTGCCATTGTTTTATGCAGTCAATTTTTTAAAGATTTGCTTATGTATTTGCCACTTTCTTAGCTCATCATGTTTTCATCTCAATATCCCTAACTTGAATTGTCTTCCCTCTGCTTAAGACAAGCCCTCAGCATTTCCTTTAATCACTGTCTGTTTTTCCTTACTTCAAATTTTTTAACTTCACTCTTATTTTTGAAAACTATCTTTACTGCATATACAGTTTTAGGTTGATGGTTATTTTCTCTCAGCATATTTAAAATATTGTTTCACGAAGAAAACAACAGACTTGAGTGTGGAGAGTGGGAGGAGGGAGAGGAGCAGAAAAGATAATGATTGGGTACTGGGTTTCATTTATGGGTGATGAAATAATCTATACAACAAACCCCCATGACATGAGTTTATCTGTGAAACAATCCTTCAGGTGAACCCCAAACCTAACATAAAAGTTAAAAAAAATTAAACGGCGACAACAACAACAACAAATATTGTTCCACTATTACCTATAGTTTCTATGGATGCTATCAAGAAGTCAATTTCATTGTCATTCCTTTGTAAGCAATCTGTCTCTTTGAAGTATCATTAGGCTGTATCTGGGTGAACACTTCTTTCTTTGTAAAAAATCTTGCTTGGGTTCCTTAGGATTTCTGAACCTGAGGATTGGAGTCCATTAATTCTGAGCATTTTTTTGTGTCCCTTTTTCTCTCTGGACAGTGGAGTGGTCTGTCTTTCGGTTCTTTAATTCTTCCTTCACCCATGCTAATCTTCTCTCAAACCACTCATTGAGGTTTATAAAAACTTTGTTACAATATTTTTCATTTCTAGAAGTTCTAGTTGAATTTTTTCTTTTATGTCCTTAAAAACCTTTAATTTTGGCCAGTTGCGGTGGCTCATGCCTGTGATCCCAGCACTTTGGGAGGCCAAGGCAGGTGGATCACGAGGTCAGGAGTTCGAGACCAGCCTGGACAACACAGTGAAACCCCGTCTCTACTAAAAATACAAAAATTAGCTGGGCATGGTGGTGGTCACCTGTAATCCCAGCTACTCAGGAGGCTGAGGCAGGAGAATCACTTAAACCCAGGAGGTGGAGGTTGCAGTCAGCCGAGATCGTGCCACTGCACTCCAGCCTGGGCAACAGAACTAGACTCCGTCTAAAAAAAACAAAACAAAACAAAGAAAACTTCTTTTTCTTTATTTATATTTTCTATTATAAATTGTGTTTACTCCCAAAATTCATAGTACCTTAGAATATGACTTTATATGGAGATAGGGCCTTCAAAGAAGTCATTAAGTTTCATTGGGATTATTAGGGTAGGTTCTAGTCCAATATGATGGTCTTCCTGTAAGAAAAGGAGATTAGGACACAAAACACAGAGAGGAAAGAGCATATGAAGACGGTGAAGGCAGCCATCTATAAGCCAAGGGGAGAGGTCTCAGAAGAAATTAACCCTGCTGACACCTTGAGCTCAGACTTCCAGTCTCCAGAACTATGGGAAGTGAATCTCTGTTGTTTCAGCCACCCAGTCTGTGATACTTTCTTATGGCAGTCCTAGCAAACTAATACAGACCTCTCTATTTTCTTCTTGAAACATAATTTAAAATACTTGTTTCATATTCTTTGTCTGATAAGCCAATATGTGAAACGTTTTGGAAGCTAAATCTGCTGTTTGTTTTTTCAGGTGTGTGGTGCTTCTAGGGCATGGTATTTTTGTGAGTTTTGTGATCTGTGCTGGTGAGCTCATATGTTTTGAAAGTTCTATCAATGAGAATTCTTTGAACAAATCGGAAAGAATTTGCTTTTCTTAGTACCATGAGCCTAAAGCCACTTCCAAGTCAGCAGCATTCTACACTAATTCTCAGCATGAGTTTTTTGGGACTAACCAGGTAGTGTGAATTGAAGCTGGAAAATTGTACAATGGCCTTGTGTTTATGAATAATCAAGGCAGATATTTTGTTCTCTTACCGAAGTACTAAGTCTGGAGAAAGGCATTTTTCCTTGATGTCCAGGGTAAGAGCAGTGGTTGGGGTTAGTAGTAGTAGTTGTGGGGGAGGATAAGCTTCTATCTAATTTGTGATCATACTAAAGATATAAACCCTTGGGGCCCAGTTTTCTGTGTGGTCTTCTATTAGATTCTATACTTTGCGAAGTTCCTAGGCTTTTTCTCCTGTGGCCTGGCCACTGGAGTTTAGCAAATGCCCTCAGGATGAAAATCAGATTTAGTGTTTCAAAGATAGTTCTAGAAGGAGAGGTAATTTTTAACCCAGAGCCTCTGTCACTTGTCAGGAAGGGCCAGGCTGGTGTACCCTGGGAAAAACTTTAATGTTGCTTTTATTGATATCTTTATCAGCTACCGTCCTGATTAGCTAGACAAATCTTTCCTTTCAACAGAGTGAGGTCCAGAAGGGAAGCATTTTGTGGAAGTCATTTCTAGATCCCCCAGTAATTTATGTAGAGGAAAGCCCTTCCCCATGTCCAGGCTGTCCCGCACCTGAGCT
Organism: Homo sapiens; assembly: GCF_000001405.40. Lineage (NCBI taxonomy): Eukaryota > Metazoa > Chordata > Mammalia > Primates > Hominidae > Homo > Homo sapiens. Next base: position 3,991,933 of record NW_018654717.1, on the reverse strand, counting down.
CTCACCCTCACACAAGCATTGGGGGCTTCAGAGACCACGGATCCCCCATCTTCATCTCTCCAATCCCTCTGTCTCCATTTCTCACACGCTCCTGTGAAAAAATAAACAGAAGAACTGTCTGCCTTGGAACTATCCTGGTTATGCTTTTCTTTTTCAGAAAGTGCTTGAAATAGAGGCCAAATTCAAAAACCCTGCATCACCTAAAGCTGTATGGAGACAAGGCCAGGGTCCTTGCCTCTGCCCCATCCCTGAAATAGAACCTGCCAATGCTTGTTTCAGGCGGGTGTTTTATTTCAAAAGCCTAAGCCAGCCTATGAAGTGGATCTCTGGCTTGGAAGCATTTCGCGGGATCGTCACACGGGGCAGGTGGCTGGAAAGTGTGTCCAAACTCACCTGGCACTGCCTTCGGCCTCCCTGAATGCAGAGTTGGCCTCAGTCCCCAAGCTGCTCTCTAGAAGCCTGCAGCATCCAGCACAGGGTGAAAGAGGCCATCACATTGATATGTTAGTGGGCCCCAAGCAAATGTCTGACTGAGAGATGCTCGACTCCATCTGATTATTTTCCAGTTTTATGTAAAGCCTCCAGTGTGACTTATGATTAGGTTTTGATTCTCTTTCTTTGGAGTTAGTCTTGTCCAGGGGTGAGAACAGAAACTGCATGACCCAAAGACAGAGGGCCCCTTTCAGTCGGGGTCTCTGCTGACCAAAGCAATTTTGCAGGTGGGAAAAAAAAAAGAGTCTGGGCAGGGGTTTATTGACACACTTATTGACCTTCCACATCAGCTGTTGTTGCCAGCTTCCCTTAGACAGCCTTAGGCAAGAATAAAAGAAGCTGAGCACATTTTCAGATTCAGAGTCAGGTCTGCAAAGGGCTGAGAGTCTGGGCATTCTCCTTAGACAAGGGCAGAAGGCTGCCCCTTGTCTTTGTTTCCAGCCTGTCCATGCCCATGTTTTCAACAGAGTAATTCTGACCAATAAACTCTACCTGCTTGATGGAAGGTAAAAGGCATAAAGGCTGAATAGTATTTAGGAGATGAAAGATCAGTTAAGGCTTAGGTAAATGGTTAAATCAAGAGAATTCTTTCTCTGTTGATGGTCACTTGGAAACCAAGCTTCAGTTTCACATGAGCTCCATGCGTCTAAAACACTTTTCAAATAGTCTTCAAAAAATTAACTACTGACACATCCAATAACAGATGGTGGGATAAATTGCTATCTGTCACTTTCCTTTTCTGAAACACACAGAAAATCATATCTATAGCTCTGCAAACCATCCTGAGGAATATTTGGATCTGACTGAGTGAGAATTAACAAGGGCAAGAAATACCTAGTCAGACCAGCACTTGACACTCAGTAACTGTTGGTGAATGAATGAATGAATGAATGAAACATGTGCTCACCACATCTACTGCAGGATGTTAACATCTCTGAAAGTAGGTGAAAGGATTCTATGAAATCCAACCCAAAGTGTTATGCTTGGAACAATTAGGTTTATATTCCCAGAAGAAACAGGAGGGGGAAACAGCAACAACAACAAAAACAAAACATTGCTATCGTGGTATTCTTAAGTTTGTGATATGGTTTGGCTGTGTCCCCACCCAAATCTCATCTTGAATTGTAGTTCCCATAATTCACACTTGTCATGGGAGGAACCCAGTGGGAGGTAATTGAATCATGGGGGCGGTTACCTCCATGCTGTTCTCGTGATAGTAAGTGAGTTCTCATGAGATTTGATGGTTTTATAAGGTGATTTCCCCCTTTTGCTCTGCAGTTCTCTTTCCTGCCACCATGTGAAGAAGGACATGTTTGCTTCCCCTTCTGCCATGAATGTAAGTTTCCTGAGGTCTCCCCAGTTCTGCAGAACTGTGAGTCAATTAAACCTCTTTCCTTTATAAATTACCCAGTCTTGGGTATGTCTTTATTAGCAGTATGAGAACAGACTAATACAGCTTGTCATTTCAGAATGTTAGGATATGTAGATGTCATAGGAAGAAACCCTTGGACAGCCCATCTGTGTGTTCAAAAACAACCCCTCTATCAGCCCTGCTCACCACAAAAGAGGGGAAAGTCAAAAAATGAAAGTAGGTAGGTCTTCAGGGCAAAGAGCACAGCACATTTATGCAGAAAATCTAGACAATAGGCCAGGCGCAGTGGCTCATGCCTGTAATCCCAGCACTTTGGGAGTCTGAGGCGGGTGGATCGCCTGAGGTCAGGAGTTTGAGACCAGCCTGGCCAACATAGTGAAACCTCATCTCTACTAAAAATACAAAAAATTAGCTGGGCGTGGTGGTGGGCACCTGTAATCCCAGCTACTCGGGAGGCTGAGGCAGGAGAATAGCTTGAATCTGGAAAGTGGAGCTTGCAGTGAGCCGAGATCACGCCATTGCACTCCAGCCTGGGCAACAAGAGCGAAACTCCGTCTCAAAAAAAAAAAAAAAAAAAACTATGACACAATAATAATTGTGAATAAATTTGCCAGCTGTACTTCATAACCTGAGGACATGATTAAAGCAATGTTTTGAGGAAAATTATTAGGCGTAAGCACTTAGCATTAATAAATACAAAGAATCAAAATAATGCATTAGTGATTCAACTTAAGTTTGAAAAAGAACATAATTATGAAAAAACAAAATGAAGAAATAAAAATTGGGAGTTGAAGTGAATAAATTAAAAAATGGATATTTGGCAGAAAAATAAATGAATCCAAGTCCTGGTGCTTTTAAATAAAACAGATAAACCATTAATATCCTAAAAAAAAGTGGGGCAAAATACAAACGCATACAATTAGAAAGGAGGGTGGGAAATAACAGAAAGACAGAGAAAACACTTTTTAACTATGCAAATAAATTAGAAAACCTAAGGAATGAATATACATGAAGTGAATAATTTATCCAAATGCCAGACACAGGTCATTTCACAAATGAAATTTTAAATTTAAAAATTTTAAGAAAGAGATTATTCTAGTACTTTTAAAACTTTTCTAAGGAAAATCAACATGTCTAATGTTGTTTATAAAGCCAACATAACAGTAATGCCAAAACTGGACAGTGCACACACAGGACTCACAAAACAGTAGACGACTTTTAGGAATAAGCCTAGTGCCAAAATATTTTTTAAAATATTGACACTGTAATTACCATTTTTTTCTTTCTTTTTTTTTTTTTTTGCAAGTGACACACACTCTAACAGCTCCTTGACCAGAGAGTAAAGGTAGCTCTATTATAAAAGAAAAATAATTTAAAGATTTCAAAAATACAAAAGGGCACCATGAGAAAACTGAGTTTTGATCATGGTCTTTGGATCTAGCTGAATGTTAGAAACACTGGGCAAAAGAAGTTAAATCAGCATCAAGAGGTGAACTGCAGGTAAACAGGTTTTCCAAGTCATAGACAACTGGGGCCAGAAATTGCTCATAAATATTTTCTCTGCTTCCTCCAATCAAATGCAGGTTTCTTTTTTTTTTTTTAAGTTTTTTTTTTTTTTACTTTTTAGAGACAGGGCCTCACTCTGTCATCCAGGCTGGAGTGCATTGGTACAATCATAGCTCACTACAGCCTTAAACTCCTGGGCTCAAGTGATTCTCCTGCCTCAGCCTCCTGAGTAGCTGGAACTAATCTGTTCCAGGTGCGCGTCACCACATCTGGCTAATTTTTAAATTTTTTGCAGGGACAGGGTCCTGCTGTGTTGCCCAGGCTGGCCTTGAACTCCTGGCTTCAAACAGTCTTCCCACTTGGGCTCCCAAAGTGCTGGGATTAAAGGGGCGAGTTACAGCACCAGGACCTGAAATGTAAGTTTCCTTTTGTGAGTGAATGTTCCATTTAGTTAAGTTATTCCAAAATGATGAGGTAAGCCTGTGAATGAGGTTCTACTTTCTGTCCAGAATTCTTGGAGAAGGTCAAACTGGTGAGATGAGCGAGGCAGGTTGAGAGGTATGAGGAGTTGGGGGCAGGGGGGTTACATTATTCAAAAGAGTAAAAGTGGAGCCTGCGAAGGGGGAGTAAAAGCGACAACAAAGAGAGGGGCTCTGGCGGCCTTGGAGTGGAACAGATTAGTGACATCCGTCTTAAAAAAGCCCAGTCATGACTGGTGGTGGCTGATGAGGCCTAGGAAGCGATTAGAGCTGAAGTCATTAAAACGTCTCTGTGGAAGTTTAGCTGGCTGCCCTCCACTTAATCCTCTTAGGCAAACAGGCCATTCTCACTAGGCCGTAGATGGAGGCTCTGGCGGATCCTGGCCTGAAATGCCAGCCGACTTCGAGAATTAGAAATTCTCGGTATTCATGAGGATTGGGAGTAAGCGTGTGAGTTGGTTTGTGAGGTGTGGAAAGCCAATTTGCTGATGGTATAAGTCTTCCATTTAATCACCGTCAAGCACAAAGTGATGTAGAAAAAGAAAGTCTTCAGGATCAATATTAACTACGGCTTCGACAGAGCTAAGAATCAACAATGGCTGGAACTGTGACCTACAACTCAGGCTCTGCTGGGCTGACCAGGGCCCTGGGGGAACACAGGGAGAAGGCGTTCTAGCACATGACCTGTGTAGTCTGAGATTGAAACTGACCTTTTGAGGGAACAGGGCCAGAAGCTAGAAGCACCCAGAGACTGTGTCTATTCTTTCCAGAAGGATCCCTGTCTCAGCTAGACGATCCCCGGCAGGCTGCAGTTAGATGCTCAAATTTCAGCGAATGGATTGAATGAAAGTCAGTCTGGGTCTGAGACAAGATTTTCATTTGATAGAAATTGTTAAGATTTTCCTCTGAGTAATTTCTTTTTTTTTTTTTTTTTTTAATTTATTTTTTATTGATCATTCTTGGGTGTTTCTCACAGAGGGGGATTTGGCAGGGTCATAGGACAATAGTGGAGGGAAGGTCAGCAGATAAACAAGTGAACAAAGGTCTCTGGCTTTCCTAGGCAGAGGACCCTGCGGCCTTCCGCAGTGTTTGTGTCCCTGGGTACTTGAGATTAGGGAGTGGCGACGACTCTTAACGAGCATGCTGCCTTCAAGCATCTGTTTAACAAAGCACGTCTTGCACCGCCCTTAATCCATTTAACCCTGAGTGGACACAGCACATGTTTCAGAGAGCACAGGGCTGGGGGCAAGGTCACAGATCAACAGGATCCCAAGGCAGAAGAATTTTTCTTAGTACAGAACAAAATGAAAAGTCTCCCATGTCTACCTCTTTCTACACAGACACGGCAACCATCCGATTTCTCAATCTTTTCCCCACCTTTCCTCCCTTTCTATTCCACAAAACCGCCATTGTCATCCTGGCCCATTCTCAATGAGCTGTTGGGCACACCTCCCAGACGGGGTGGTGGCCGGGCAGAGGGGCTCCCCACTTCCCAGTAGAGGCGGCCGGGCAGAGGCGCCCCTCACCTCCCGGACGGGGCGGCTGGCCGGGCGGGGGTCTGACCCCCCACCTCCCTCCCGGACGGGGCGGCTGGCCGGGCAGAGGGGCTCCTCACTTCCCAGGAGGGGCGGCTGGGCAGAGGCGCCCCTCACCTCCCGGATGGGGCGGCTGGCCGGGCGGGGGGCTGACCCCCCCACCTCACTTCCCAGACGGGGTGGCTGCCGGGCGGAGAGGCTCCTCACTTCTCAGACGGGGTGGCTGCTGGGCGGAGGGGCTCCTCACTTCTCAGACGGGGTGGCTGCTGGGCAGAGGGTCTCCTCACTTCTCAGACGGGGTGGCCGGGCAGAGACGCTCCTCACCTCCCAGACGGGGTCGCGGCCGGGCAGAGGCGCTCCTCACATCCCAGATGGGGCGGCGGGGCAGAGGCGCTCCCCACATCTCAGACGATGGGCGGCCGGGCCTCTGAGTAATTTCTTTCCTAACTGGCTGTGAAAAGAAGGAAGAAAGGCCAGTGTTTAATTGGGTTGGGATCTCGGCGGCTCTGCGATCAGTTTCTTTCTTTTATCAGTGTGGGCTCACTGGTGACTGAAGGGGGTTTATTATCCAAATTATATAAGATCTGTGTTTTGGATTTGCCACCAGAGAAGGTATTAAACAGTGCTACCTATCAGAAGATTCATGCCTCGTACGGAGTTTTAAATTTTTGAGTAGCCACATTAAAAAAAGTAAACGGAAACTGAAGAAATTACTTTTAATAATATGTTTCCCTTAACCAAAATATTATTCCAACATAATTAATGTAAGAACATGCTGATAAGATGTTTTGCATTATTTTTTCCATGTTGAGTCTTCAAAATTCAGCACATCTCAATTCAGGGTAGCTCTTTCTGAAGGGGTTAGAGGCTACCATATTAGACAGTATCTAACACTGGATATAAAGGATTACATCACATGGTCCCTGCCCTCTGGGAGCCTATAAATGTGTACCTTTATTCTGTATTCAAGGAGGTGGAGTAGGGGGGATGGAGAGATGTACCTAATAAGACTCCACTTGAGAGAAATGGGAACCTCTCTAGGGTTTAATGCCAACTACTAGTGCTAGGCAGGTTGTACATGGCTCCCTCCTCTTCTCAGGTCTGGTTAACTAACAACTCTGTCACCCAACCACACCCAACAGAACAAATTCTTGACAGCCCAACCAAACAGAAACCACAAAACCAATTGGGCTAACCCAAATTCACATACCTCTTTTTACAGTATTTGAGAGGTCTCTATTCTGCAAAGCGTTAGGGGGATTGTGTGGGGTAAGGAGGGAATGAAGCCAACACTCCGGATGACCTCTGTAGATTGGTTTAACTTAAGAGCACACGTGAACACGTTGTCAGGATCACGGCCAGTACTAGGACTGGTTCAGACACACAGCTCTTGCCACTCCTGAAAGGAGCTTTGGCCAATATCTCCACAGTTTAGGGGTGTAACATTTTGCAGTGCCTCAGTCCTTTAAATGCAGCCAGCTTCCCCTGAGCCCTGAGCTGGGCTGCAGCCAGCACACCTAGGCCATCACTGGCTCCAATGCCTGGTCTGTGTAGTTGGCCAGCACTGCCCTCTCACCCTCCAGACACTCTGAGCCCAGGCCGTAATCTCTGGTTTGACACCATGGCTTTCCACATCAACTCCTAGATTCCCTTCCGACTCTCTTTGCTGATTCGTTGACCTAGCATCTCACTTACCTGTGCATGCTTTCCTGACACATCAGTCTCCCAAGTGTGGGTAGAGTCATCTCTGTCACAAGGACTCTGGGAGCCCTCCCCAGCCAGGCTTGTTCAGGCCTTCTCTGCCTTCCTCTCTTCTCTCCCTAACGGTGGAGAGACATTTGGATACAGTGAGGTCTGGAGCTAATCCCATCCCCTAGGCCCTAGGAGGTCCCTGTTAAAAGGACCAAGTGGGCCAGGTGCGGTGGCTCAAGCCTGTAATCCCAGCACTTTGGGGGGCCGAGGTGGGTGGATCACGAGGTCAGGAGATAAGAGACCATCCTGGCCAACAGGGTGAAATCCCGTCCCTACTAAAAATAGAAAAAGTAGTTGGGTGTGGTGGCGCATGCCTGTAGTCCTAGCTACTCGGGAGGCTGAGGTTGCAGTGAGCCAAGATTGCGCCACGGCACTCCAGCCTGGCAACAGAGCGAGACTCCATCTCAAAAAAAAAGCACCAAGTGTGGGTCTCACAGTCCTGGCCCTGCTCCAGGCCTTTCTTCTTGCCTCATCCTACTCTGTCTCCAGCTCCATGCAGCTATTATATTTCCTTAAGCGAGTTGACTCCTTCCCCATTCACAATGTACTAATTTCAGAACACTCAACTTCTACATATACAAATTCTCAAAAATCAATGCCTAAAAACTAGTGACGTAATCGTTCATTATTTCTTTCTTTCAAGAAATATTTATATTGCACAAATCCATGCAACACAATCGATTTTCTTTCTATGGCAGCTGGATACTGTGTGATGACTTTCTTTGTAGGTTATACACCGCATCTTGATGACAATGCATTAATGGGGATAAATACTCCCCAGAAGAGCTTCGGCCTGTCCTGAGATCTGCAACACAAGGAGTTTTTAACCTGGAAAGTGTGCTTAATTCTTCTACTGCCTCTTCTTGAGGGCTGCCTAAGTACAGAATGTTTGGTGTCCTGGAGGGTGCCCAGGCTAACAGTGAGAATTGGATAGCTCCATCAGGGCCTTGGGCACTGGGCCTATGGAGTAGCCTGTACTTCTTGCTCTTTTCAACACTTGAAGGGAGAGGGGGCCAAGTTCTCTCGCAGAGTTGCTCTATGGCAGTGGCAGCAGCCAGCTGGATATCACGGGAAAATGCCCGCTCCGTGAAAGGGTCATATATGCAAAGTAGCCCCCAAAGGCCAAAAGAGCCAAGAAACCAAAGAACAAGCCACACAACTCCAGTTTGTTGATAAAGGATGTTTTACTGGGGAAACTTACAGATGGAAGCATGGTCTTTAGCGGCAGCAATACAGGTAGATCTCTGCACCTGTTACCCCCAGAACCAGGGCTTATATAGCATAGGGAAAGGGTATGTGTGCCCTGTGCAAGACAATGAAAGACTACCCTCCAGAAGAGGCAAGAATGCTGCATGCATCAAAGCCTATAATTTGTGCAACAGCATCAAGGTTGACATGTTCTTACATTAGGGACAGTAAATTAAGTAATAATCGGAAGGCATTCCCGAGACAACGGCTAATCAGAAGTGAAAACAGCAAATTAGCCTCCAACATGGCATCACTTGTGTCCCCACTTCCTCTTGGTAATAGTCACATGCTCAACCTTCTACTGTGACTTGGAGCAAGTGGCTTCCTTACTCTTGGTTAAGGTTGTTGACCTGTTAGTAAAATAAGATTAAAGGGCACATAAAAATGTCACTGGACAGATCTTGTCAGCAGCCCTTTGAGTGCACACAAAGGCTATCAGTAAAGCAGAAAGCAAAGCAGATGTGAAGCTGGGGTTCTACCCAACTAAGTCAGGTGTCAGCAGCATTAGAAGGGCCCTTCCAAGGCCGGGCGTGGTGGCTCACGCCTGTAATCCCAGCACTTTGGGAGGCCGAGGCAGGCGGATCACGAGGTCAGGAGATCGAGACCATCCTGGCTAACACGGTGAAACACCGTCTCTACTAAAAATACAAAAATTAGCCGGGCGTGGTGGCGGGCGCCTGTAGTCCCAGCTACTCGGGAGGCTGAGGCAGGAGGATGGAGTGAACCCGGGAGGCAGAGCTTGCAGTAAGCCGAGATTGTGCCACTGCACTCCAGCTTGGGAAACAGAGAGCAAGACTCCGTCTCAAAAAAAAAAAAAAAAAAAAAGGAAGGGACCTTCCGATTATGCGCACCACATACGGTGTTTGCGACAACCTAGGATACATTTTATTGTTGGTTCCTATTGGAGATAAGGGATTGAGAGAGACTGATGTGTGCATAGGCATGAACGGGATTGTTCACACATCCCTGCACTTACAGGGTGTGTCCTTTTAGGATTTCCTGAGCATAAACACGAGGGGAGGGTGAAAAGTCCCACTGTTACCTGCATGCCATGAAAATCCACTGGTTTTGGCTCCAGTTTTTGCTCACTGTCAACTAAAGCAGCATTTAAAAAAAATGGAAACCTTGAGACATTTCTATTGTTCTGAATCAGCTGAGCATGGATGCTGAAATGTCCCTGCTTCCCACTAGGGGGAGCTTGTCATGCAGCACCAGAAACAGGATCGCGGGAGCGGGTATCGGTGAGGCTGAGCTGGAACGCGATTAGATTTTGTGCGTGTGGATCTTCTCACGAGAAGCACACCTGTATTCTGTATTTTGGCTTTGATATGATTTGGTGGCTAGATTTAATTTTTGTGCCACCAGAGTGGATGTTATAGCTCCCGTTATGTAATCTAAAAAGCTTAAACACTTTTTCTACAGCACAGGGCTTTTTTCCTTCTTTCTACTATCAGATTGTATACATAATGATCCCTTATTTAAGGCACTGAGCCGGGCCCCACGCAAAGTCTCACGAGCAGGTGGGCTTCTTCCCCATCAGTGTTAACTGGCTTGGGGTCCATTTCACAGAACCCACTGTCTATCGCGGCTGTCAACAAACTGTGCCCTTCTAATTCAGTTTGACCAGCCTCGTCTAGCTAATGCCAAATCTACTGTGTTCTCTTATCACTGTCCCTGTATTAAATATAGTTAAGAGGAAATGGGGTCATCTTTGCTTTTTGAATATTTTTATTTCCTGGTTGAAAAACAATTGAGTAAAATGTTTTTGTTTCTAGAGGGGGTGACATGGAAATGCTCTATTTCAGTGGTAGAAGGTGCTGCGGAGCAGCGGGAAAACTGTCGCTCTGAAGTCAGAAGTTGGGTTTCAATCCCTGCAATGGCCCTTACTTGCTGACTAAAGGCTCTCAGTCTACTGTAACCCACCGGGCTTCCATTTCTGTCAATTAAGTAGGGATAACAATATGCATTTCGTGTGTGTGTGTGTGTTTTTAATGAGAATGGATAAAGAAAGGCAGTTGAAAAGACACAGCACAGTCCGGGTGCGGTGGCTCACGCCTGTAATCCCAGCACTTTGGGAGGCCGAGGCGGGTGGATCACGAGGTCAGGAGATCGAGATCATCCTGGCTAACAGGGTGAAACCCATCTCTACTAAAAATACATAAAATTAGCCGTGTGTGGTGGCGGGCGCCTGTAGTCCCAGCTACTCAGGAGGCTGAGGCAGGAGAATGGCGTGAACCCGGGAGGCGGAGCTTGAGATCGCGCCACCGCACTCCAGCCTGGGCGACAGAGCGAGACTCCGTCTCAAAAAAAAAAAAAAAAAAAAAAACAAGAAAAAAAGAAAAGAAAAAAAGACACAGCACAGTGACTGGCACATAGCAGGTGTCACTCCATTCCTCTTTCGCTTTGGTCAGGAATCCCCTTTGCCGTTTGATCACTTTTAAAGACAATCCCTCATGTTTTCTTCCTTGTATTATTTAATAGCCTGTTCGCCTGTTCAGTGTAAGATAAGGAAACATTAGTACAGAAAAATGGGGAATAGACAAATGGCGAAGGGACGGCTATCCTTTCGGAACAGAAAACACAACTTAATTACATTCACAATGGATCAAAACGGCTTCCTGAATCAGGTACCTACAGTTTGCGGCCTCTCTTATGTCCCGCCTGCGTCTCTCTGTCTACTACTCATCACCAGATGCCAGGGCCACCTCCAACAGCGGTGCCTGCATTCCTTCTTGATTTAGTATCTTTTTGTAATTGATACATAATATTTTCACATATTCATGGTGTATATGTGATGTTTTGTTACATGCATGGAATGTGTTATGATCAAGACAGGGTATCAGGGTATCCAGCTGGAGTATTTATTTCCAGGTGCTGGGAACATTTCAAGTCCTATCTTCTAGCTATTTTCAAAATATGTAATGCAGTCGCCCTATTCTACCATCTAACGTTAGAACTTATTCTTTCTAACTATATGTTTGTACCCCTAACCAACCTTTCTTCATTCCCCCACCTTCATGTCCTTCTTAACTGCTAGTAAACGTTCTACTCTCTACCTCTGTAAGATCACCTTCTTTTAGCTCCCACATATGATGGAGTAAATGCAATAAAAATATGGAAAGCTTCACAAATTTGCACGGCATCTTTGTGCAGGGCCGTGCTAATCTTCTCTATATCATTCCAATGTGCCAATTACTAATGAACTAAACACTAATACTTTCTGCCAAAGTAAGCACGGATTTAGGATCTTTGACATGATCCCAAAAAGATAGACATTGCAGTGCTTTTGTGGATGATATCCAATTGAGGTTCTACTTCTGCAGAATTAAATTATAATTTTACACAGTCTTTTGGAAGATCCCAGGATTTGATAAAGAATTTCATGAGAATCTAAATCCAAGATTTCTCCACTCACTGGGGCCTGGTTAACTGATATCTGGCTATAAAATTCCAACACAGGATAGATTTCAGTTCAGTTCTGAACTGCCTTCTTGGCTTCCCAGTTGATATAAGACATGCATTCTAATGGAAACACATTGCTGAATGTGGCTAGGCCATAGAGCTGAATTAACTCAGGTTAGCTTTATTTTGGATAAGTAGGCTTTTTGTGGGCTGCCCTGGGAACTTTTTCATTATGTATAATTTCATACCTATGGAATATGAGGCTCAAATTCTAAATGACTGGCTTGCCAACTTTTAGAATTTACCTGCTTTAAAATTGGGAGCAATCTGTTCCTTTGTAAATGTTCTGAACTGGAACTATAATTCAGATAAATAAGGGCATTTCTAAATGACAGAGCCCAAAGGAAATCTGTTTGCAAGAGGGACAGATGCCCCTCAGGAAGACAAGCAGGGGAGCACTTGTTCTCAGATCATGAGTCAAGGTCAGAGAGTGAGATGACTCTGGGTAATGGAGACTACACTTCAGGCCATCCCCGTAGACAAATGCTCATGTCTTAAAGAAAAGGAGAGGCAAAAACACAGTGAGAAAATCCTGAAAGCTGCAATGCATTGGAATTGCTGTCTGCATCGGAAGTGGGGTTATAGCAGGGACATCAGTCTCCTTGGTGTAAGCAGAGTAAGAACCAGAAACAGCAGCAGCGCAGCATCCGTGACAAAAGCATTCATGTTGGAAGTCCCAGGTGTGACCAGTGTGAGCTGGAATAGGAAAGAGTAAAGGGGTCATTCCTCAGGTCACTGGGAAGAGGCATGGAGCACAGGCAACACATAGACACTTCCATCATGATTTCACAGGGTGTGGGGCAGCTGGAAATGCCAGAGACATGTATTGTGAGTATTGCTGTGACCATATGTTTTTGCTTCCAAACTAGTATGGACAAGGAAGCCTCCTTGCATTAAAAAAAATTTTTTTTAATGTGTGTGTGTGTGTATATAAACCTAACTGGTTCCTGCCAGACACTAACATTGCATTGCCCAGCAAATAAAAAGGAAAGAAAAAGGCCCTCAGATCTTTAAAAACTGGACTAGGCACTGACCATCAAAGCCCATCAGACATGTCTGATCCCTGGCACTCTCCCTCCAGCTCCCGAGCCCTCTTCCTCTGTCTGCCTTCCTGGCTTTTGACTGCAGATTGCTAACAGATCCTGACTCTTGCCTGTGTACCATTCTGATTTTGCATCTCTCTTTGCTTCCACTGATACCTGACAGTCTCTTTGTTTGTCTGCTGCCTTGAGCAGAATTTCCTAAAGAATTCTGAAACCAACTCAATCCTCCCATAGGTAGTTTTTTGGATAAACACAGAGATTGACCCTTCTGGTCTTAAAACTTGAAACTACATTTGCTTTATCGGAGTTCCTTCCTCAGGAAATGACCTTCAACCTCCCCAAAAAAGTATCAAAGAACTGAAACTCACCAGATCGCCACATCCAGACAATGAAATGCCTGACCCTTCATTCATCAGGATCGCTTCCTTGCCCCTTCCTAGTTCCTGTCTTCTTCCCTGCTATATAAATCCTTAGCTTTAGTTGGTCAGGGAGATGGATTTGAGGCTGAGCTCTCATCTTTTCAGCTGCAGCACCCAATTAAAGCCTTCTTCCTTGGCAATACTCATAGTCTCAGTCATTGGCTCTCGGTCTCTGGCTTTCTGTGTAGCAAGCTGCAGAATCTAGACCAAATCCTTGGTATTTCAGTAATATTTGCACAAAACACAGTTCCAAGGGTGTTGTGTAAACAAATAGTATATGTATGGAAATGAATAAAAATAAACCAGTTCATAGAGGACAGAGGTTCTGCCCATTTTCTCAATATCCAACCCTGTACCTTGTATACAGAAATTGCCCTATACATACTGGCTGCATGAATAGGTGGCCAAGTTTCAGAAATGGGTTAAACTTAAAAATACATTTCTTTGACTTTGGAATGTTAATTAGCCCTTAATATATGAAAAAGCATTGAGAATAAATCTTGACCTAAGTCTCACAGCTTATGTAGAAATTAACTCAAAGTGATCTAAGATGGATCATGGATTTAAATGTAAAACTGGGACTATATATTGTATTTAAACAGATTTAAATGTAAAACTATAAAACTTTTAGAAGAAATCTTAAGAGAAAATCTTCAGGACCAAGGGTTAGGTGAAGGATTATTAGACATGACAACAAAATGCAGTCCATAAAAACAAAGTAAATCAGAGTTCATCAAAATGAAAAACTTTTGTGCTGTGGAAAATGTGGTTAAGCAAATAAAAGACATCCTACCCCCTGGGAGGATATACATGAAACTGAAAAAGGACTAGAATCTAGAATCTATAAATAACCTTCAAAACTCAACAATTAAAACAACCCCCAAATCCAGTTATCAAATGGGCAAAAACATGAGCAGACATTTCACCAAAGAGGAGATACAGATGAAATAAGAACATGCAAAGATATTTGTAATCATTAACTATTAGGAAAATGCAAACTACAATTACAATGAGATATCCCGACACACCTGTTAGAACAACTACAAAACAGCAACAATGCTGGAGAAGAAGAAGAGAAACTGAATTTCTCATGCGTGCCTGGTGGGAATTTGAAACAGTGCATTGGCTGTTTCTTATTAAGTTAAATGTGTAACTACCATTCAACCAAGCAATTATATTCTTGGACATTTATTCTGGAAAAATGAAAACGTATGTCCATATAAAAACTTGTACCTGAATGTTCATATCTTTACTTATAATCACCCCAAACTGGGAACAATCCAAGTGTCCTTCAATGATGAATGATTAAACTAACCATGGTAGAGTCACGCCAGGGAATACTACTCAACAACATAAAGGAACAAACTATTGATGCATGCAACAACCTGGACCTATCTTAAAGGGCATTGTGCTTAGTGGAAAAAGCCCATCTCAAAATTTTACATACCTGTGTGAGTCCATATATAACTCCATATATACAATGTTCTTGAAATGACAAAACTGTAAAGATTAGAGCAGATTAGAGTTGCCAGGGGACAGGGATGGAAAGAGCGGATGAATACAAAGGGATAGTACAAGGGAGCCACTTTGTGATGATGTGGTTCCACAAATCTACACACAGCATAAAAGTGCAGCAAACTATACACATACACACACAGCTGAATGCATGTAAAAGTTGTTGAAAACGGAATAAGGCCTGTAGTTAATGACACTGTATCATATCAATTTCCTGGGTGACATTGTACAACAGCTATATAAAATGTCCCTCTGGGGGAAGTTGGACGAAGGATACACAAGACTATTTTGCAACTTCTTTTGAGTCTGTAATTATTTCAAAATGGAAAGTTAAAAAAAAAAAAGACTTGAGAATATCCAAGAGAGGGTTTTAACCATGAAACCCTTTCGTCCTGGAACATCGGGTAAGATTGGTGTTCTATAGAACACACGCTGGGAAATGCATGTCAAAGAAACTGGTTTTGAACCAACAATCACTGTCCCCATTGTTCATCCCAGCCCCGGGCCCATCACCTGCATCAGTGGCCAAGCTTGCCCCACAATTCTGTCTCAATTTGCAGCTGAGAGGACACTCCACAGAGTTGCTTTTGTTCAGTAGGGTTTTCCACAGAGGTTGTATCTTGGTTCATTTCTGTTTTTCGCTTTGGGTTAGGCTGCTCTGCCAAGTTTGCCCAAACTTGTGTCAGTCTGTGCCAAGCACCATGCCTCATCCACAGAACCTAATGGGATGTGACACAGGTGGTAGGTCAGGATAGTGACAGCCAAGAATCTGGAGGAAACAGAGGCATTGTTGTCATAATGGCCTACTCTCAGAAGGTATTATGCCATAAACAGAAGCTGTGAATGAACGTAGAATAAATAAGTCATTTCCAGTACAGCAGACTGCAGTGTGTACACGCTTGAGTTGATACCTTTATTGACACACAGCCTAGACCAAATGGTGCTCAAACTCCATTGTTCCTAAGAATCGCCTGAAAAATCCGTGTTGTTGCTATGTCAGTATCCTGGAGGAGGAACCTGAGAATAGGCAGATTCAGAACAATCTCAACAAGTAACACTGGTACAGGAAGTCTGGGACCACACCTTTTTCTACAATATCACTTTTTAATCATTTCAGCTGGGAGCCTTGTTACTTGCACTCCATACTATATGAAGTGTTTAAAACTAATAACTTCTACCCATTTACACTAGCATATGTATTTACCAAAGGATTTTTTTAATTCCCTTACACATCGCTCAGAAACAAACCAATGTAGGAGTGTGTGTGTGTGTGTGTGTGTGTGTGTGTGTGTGTGTGTGTGTGTTGAAAAATAAAGGGTAATGACAATTTCCAAACGTGGTTCTTCTTTTATCAAAGGACAAAACTCGTAACCTTAATAGCATTTGTGATAAACCCAGGACTCTGGGAAATAGGAAGATTTTTGTTTTGTGTTATTTGTTTTGCTTAATCATGGTCAAAGAACCATTAGAGACAATTTGAACATTACCTTAATGAGTCCTACAAAGTAGTGCTTTTGACAGCTATTTTTTAATTGGCCAAAAAAGAAATCCTAACAAATCACCCTGGCCAACTTGACAGCTTGTTTGCTATGGGATATTCTGTCTTATCTTTGGAAGCCCCACTGTAGCCAGTCTAAAAGAACAACACAGCCTTAAGAAAATGGGGCAAAGACTCACTTAGTGATTAGAGGTAATAAAACAGAGATGGCCCCAGTAGTCCACAATCTTGGAAGTGACCAGGGTGCCTTCCTGTGAGTTTCTTTGACTGTACAATGGTGATCCATCCATATCGCCCCTGTGTTTCCCAAAGCTATAGTAAGCAATATGGCAGAATCTAATAAAAAGTATCAAAGGATTTATGCGAAGTAATGCATATGTTAATTAGCTTGACTTTCCCATTCCACAAGGTAGACATATTTGAAAACATCATGTTATCTGTCAATTTTTTAAATTAAATAATTTTTTAAGTATTAAAGAATTTCACAGCCCTTCCAACAGCCCTTGATCTAGATCAGTGGTCTCCCAAACAGAATGTCCAGCGCTGATCCATTGGAGTGCTGGAGAAAATGCTAAAACTTCCACTTACATTTAGTTTTATCAAAAATTAAGACGTTTAACTTGACTAATATTAATAGATGCATTAAATTGGCAGTCTCATTTAGTCTGCAAGTCCCAAACATCATCATGGGACCCATGTAGTGTTCCCAGGATCTTAAGAGAAGAGTGGAGATTATTTGATCAAGAATGTAAATGGGCTGAGCACAGTGGCTCACACCTGTGATTCTAGAGCTTTGGGAGGACTAGACAGGTGGATCGCTTGAGCCCAGGAGTTCAAGACCTGGGCAACGTGGCAAAACACCATCTCTACAAAAACACAGAAATTAGCTGGGTGTGGTGGCACGTGCCTGTAGTCCCAGCTCCTAGAGAGGCTGAAGTGGGAGGCTCACTTGAGCTTGGGAAGTGGAGGTTGCAGTAAGCCAAGATTGTTCCACTGCACTCCCGCCTGAGTGACAGAGCAAGACCCTGTCTCAAAAAAAAAAAAAAAAAAAAAAAAAGAATAATGATGGCAGCCCCTTACTTAGCCATGAGCTATCAGGCTATCAGGTTATTGGACAATGTTGCACTGGACATGCTCCCAGTTAAATGCACTTACAGGTATTGTTATCTAGATTAAACTAATCCTCACAAAATGAACAAGTGGCTTAAAACAGTTTCTTCAAGGAATTGCCTATGTCATCACTGCAGAAAACTCTGACCCAGAAAATGTCCAAACAACCTGAGTAGTCCATTGAAGATAATAATAATGCAAGCACAAGAGAATATCAAGAAAAAGGAAGACCTGACATTTATTCTACTTGCCAAGTGGGCTCTGTATCTGCCCACATGATGAGTTATTTTAAAAATCAGAGATGATCTATCAGATTTTAAATGAAGATGGCCAATCTGTGAGAAGATGCTTTTTGAAGAAATGCATGCTATGAAAAGAATAATTTGAAAGTGAATATTTGGAAACATTTTCAAGTTTATGTGTTCTTTTTTTTAATTTAAAAATTCTGTGTGTCACATATAAAAACTCTCATATTATTACACTTAAACTATCAAAAATCTGTAAACGGGCCAGGCGTGGTGTCTCACGCCGGTAGTCCCAGCACTTTGGGAGGCCGAGGCAGGTAGATTGTGAGGACAGGAGATCGAGACCATCTTGGCTAACATGGTGAAACCCCGTCTCTACTAAAAATACAAAAAAATTAGCCAGGTGTGGTGGCGGACGCCTGTAGTCCCAGCTACTTGGGAGGCTTAGGCAGGAGAAGGGCTTGAACCCAGGAGGTGGAGCTTGCAGTGAGCCGAGATCGCACCACTGCACTCCAGCCTGGGCGACAGAGCAAGACTCTGTCTCAAAAAAAAATCTGTTAAAAATTCTTCCAAAAAAAGTTTTAATGAGTTTTTAACCTATTTGTTAAAAACACCAAAATGAAATCCAGTAGTCCCCCCACCATCTGTGGTTTTACTTCCTGTGGTTCTAGTTACCCGCAGTACAGTACAGTGAGACGTTTTGAGAAAAAGAGGACCATATTCATGTAACTTTTAGTACACCGTATTGTTATAAATGTTCTATTTTATTATTGTTGTTGTTATTCTCTTACTGTGCATAACTGATAGATTTTATCATAGATATAAATGTACAGGAAAAAACATACTCTATATAGGGTTCGGTACTATCCGAGGTTTCAGGCAACCACTGGAGGTCTTGGAAAGCATCTCCCATGGATAAGGGAGAGCTACTGCACCTTGTGATCAGTTAGGAAGAGAAACTTCTTGATATCAGAGAAAACAAAAATTACCAGCACAATTTAAACAAAAACCTTTACACAATCGATGGAGTGGAATGAAAATGAGCATCTAAAGAGGTTTTTGTTCCATCTGGCTCTGTGCATCTTTGTGAGAGAACATTTTCAGCTGCAATAAGCAATAAAGTCAAGAAAGAAAGAAAAAGTAGAAAGAAAAGAAGGAAGGCAGGCAGGCAGGAAGGCAGGAAGGCAGGCAGGTAAGAAGGCAGGAAGTTAGGAAGGAAGGCAGGAAGGCAGGCAGGAAGGCAGAAGGAAGGAAGCAAGGAAGGAAGGAAGGAAGGAAGGAAGGAATCTAAGAAAGGAAGTCTTTGGAAATATTTTTAAGGGCTAAGAATAGGAATTCCAAACATAAGGAATCAGGAATAGAGAAAGACTCTATGAATTATATACAAATCTACATGTGTGCATGAGGAGTGTGTATGAGCAATAGAATAGAAATCAAGATAGTAAGAAATATTTCTAGTCATAATGCTTTGAAAATAAAATTGTACTTTTAGGTATTGCAGCTTCTACGACTTTGCAAAAACAATACACTGAAATAAATGCTTTCAGTTTGACCACTGTGTTAGTTTTCTAGGGCTACCGTTACAAAAAACCAGAAGCTGGGTAGTTTACACAACAGAAATGTATTTTCTCACAGTTCAAGAGGGTAGAAGTCCAAGATCAAGGTGTCAAGAGGGCTGGTTCCTTCCGAGGGCTGTGAGGGAAGATCAGTTTCATGCCTCTCTCCTTACTTCTGGTGGCTTTCTGGGAATCTTTGGTGTTCCTTGTAGATGGCATCTTCTTGTGTCTTCACAAGGTCTTCTCTCTGTCTCTGTATCCAAATTCCCCTTTTTTTTTTATAAGGGCACCACTGATACTGGATTAGGGGCCTACCCTATTCCAGTATCATCTATCAATTACATTTACAATCACCTTTTTCCAAATAAGGTTGCGTTGTGAAGTACTGGGGGTTAGGACTTTAACATTCAAACTTTGGGGAAACACAATTCTACCTATCCCAACGATGACTTTGCAAAAATGAAAATCCACCTTCCTCATTTCTTTTAAAAGTGTGTCTTTGGGCCAGGCGTGGTGGCTTACGCCTGTAATCTCAGCAGTTTAGGAGGCCGAGGCAGGTGGATCACGAGGTCAGGAGATCAAGACCATCCTGGCTAACACGGTGAAACCCCGTCTCTACTAAAAATACAAAAGAAAATTAGCTGGGCATGGTGGTGGGTGCCTGTAGTCCCAGCTACTCGGGAGGCTGAGGCAGGAGAATGGCGTGAACCCGGGAGGCGCAGCTTGCAGTGAGCCGAGATCGCGCCACTGCACTCCAGCCTGGGCGACACAGCGAGACGCCGTCTCAAAAAAAAAAAAAAAAAGTGTGTCTTTGATAAAAGGCAAGGACTTGCAAAGCTCGCAGTTCTGTGTTGGTGTCAAGAAATCACAGGGCCCTTAATCACCCCATATGCAGTCTCTACCCTGCACCCAGAGATGGCCCTCGGTGGGTAGAAACTGACCAGAAATATTTTGAGACAAGAATCATAATTTGCATTCCTGTCCCTGTCCTTAGCTGTGCCGTCTACTGCTGGTTTCTCCTTTCCATATGTTTTACCCTTTGTTCTTCTAAAGCTGCAGATAAAATATTTCAGACCGGGCAACATTTCAGGGTGTTCATACCGTCTGTGAAATACCTTCCCAAATGAACAGTGAAAGGAAGCACTTGAAAGGTCTTATTTTAATAAGATTTTTATTCTGCACATAGAAAAAGAGGGATTTTTCTTCGTTATTGTTAAATTTTTGCCTTTTCCCTGCTATCATTCTCCATGTGAATAAAGAAGTTGTCCTTGCTTCAGGGCAGGAGTTTTTGATTCAGACTACAGTCACTAGGAATACAACACTTAGGCCATTGTAAATCGTTAGTGTAGGTGATAAACAACCAGTATTCCGGTGGAGACGCATTTCATGACCTGTGAGGATGGAAATCTTCCACAACCGTCAAGTGTTGCTTTGGGTATGCATGTGAATGAGTCTGCATAATGAGCAAGGTCTCGGTGACAGCCAGCTCGGGCTCCAGGAGAAACGGAGGTGACTCAGCTTCCATACGTGATTTCGAGCTAGAAACTGCAAGTAGAAAACGTGAATTGATCTGAAATTTCTGAACCTACAAACATCTTCCTGGAAGATTAAAATAACCCAATCTAAAGCCAGTAGAGATACAGAGATTGGTGGAAGATACTTAAAAAATCTATTGGTGTCTGAAACCTAATTTATGTCTGAGTTCTTATTTATGTCGGCAGGCTCTCTGAGGATGTAGGATGAGTAATAGTTACAGGGTGTGACTTTTCTCAAAGAGAAAGCCAGGCCAGAGGTGTCTGACCAAAGACCGTGACCATTTGACAGGCATTGCACGGGGTTTCATAGAGGTGGACACTTCAGGCCTCTTTCAGTCTTTACATTTTATCTGTCTCTGGATGGTGAAGACATTCAGAGGCCTAAATATGGCAGAGGTGATAAAAGAAAAACTTTAGACAAATTACATTTAACAGAGTTTTAGTTGGGCAAATCAATGCATGAACTGGGCAGTCCCCTGAACCTCAGTAGGTTCAGAGAGACTCTGCTGTGGTTGCAGAGGATGTATGGAGAGAAAAAGGAAAGTGATGTGCAGAAGATGGAAGTGAGGTACAGAAACAGCTGGATTGGTTAGAGCTCAGCGTTTGCCTTATTTGAACATGGTTTGAATAGCTGGCTATCTTTGATTGGCCAAAACTTGGTGACTGGCAAAAGAGTAGTACCTGACTGGTCACACGTCCAGTTAGGTAATAGTTCACAATGTGTGGAGAAACCTTTAGGCTGACGTTAAAATATGTAAGGAGGCAGCTTTAGGCTAAACTTAATTTAACAGAGGGATGTGAATCTGGGCCAGAAATTCAAAAGTCCTTTCCTAGTCCAGCACTCTATTGAAGTATTCAGTTCTGGAAGAGAAAGACAAATGGCGAGTTGGCGTAGAAACAATATATTATCTATACTAACTAGGATGAATTGTTTATTATTTCCATAGGAAAAATAGGATGGTCTACGCCAGGGACAAATGCTTTTTTATCTATCTTTCAGAGGATAAAAGTGACACTAGTAGTCTGGGGGAGGTCCCCAAATGCTGTTGGAACCTCAACCCCAACCAGTGTCCAGGATCTTGACACCATTTTAAGAATGAATTCAAAGATGAATTGGGAAATATTAGTGAAAGTACAGAGATTTATTGCAAAGAGAATAGCACACACTCATAAAAAGGGGATGCAGGTGTACTCAAGAGAGAGATCCACCAAGGGGGTTTGGGGCTGTTGCCTTTATAGTTTTCTTTAACCAAGGGGTAGAAGATTCATGAAAATTCCTAGAAAAACATGGAGATTTCTCGGAATTGTGGTGCTGCCCATTTTTACACCAAATATGGTTGTTCCTGAAACTGTTATGGCACTGGTGAATGTGTGATTTAGGATGTTAATGAGCAGAAGGTGAGGTCCTAGGTGAAACCTGGCTCAAGTCCAGCACCACATTTGGTCCAGTCAGTCTTAGCCAGCTTGGTGCACACGCTGGTTTTTCAGGGTCTTAGCCGTTCCTAGCTTCTGCAGCTATTTTAATAGTTTCCTTTTGCTAGTCATGTAAAACTGTTGCCTGGAATTTTCTATTGTCCTGCAACTAGGCTGTATTACTCCTGTCTTAAAAAGGGTTCAAGCCTTTCTCTCTCTCTCTGTCTCTCTCATTTAAGGTAGAGTCTGTCTCTGTCGCCCAGGCTGGAGTGCAGTGGCCCCATCTTGGCCCACTGCAATCTCTGCCTCCCAGATTCAAGCAATTCTCTTGCCTCAGCCTCCCGAGTACCTGGGATTACAGACGCACACCATCACACCTGGCCAATTTTTGTATTTTTAGTAGAGATGGGGTTTCACCATGTTGGCCAGGCTGATCTCAAACTCCTGACCTCAGATGATCCGCCTGCCTCAGCCTCCCTAAGTTTTGGGATTACAGGCATGAGCCACCGCACCCAGCCAGGGTTCAAGCCTTTCTGAAAATTACTCAAGTGTTTGGAGAAGCCCCCTTTGCTCTCAAATGCCCCATAATTAGAATCAGCAAAAGCACATGTATGGTCCCTACAATAAGAGGCAGCTTTTGTCACTGTTCCCAAGATAAGTCAACTCTACCAAGAGGTCAGAGGGTTATGTGTTCAGTGTGACATTTAAAATCAAGAAGGAACATAGTGGCAAGTGTTTAGCTACCTTCAACCTTGTCTATGAATGAGCTGACCCACTTTCTTTTTTGAAAAAAATTGTGATAAAACACATATAACTTAAAAGTTACCCAGAAAACTTTTAACCGTTTTTAAGTATACAGTTCAGTGGTGTTAAGTATATTGAACAATGCTGGGCAACCATCACCAACATCCATTTCCAGAACTTTTCTATCATCCCAAACAGAAACCCTCCACTTCCTCTTTAACCCAAAAGAAATCAGTGTGCAAATTGTCTTATTTTCTCCTCTCTGACTCCAAGTACTGCTTCAGCTCAGCAGTGCCTTCTACCAAGGAGCAATGGGGCTGAGAATGCATAGTGCCCATTTTAACAGTACAATTGTCTTAGCTAAGGTTCCCAGCTGTTCTCAGCACCTGCGTGGGACCTGGGCCCGGGCTGTACCACGCTGACAGTGAACATACACTCGGGGCCTCTGCCAGTATTTTTCCAGGAACACTGCCTCCTCAACACGGTCTGCTCGTTATGTGCTGAGATGAGTGCTCTATTAATTTTAACGATGCCATAAAGTGGGTGATCAGAAAATGTAATGGAGCAGCCTGCTTTCACTCTCAGAGGTTAATGACAGTGGGCACAAGATCAACAAATAGCGTTAAGGCTGAGAAATGATTCCTTCCTCCTGGTCATCTGTCTGGACTGGGCTCTTCCAATGGCTTTGTTAATGTAGGTGCCAGCGGTAAATCTCTGAAATCAGGATGGACAGTGTGACAGGGGCAGAGCCTTGTGACCCATGGCCTTGGCTCTCCCCACCACTTCCACTGCTTCCACCGCAGGCGGTGGGAATGGCTCTGCCTCTGGGGTGAAGGAAGGGTTATGGGCAATGTAACTGCTTTGAATCATTCAGATCTCCTTCTAGAATATAGGATCAACTCAGACAAGGTACCAGTTCTACCCGCGCCACGGTCACTTGAGGATCTTATCACCACCACACACACAAGACTACTGGTAACACTGAGGTATTTTTGTCTTTGGTGGCTCCTCTGCTGTCATAATAGTCTAGGCCTGTTTCATTCCTCTCTTTGAAATCAGTCACGTGGCTGGAGCTTGTGAATTACAGCCCACATTCCTGATGGAGGAACTGAGGCTTAGTGCATTAAGTGACTGCTATAGTTTGGATTTGTGTCTCCCAAACCTCATGTTGAAATGCGATCCTCAGTGTTAGAGGTGGGGCCTAATGGGAGGTGTTACAGTCACAGGGGTGGGTCCCTCCCGAATTGATTAATGCCCCTCAGGAGACAGGGGTAGAGGGGAACGAATGAGTTCTTGCCCAACTAGTCCCCTGTAGAGCTGATTGTTAAAAAGAACCTGGCGTCTCCACTCACGTTCTCTTTTGCTTCCTCCTCCTCCGTGTGATCTCTGCACATGCAGCCTCCCTTTTTCCTTCCAACTTGAGTGGAAGCAGCCTGAGGCATCATCAGAAGCAGATGCTGATACCATGCTTCTTGTAGAGCCTGCAGAACAGTGAGCCACATAAACCTCTTTTCTTTATAAATTACCCAGTCTCTGGTATTCCTTTATAGCAACACAAATGGACTAAGACAGTGACTAACCAAAAAATAACCAGTTAGTTGAAACCCCAGACCTTCCCTGCTAGCCAATTGATTTGTTGCTCCGTTTGTTTCTCAGTAGGTACAGCATCAAAGACCAACACTTGGGATTGATTTTGATGAGACCCAGCACAGGCAATAATCAGGGAGCTTGAGACTCTGGAACCAGAAACTGGACACAATATTCTGAATAATAGAGTCCCATCATTGAAAACAACCTGAGTTTTTGTTTAGACCAGTGAGCCTCCAATAATTTGTACTGGTTAAAATACAAATTCCTAGGCTTTCTCCCAACCAACGAATTCAGAATTTCTTGGAGGTGGAATGCAGAAGTCTGCATTTTTTTTTGTTTGTTTATCTTTTGTTTTTTATTTTTCGAGATGGAATCTCGCTCTGTTGCCCAGGCTGGAGTGCAGTGGCGCAATCTTGGCTGACTGCAACCTCTGCCTCCCAGGTTCAAGTGATTCTCCTGCCTCAGCCTTCCGAGTAGCTGGGATTACAGGCATATGCCACTGTGCCTGGCTAATTTTGTATTTTTAGTAGAGATGGGGTTCTCCATGTTGGTCAGGCTGGTCTCGAACTCCCGACCTCAGGTGATCCACCCGCCTCAGCCTCCCAAAGTGCTGGGATTACAGGCATGAGCCACTGCACCCAGCCAGAAGTCTGTATTTTTTTTTAACAGCTTCACAGGTTATTCTGAGGCTCTACCAGGTCTGAAAAACACAGTGACCACATTGATCAGATCTCCCACAGAAGATGCATCTGAAAGAACCATGAGGCAATGTCCTCTTCGTTCTGGACTTGCACTCTTGTAAGTGCAGCCTGAGATGGTATTAGCGTTTTCAACAACGGAATCACAGTGGGAAATCACTGTTGACTTTGCGGTCAGCTCATATTCTCCAGTTCTTTCCTCATGAACTGCCATCACATTTATTCTTGCATCTCTAAAGGCGCAATAAATGAAGGATTAGGTTTGAAAAACCAGAATCATAATTTAAGCCTACTTTACTTGGCCATTTCTAATGACCATCTTTTGTTGTTAAAATCAATTATGTTTATACAACTATTATACACTCAGAATAATTAAAATAAAAAAAAATTGTTGGGCCGGGCGCAGTGGCTCACGCCTGTAATCCCAGCACTTTGGGAGGCCGAGGTGGGCAGATTACAAGGTCAGGAGATCGAGACCATCCTCGCTAACATGGTGAAACCCCATCTCTACTAAAAGTACAAAAAATTAGCCACGCGTGGTGGCAGGCACCTGTAATCCCAGCTACTCGGGAGGCTGAGGCAGGAGAATGGCATGAACCCAGGAGGTGGAGCTTGCAGTGAGCCAAGATCGTGCCACTGCACTCCAGCCTGGGTGACAGAGCGAGACTCCTTCAAAAAAAAAAATAAATAAATAAAAATAAATTGTTAAATCAATGGTGATTCCATCTTACCATATCAAAGTAGAACACAAGGAGGAAGTAGGCCTTCTTCTCTACATAGCATAGTTCACATTTCAATTCAATTCAGCAAATATTTAATAAACAAATAATTCAGCAAATTGTTTAAGTGCTAGGCACATAATACGTAAATGTATAACTCAAACACAAGATGGAATTGATATTTGCCAGGAAAGAGATGCAAAGTGTTATGCATGTTCACTGAAGGCAAAAATAACATCCTGTTGGGTGTGGGTGGAGGACAAAGAGGGACCTTAATAGGAAGAGATCTCATTTGAGCTGGAGCTTCAAGCCATCTGCAGAGAAGGGCTAAGGGCTAAGGAAACCATTTCATAGACAGAAAATTTTGTGAGCCAGCAATGAATGTACAAAGTGCATTTGGAGAGTGTTGTGGTCATAGAACAAAAAGCTGATTTTAAGGCTAGAAAAGTGGGTTGGGGCTGGTTGTGGAGGGTCTTTGAGCTAAAGAGTTTGGATTTCACTTTCCAGCAGTAGGGGAATCATTACAGGCCCTGGAGCAGAGGAGTGGCTGCTTAGGACAGACTGAAGCCATGGGAAATTGGAGTCACGGGTTCCTACCAAGATTTAGAAGATAATAAAATATTTATAATTCTGAAAAGTTGTAAACAACCTGTATTAGTTTCCTGTGGCTGCTGTAACAAATTACCACAAAGGTGGTGACTTAAAACAGCATACATTTATTCTCTTACAGTTCTGGAGTAAGAAGTCCAAAACCAGTTTCACTGGTCCAAAATCAAGATGGCTCCAGGGGAGAACTTGCTTTCATGTCTTTTCCAGCTTCTAGAACTTCACTCCTTCCATTCCTTGGCTCTTGGCCCCTTCTGAAACAAGCATGTGCTATTTTTGTAATTAAAATAAAGATGAGGAGTAGTAAATGCGGACCATAAACAGGGCAGTGGTACAAGGAAACGACTGATGTGAATTGAATTGCAGAGAGCAAGTCTCTAAGATTTGCCAACTGGTTGGCTATCAGGAATGATGGAGCACTCATTGTCCTCCATTGAGAATGGAGACTCAGCCTGCAGGGCAGAGAATCGCTAGGCTGCTAGCAGCCATGCAGGCAGGGGCAGCTAGTTTAAGAAAGAGGATGGCTTTCTTCCAGTTGTATTTATCCTTTCAGGCAAGCTCCCTGCTAGTATTTGGCTTTTATGCTATATGACATGAAACTTCCAGAGTTTTCATCTAACCAGTCTCTAAGAGGAATCTGCCTTTAAAGAGCCAAGGCCCTTCAGCAGTTCTGAATTTGCACTTCAAAGGCTCCCTGATCTCTGCAATCTCAGAGCCCTTACCTTGCAGCCTGGCTCTAATGAGACGTGGCAATGCCTTTGCTCTGGGCTCTTATCAGCCTTGGCAGCCTGGGATTCTGTGGGGAGGCTGTGAACCAGCTCCCTTGGGAAGGTCTGTTGCAGAACTGCTTAGAGATGGAGGGGGAAGGAATAGTTGGCAGTGGTCTCTGGACCATCCTTGGACCAGACCGAGGATCTTCCCTATGCCAGAGGGACAGTGTCCACTCTCTGCCCTCTTTCAGTCCCCAACCAGGCTGTGACCTCCTGCTCACCTCTTCTGCCCACCCTCCATCTCCTCTGCCCTCACATCAGCACCCTAGTAGCAGCCTTTGGAGAGAGTCCCAGGAGGCGAGTGAGTGCAGAGGGGAGGGGCTCATATATGTAAAGAGTGCATATTCCTGATCTCAGTGGAAAACTTTGTTACTGAAGCAAACTCGGGTCTGCCCACCTGGTGCAGCAAGGCCAAACATTGACATCAGGATTTGCAATGAGAAAAGGTGAGGCATTTATTACAGGTCACTAAGCAAGGAGAATCAGGCAGCTACTGCTTAAGACCGGAACTCCTCAATGGCTTCCACTAAAGGTGGGGAGGCAGAAATAACAGGCAAAGTCATAAATCAATACAGTGGTTGACCTATAAAGGTGGGACATCTCAAAGTGAGGCCGCAGGTGGATGGTGAATTCAGAGATTCTCTGATTTGCAATTGGTTAAGGAAGGGAAGCTTTATCTAAAAACTTGGGGTTAGCAGAAAGGAACGTTAAATTCTGACCTGTGGGTGTGGCTCCCTCCAGGCCCCTCAGGAAGAAATTTAGAATAAAGAATCATAGTCAGACTTCAGTCCTTTGTTCCCCCTCATCTGAGGTCTGTGCACCAGTGGGTCCATTTGGTAGAGGTCTGGGTTTCTAAGTTGTTTCTAAGAAACAACTCAGGGAGACATATTAAGATGTTATTGGCCGGGCACCGTGGCTCACTCCTGTAATCCCAGCACTTTGGGAGGCCAAGGCAGGCAGATCACCTGAGGTCAGGAGTTCAAGACCAGCCTGACTAACGTGGGGAAACCCTGTCTCTATTTAAAAAAAAAAAAAAAAAAATTAACCGGGCGTAGAGGCAGGCACCTGTAATCCCAGCTACTAGGGAGGCTGAGGCAGGAGAATCACGTGAACCCGGGAGGTGGAGGTTGCAGTGAGCCAAGATTGTGCCATTGCACTCCAGCCTGGGCGACAGAGCGAGACTCAGTCTAAAAAAAAAAAAAAAAAGATATTATCTTTAGTTTCTATAAAGGAACCAGACATTCTGTGTCTCTAACTTCCTTGGCTATTGTTTTAGGCTATTATTGCTTTCTTGCTTATCAGTTGCTCCCTTACTTTGCAAAGCTGGCTCGGTGCCTGAAGTTTCCTTTGAAGGAACTCAAAATTTCTCTTTATTTCCATGCTTGGGGATTGCCCAGCAGGCCCCCAACAGGGGTCCCTGGCCTGTCTCAACTTCTTTGCAAAACAGCACAAGACTGGAAAACTGGAAACTAGGAGGCCAGATCCTTTTGTGACCATTAACTTGGCACAAGTAACCTGTGAAAGGCCCTTCCCTCTCCTGACTTGTGTTGGACTGGATTTTTCATGCTTCTTTCTAGAGCCCGCGTTCTGGCCTCTGCATGGAGCACATTTGGAGATGAAAAGATAAACGCTTATCACTGCTTCTCAAAGTGTGCTTTGGTTTGCAGGAGTGTAGTAAGCTGAATAATAGTCACAAATGATCCCTGGAACTTGTAAATGTTATCTTATTTGGAAAAAGAGCCTTTGATTATCCAGGTGGGCCCTGCATACCATCAGAAATATCTTTATAAGAGAGAGCAGAGGGAAATTTTACAGACACACACGGTGAAGTGAATATGGAACAGGAAAAATTTCTACAATGTTGGCTTGAAAGACTGGAGCCATGTGGCCACAACCCAAGGAATGCCAGCAGCCACCAGAAGCCAGATGAGGCAGAGGACAGACTCTGTCTGAGAGCCTCTGGGGAAAGTGCAACCCTGCTGAAGGTCTCTGCTGAAACCTTGATTTCAGTCCAGTGACACTGATTTCAGACTTCTGGCCTCCAGAGCTGGGAAAGACCAAATTTTTGTTGTTTTAAACCGTCAAGTTTGTGGTCATTTTATTTTTATTTTTTTATTTTATTTTTTTACAATAATAGCCACAGGAAGCTAAAACAACGGGAAAGCCACCTGGGGTCTGTGCACCCTAGAGAGGCACTCACTATGTCCTGCACAGGTCCCCTTGGCACACCTCACACTTTGTCAGCCTAACCCCGAAACTTTTCTAATGAAAGGCTCCTGCTCCTAGCACCGTGTAGCAGAAAAAGCACTAGGTAAAGAGTCGGAAGATCTGCTTGGCTTTGAGCAGGTGTCAATCCATTTATCTGAACTATGGTTTCCCAATCTGATGAGAGCAAGGACCACATTTTGTTCCTGTTTGTCTCTCGGTAGCTAGAATTGTGCTAAGCACATCCACAGTAAGCACTTGTTGTTTGTTGAATAAAAAATAAGGAAATTATTATTACATTTTCCTGCCTGTCTCACAGCGTTGTTCATTGTGGAGCCTAACTTAGAAATGTAAAGTATTTTGAAAGTAGTAATGCAATAAACAAAAGTTAGGTATTATTATCACTAATTTTTTTTTTTTTTTTTGAGATGGAGTCTTGCCCTGTCCCCCAGGCTGGAGTGCAGTGGCCCAATCTCGGCTCACTGCAAGCTCCGCCTCCTGGGTTCATGCCATTCTCCTGCCTCAGCCTCCCAAGTAGCTGGGACTACAGGCGCCTACCACCATGCCTGACTAATTTTTTTTTCTTTCTATTTTTAGTAGAGACAGGGTTTCACCGTGTTAGCCAGGATGGTCTCCATCTTCTGACCTCGTGATCCGCCTGCCTCGGCCTCCCAAAGTGCTGGGATTACCGGCGTGAGCCACCATCACCCCCCAGCAAAAGTTAGTATTATTAACCAAGATGCAGAGCTCTCTGAACTGTGTTACTTGGAATGAGCAAGTTACAGGTGGGACCTGGCCTGCCAGAAGCCAAATCCCTTATGCACATCTAGAGAGAAAATGCTGCTCAAGGGGCTAAGCAGAACTGGAACCCAGAGGCTGTTTCTGTGTAGGCAAAGAGAATTTTTTTTTTTTGAGCTGAGCAGCTGTTCAATCTGCATTTGAATCTGCTCTACTCCCTGTAAATGGTGAGGGACAGGAAGATGAGAATCTAAGAAGCTGTGTTCCAAGGGAGGCTGAGATTGGGAGGATGCAGGTGCATGTGATATCATAAAAAATATATCTGGTCTTTGTCCCCAGTTCCTGGACAGACCTTCGAAAATACTTGGAATTTCCCAACAGGAGTGTCTTTTGTTATTTACAACAAGACCCTTCTGACTACGTTTGAACTTACGTTAATGTGACTGGTGGTGGGCCCTTAGAGAGTTGAAAGGGAGGGGCTGGTCATGCTATTAATAGAAAGACCAAGCATGTGATTGGAGGGTTGGAAGCTCCAGCCTTTCCCCCAACCTCGGTGGAGGAGACAGCAATCAGAAATTAAGTTTAATTACATGGCCAATAATTTAATCAATCATGACAACACAGTGAAAGCCATATAAAAACTCTGGACACTGCAGTGCAACAGAGCTTCCTGGCTGGTGAATGTATCAATGTACCAGGAGGATGGTGCACCCCAGCTCCATGAACACCAAAGCTCCTAGGCTGGGGACCCTTCCAGACCTTGCCCTGTGTATCTCTTCATCTGGCTATTCATTTGTGCCCTTTATAATAAAACAGTAATCCAAAGTATAGTGCTTTCCTGAGTTCTGTGTCATTCTAACAAGTTATCAAACTTGAGGGGTTGTATACTGGGAAGATGCAAATTTGTAGTCAAATCTGAGAGAAGCGTGGGTATCCTGGGGACCACATTTGTGACTGGCATCTGAGGTAAAGGCGGTCTTGCTGGAGACTTTGCCCTTTAACTTGTGGGATCTGACACTAACTCAGAGTAGTCAATGTTAGAATTGAATTGTGAGACTTCCAGTTGGTGTCAGAGAGCTAGTGTTGGATCTTGGTGTAATATCCAATTCCTTGGACTTCTCCATTTGAAAGTCAACGGCAGAGGAAACAGCCACTGTCTCTGACTGACCAGACTATAACCATAATAGGTTCATCGCCCAGGGCACAAGGCAAGTCAATACACCAAGACACTGGGTTGCAGCAAAGAAAGAGGCTTAATCATAGGGTCACTGAATGAGGAAATGAGAGGGAGCCTTAAATCCATTTCCTCAAGGATTTTGAAGTTAGGGTTTTTAAGAGTTTTGGAGTGGGCTGAAGTGTGCTCACTGTTTAGTCGAAGAGGGCAGAGCAAAATCTTGGGACAGGGAAATGAAGAAACTGTATTCTCATGCTGGTCCCATTCCTCTGTTGGGGTCTTTAAACGGGTTGCTGGAATTCAGGATCTGAAAAACATCTTAAGCAATCCTTAAACAAAAGCCTTAGGAGTCTAATGTCAGAGGTCTTGTCTATATGAACAACGGGGATGCAAATGGGTTAATCTAGTGCTGCATGACTTAGCAAGAAGGAAGTGGATCGGAGTGAAGCCTGAATGATGATTTATTATAACTCTGTTTCTGTCTAGAACCTGGCATGCAGTTTTCAGCAACCCTGTGGGGACAGTTTCAAGACAAGAAGGAATATGGTAGTGTGGACTGAGCACAGGGATTTAGGCCATGTGGGTCCTAGCTCTGCTTCTGCCAGTAGCTCCGAGCAATGCCTTACCCTCCCTAGGGTCCTCATCTACAAAATGAGAGAACTTAGTTACACATCAGAGTCGTCTGAGAAGCTTTAAAAATGCAGTCTCTTCCAGCTCCATTCTTCAGAATTAGAGTCTTGGGACTAGGTCCCAGGGATCAGCATTTCAGAGTTTTGAAATCTCCCCAAGTGACTCTAATGCAATTAATGGGTAGTTGATTGACTCAGGGTTTCCTCATGGCCCCTGATGATAAGAACAGCCTGGGCCACACTGTAAATCTACTAAATCAGACTCTCCCTGCTAAATCAGGAGGGACCTGGGAATTGGTGTTTTTAACAAATGTTCCAGGTGATTCTTAACAACTGATATAGTTTGAATAAGTACCCCCTCCAAATCTCAGGTTGAAATGTGACTCCAATGGTGGAGCTGAGCCTAGTGGGAGGTGTTTGGATACCTCATGAATGGCTTGGTGCCCTCCCCTTGGTAATGAGTGAGTTGTTGCTCTATTACTTTACACAAGAGCTGGCTGTTTAAAAGGACCTGGCACCTCCTCCCTTCTAACTCTTGCTTCATCTCTCACCAGGTGACACCCCTGCTCCCCATTCACCCTCCGCTATCAGTAAAAGCTTCCTCAGACCTCACCAGAAGCTGGACAGATAGATGCTGGTGCCAAGCTTGTACAGACTGCAGAACCATGGGCCAAATAAACCTCTTTTCTTTATAAATTGCTCAGCCTCAGGGGTCCCTTTATAGCAATGTGAGAATAGACTAACACAGCAACCCAGAAGTTTGTGGAGTGAAATCTAAAGCAGTGCTTTTAAAAGTGAGATCCTAGGACCAGCACCACCTGTACCACATGCATCACCTGGGAACCTGTTAGAAAAGCAAAGCCTCAGGCTCCATCCCAGACCACCTCAGGCAGAAGCTCTGGGGGTGGGGTCCAGGAATCTGAGATTTAACAAGCTCTCCAGGTGATGCTGATGCATGTTCAGTTTGAAAACAATGGACCCAGAGAGCCTCTAAAGTGCAACCTGCCCTGACAATTTTAGTCCAAAATCTTGCATGGGTAATTTAATCTCTACATCCTGTGGATTCAGTAAAGTCCCTTTCTGGCAACCAGAAAGCTCAGTCTCTCTGGAGGCTCTGATGTGGTCTCATTTTGAGCCTAAGATCAATCGTGAGACCTTACTCTCCATCAAGACTGATTGGGAGACTCGTGTATGCTGTTCTCAAGCCAAAAGTCAGGGTAGAACTGCTTTCCATTATTGATTACAAAAGAATCAGCCTTCCAGAAGATAAATCTACTCCCTTCATGGAACCTCCTCATTGCAGCAGCTGCTTGGGCACTATTTTCTCCTGTAGGCAGGTAAAAATATGTGCAGGCTTTTCTGGCTTGGATCGTACAGTCTCTTTAAAGCTTATAGACTCTGATTATTATTATTATTATTATTATTATTATTATTATTATTTTGAGACGGAGTCTTTCTCTGTCGCCCAGGCTGGAGTGAAGTGGTGCAATCTCGGCTTACTGCAAGCTCCGCCTCCCGGGTTCACGCCATTCCCCTGCCTCAGCCTCCTGAGTAGCTGGGACTACAGGTGCCCGCCACCACGCCCGGCTAATTTTTTTTGTATTTTTAGTAGAGACGGGGTTTCACCATGTTAGCCAGGATGATCTCTGTCTCCTGACCTCCTGATCCGTCTGCCTCGGCCTCCCAAAGTGCTGGGACCACAGGCGTGACAGACTCTGATTATTAAAAGAAAATTGGGAGATCATCTAGTCGAATCCTATTTTACCAATTAAGACACAGTGGGGATGGGAGTTAGTTAATAATTTTTCCATAGTAACAGACATAGTAACACAGTACGTTTGTAGGGAAGCTGAACTCAGACCTTCAGGCTTATTTCACTGAGCCACGCTACTTCAGGTGTTCTCAGCAAAGCATGGGAAGTAACAAGTGTTCGAAACCCTAAGACACTGCAACCTTAGTGTAGCTTTGGGTGCCATCCATCCACATTCAGAGAATTCAGGGTCTACAGAAACAGTGTGGATTTGGATTCCTGTTGGCACAAGGAGGCAACTAAGAGGAACAGGGGAGAACATGGTTTTTCCAGGAAGAGTTAATGCTACATAAATAGCAGATCTTGCTGTAAAGGTCCTGTCACATGCCAGGTGCTTTTTTCCTTCAAAATAACCCTGTAAGGTGGGCATAATTATCCCATTTTTACCAATGAGGAAATGATGCACAAAGAGGCTGTGTGCACTGATCGAGCCCAGTGAACAAAGACAGGATTAAAACACCGGGCTCTGATTCTCATGCTCTTCCTGGGACACCATACTGCTTCCTGATGAGTTGGTTTTAAACCCACGATTGATCTATTTCAGTCTCTAAATCAGTGACTCTTAACCTTGACTGCAGGTTAAAATTGTGCAGATCTTTAAAAAAAAACACTAATAGCTACTGCCCTCCCTTCCATCCCTATTAAAAAAGAAAGAAGCTCTGGGAGTGAAACCAGGATATTGGTATTTTTTTTAAAAGCTCCCCCAGGTAAAGTGAATGTGCAAACAGAAATGCAAGCCACTTTTACATGATCAATTTGCCTCAAGTAATTTAGCTAACCAGGGATAGATACTGTTTTTGAAGATAGTGGTGGTAATTTAATTAAGTTACTCAAACTATGATTGAATTATATTTAGACACTAGGTAAGAGGGGAAATGGGGAGGACAAGGAAGAGTTGACTTTTGTTAACTGGTTTGTTGGGGAACATGCATGCGAGATTTGCTGATTATCTGCAATGCAGCTCATCTGAGGACCAAGCCCCCTGCCTCCACCCGACCCCCAGGATTCCCTGGAGCACAGTGTTATTTTGGTGTTTGAGAACTTATGCATGTTTAAAAGTAATTAAAGAAAATTAAAAGTTAATTGTTCTGAACATTATTTTACTGAGAGAAGAATTCTCTTTAAAAACCTAACAAGTTTTCTATTTAAAGGATTTTGAATCGTGTTCCTAGGCTAAAGACAGAAGAAAGGACCTCATGGTAAAATTTTGGGTCTTGTCCAAAGGGCTTTTGAAGTAATAGCATATTCATTAATGTCACAAATAGATCTTTAACAGAGGTCTTTCTTTAAGGAAATCGGTACCTCCCCCACTTTAATTAAAGCTTCCTGGTATGAGACATGCTTTTAGGAATTCTAGTCTTTTTGGCTTGATTCTCTCACTCTCTCTCTTTTTTTTTTTTTTTTTTTGGTTGCGATGGGGTCTCATTCTGAGGCCCAGACTGGAATGCAGTGGCAAAGTATAGCTCACTGCAGCCTCAACCTCCCAGGATGAAGTGATCCTCCCATCTCAGCCTCCCAAGTAGCAGGGACTACAAGTGTGCCCCAACGGCCTGCTAATTTAAAAAAAAAAATGTCCAGACAAGGTCTCACCATATTGCCCAATCTAGTCTGGAACTTCTGGCCTCAATGCTCCTTCCACCTTGGCCTCCTAAAGTGCAGGGATTACAAGCATGAGCCACCAAGCCCAGATTTTGGCTTGATTCCCGAAATGCTTATTTCTACAGAACCTGGGAGGAACCAAGCCTCTACTTATGAGCTTTGAAGAGCCCCAAAGAGCCGTGAGGAGCCTCAAGCAGTGAGGAGCCCCATAGAGCCCCCACCTCCTACACATCAAAGGCCCCCTTACCTCCTTCTTCACACAACAACACATTGATAAGATGGCAAAACCCAACCACTAACTGCATCCCCACAAAACTGCCATCTGCTCTTAAACTATTTCGAACTGAACCAAAAAAAAGGTTATAGATACACATATTTGTATTTTTTTCTGCCTGAAATTTTTTGTGCCTTATTTACTTCAATGGCATTTACTTAGTCTTACTTGATTTCAGTAATAGAATTTTTATGTTTTTTTCAATAAAGACCTATGCCAATTTTGGGGGGCTTCCTTTACGTTTCCAGATCAAAAGAGAAGGTTCAAAAGTCTACAGTTCAGAGACAAGCATTCTAAAAAATTATCTTTGAGAAGGACTCAATTTATTATACTAGAATTCTCGGCCTGGAGGAAACTAGCTTTGGGGTAACCTATTAACTGTTGACAATTGTCCTCCCTGGAGGATTCAAAGATTACTCTTTGGAAGATGGTAACCACCTATTTTGCACACTGGCTGAAGAAAAGAACAAAGGAATTGTAGTTACATTGCCACAGAAGGAATTTAGGGAGATCTGTAGAAGGAGGAGCTTCCCTGTTGAAACAGGTGGAACAGCAAGAAACTTTCCTCTTCTTTGAAGCTTTATGGAGAAAGACAACACACCCTCTCATATTAATATTAGTTATTCTTGAGGGTAGGAGAATTAGTGGAGACCTTTTCACTTTACAATGATAGAAACACAACTAGCTCTATTTTATTTTATTTTTTGAGACAGGGTCTAGTTCTGTCACCAAGGCTGGAGTGCAATGGCAGAATCTTGGCTCACTGCAGCCTCGACCTCCCTGGGCTTAGGTGATCTTCCCACCTCAAGCTCCTGAGTAGCTGAGATTACAAGCATGCCACCATGCCCAGATATCTATATATATCTATATATATCTATATATCTATATCTATATATATCTATATATATCTATATATCTATATCTATATATATCTATATATATCTATATATCTATATCTATCTATATATATCTATATATCTATATATCTATATCTATATATCTATCTATATCTATATCTATATATATCTATATCTATATATATCTATATCTATATATATCTATCTATATATATCTATATCTATATCTATCTATATCTATATATCTACATATATCTATATGCACACACACACATACATAGGTATATATATGTACGTGTGTGTGTGTGTGTATATATATATATATATATATATATATATATATATATAAACTTTTTGTAGAGACAGGATTTCATCAATATTGGCCAGGCTACATTTTTTTTTTAGAGAGGGGGTCTTGCTATGTTGCCCAGGCTGGTCTTGAACTCCTGAGCTCAAGTAA